>NC_000016.10:37462550-37762550 GCF_000001405.40 Homo sapiens | reverse complement strand
AACGAAGGCATCTAAGAGGTCGAAATATCCACTTGCAGACTTTACAAACAGAGGGTTTCCAGAATGCTGTATGAAAAGAAAGGTTAAACTCTGTGAGTTAAACACACACATCACTACGCAGTGTCTGGGAACGAGTTTGTCTTGTTTTTATACGAAGATATTTCCTTTTCTACCATTGGCATCGAAGCGCTTGAAATCTCCACTTGCAAATTCCACAAAAAGAGTGTTTCAAATCTGCTCTGTCTAAAGGAAGGTTGAACTCTGTGAGTTGCATACACACAACACAAAGAAGTTACTGAGAAATCTTCTGTCTAGCATAATATGAAGAAATCCCGTTTCCAACGAAGGCCTCAAAGAGGTCCGAATATCCACTGGCAGGCTTCACAAACAGAGTGTTTCCTAACTGCTCTGTGAAAAGAAAGGTTAAACTCTGTGAGTTGAACGCACACATCACAAAGGAGTTTGCTGAGAATCATTCTGTCTAGTTTTTATACGAAGATATTTCCTTTTCTACCATTGACCTCAAAGCGGCTGAAATCTCCACTTGAAAATTCCAGAAAAACAGTGTTTCAAATCTGCTCTGTGTAAAGGATCGTTCAACTCTGTGAGTTGAATACACACAACACAAGGAAGTTACTGAGAATTCATCTGTCTAGCATAATATGAAGAAATCCCGTTTCCAACGAAGGCCTCAAAGAGGTCTGAATATCCACTTGCAGACTTTACAAACAGAGTGTTTCCTAACTGCTCTTTGAAAAGAAAGGTTAAACTCTGTGAGTTGAACGCACACATCACAAAACAGTTTCTGAGAATCATTCTGTCTAGTTTTTATACGAAGATATTTCCTTTTCTACCGTTGACCTCAAAGCGGCTGAATTCTCCACTTACAAATTCCACCAAAAGAGTGTCTCAAAACTGCTCTGTGTAAAGAATCATTCAACTCTGTGAGTTGAATGCACACAACACAAGGAAGTTACTGGGAATTCCTCTGTCTAACCTTACATGAAAAAACCCGTTTCCAACGAAGGCCTCTAAGAGGCCAAGATATCCACTTGCAGACTTTACAAACAGAGTGTTTCCAAACTGCTGAATGAAAAGAAAAGTTAAACTCTGTGAGTTGAACGCACACATCACAGAGCAGTTTCTGAGAATGATTCTGTCGGGTTTTTATACGAAGATATTTCCTTTTCTGCCTTTGGCCTCAAAGCGCTTGAAGTCTCCACTTGCAAATTGCAGAAAAAGAGTGTTTCGAATCTGCTCTGTCTAAAGGAAGGTTCAACTCTGTCAGTTGAATACACACAACACAAGGAAGTTACTGAGATTTCTTCTGTCTAGCCTTACATGAAAAAAACCCGTTTCCAACGAAGGCCTCAAAGAGGTCAAAATATCCACGTGCAGACTTTCCAAACAGAGTGTTTCCAAACTGCTGAATGAAAAGAAAAGTTAAACTCTGTGAGTTGAACGCACACATCCCAGAGCAGTTTCTGAGAAAGATTCTGTCGAGTTTTTATAGGAAAATATTTCCTTTTCTGCTTTTGGCCTCAAAGCGCTTGAAATCTCCACTTGCAAATTCCACAAAAAGAGACTTTCAAATCTGCTCTGTCTAAAGGAAGGTTCAACTCTGTCAGTTGAATACACACAACACAAAGAAGTTACTAAGAATTCTTCCCTCTAGCATTATATGAAGAAATCCCGTTTCCAACGAAGGCATCTAAGAGGTCCAAATATCCACTTGCAGACTTTACAAACACAGGGTTTCCAGAATGCTGTATGAAAAGAAAGGTGAAACTCTGTGAGTTAAACACACACATCACTACGCAGTGTCTGGGAACGAGTTTGTCTTGTTTTTATACGAAGATATTTCCTTTTCTACCATTGGCATCGAAGCGCTTGAAATCTCCACTTGCAAATTCCACAAAAAGAGTGTTTCAAATCTGCTCTGTCTAAAGGAAGGTTGAACTCTGTGAGTTGCATAGACACAACACAAAGAAGTTACTGAGAAATCTTCTGAATAGCATAATATGAAGAAATCCCGTTTCCAACGAAGGCCTCAAAGAGGTCCGAATATCCACTGGCAGGCTTCACAAACAGAGTGTTTCCTAACTGCTCTGTGAAAAGAAAGGTTAAACTCTGTGAGTTGAACGCACACATCACAAAGGAGTTTCTGAGAATCATTCTGTCTAGTTTTTATACGAAGATATTTCCTTTTCTACCATTGACCTCAAAGCGGCTGAAATCTCCACTTGCAAATTCCAGAAAAACAGTGTTTCAAATCTGCTCTGTGTAAAGGATCGTTCAACTCTGTGAGTTGAATACACACAACACAAGGAAGTTACTGAGAATTCATCTGTCTAGCATAATATGAAGAAATCCCGTTTCCAACGAAGGCCTCAAAGAGGTCTGAATATCCACTTGCAGACTTTACAAACAGAGTGTTTCCTAACTGCTCTTTGAAAAGAAAGGTTAAACTCTGTGAGTTGAACGCACACATCACAAAACAGTTTCTGAGAATCATTCTGTCTAGTTTTTATACGAAGATATTTCCTTTTCTACCGTTGACCTCAAAGCGGCTGAATTCTCCACTTACAAATTCCACCAAAAGAGTGTCTCAAATCTGCTCTGTGTAAAGAATCATTCAACTCTGTGAGTTGAATGCACACAACACAAGGAAGTTACTGGGAATTCCTCTGTCTATCCTTACATGAAAAAACCCGTTTCCAACGAAGGCCTCTAAGAGGCCAAGATATCCACTTGCAGACTTTACAAACAGAGTGTTTCCAAACTGCTGAATGAAAAGAAAAGTTAAACTCTGTGAGTTGAACGCACACATCACAGAGCAGTTTCTGAGAATGATTCTGTCGGGTTTTTATACGAAGATATTTCCTTTTCTGCCTTTGGCCTCAAAGCGCTTGAAGTCTCCACTTGCAAATTGCAGAAAAAGAGTGTTTCGAATCTGCTCTGTCTAAAGGAAGGTTCAACTCTGTCAGTTGAATACACACAACACAAGGAAGTTACTGAGATTTCTTCTGTCTAGCCTTACATGATAAAACCCGTTTCCAACGAAGGCCTCAAAGAGGTCAAAATATCCACGTGCAGACTTTCCAAACAGAGTGTTTCCAAACTGCTGAATGAAAAGAAAAGTTAAACTGTGTGAGTTGAACGCACACATCACAGAGCAGTTTCTGAGAATGATTCTGTCTAGTTTTTATAGGAAAATATTTCCTTTTCTGCTTTTGGCCTCAAAGCGCTTGAAATCTCCACTTGCAAATTCCACAAAAAGAGACTTTCAAATCTGCTCTGTCTAAAGGAAGGTTCAACTCTGTCAGTTGAATACACACAACACAAAGAAGTTACTAAGAATTCTTCCCTCTAGCATTATATGAAGAAATCCCGTTTCCAACGAAGGCATCTAAGAGGTCCAAATGTCCACTTGCAGACTTTACAAACACAGGGTTTCCAGAATGCTGTATGAAAAGAAAGGTGAAACTCTGTGAGTTAAACACACACATCACTACGCAGTGTCTGGGAACGAGTTTGTCTTGTTTTTATACGAAGATATTTCCTTTTCTACCATTGGCATCGAAGCGCTTGAAATCTCCACTTGCAAATTCCACAAAAAGAGTGTTTCAAATCTGCTCTGTCTAAAGGAAGGTTGAACTCTGTGAGTTGCATACACACAACACAAAGAAGTTACTGAGAAATCTTCTGTCTAGCATAATATGAAGAAATCCCGTTTCCAACGAAGGCCTCAAAGAGGTCCGAATATCCACTGGCAGGCTTCACAAACAGAGTGTTTCCTAACTGCTCTGTGAAAAGAAAGGTTAAACTACTGTGAGTTGAACGCACACATCACAAAGGAGTTTCTGAGAATCATTCTGTCTAGTTTTTATACGAAGATATTTCCTTTTCTACCATTGACCTCAAAGCGGCTGAAATCTCCACTTGCAAATTCCAGAAAAACAGTGTTTCAAATCTGCTCTGTGTAAAGGATCGTTCAACTCTGTGAGTTGAATACACACAACACAAGGAAGTTACTGAGAATTCATCTGTCTAGCATAATATGAAGAAATCCCGTTTCCAACGAAGGCCTCAAAGAGGTCTGAATATCCTCTTGCAGACTTTACAAACAGAGTGTTTCCTAACTGCTCTTTGAAAAGAAAGGTTAAACTCTGTGAGTTGAACGCACACATCACAAAACAGTTTCTGAGAATCATTCTGTCTAGTTTTTATACGAAGATATTTCCTTTTCTACCGTTGACCTCAAAGCGGCTGAATTCTCCACTTACAAATTCCACCAAAAGAGTGTCTCAAATCTGCTCTGTGTAAAGAATCATTCAACTCTGTGAGTTGAATGCACACAACACAAGGAAGTTACTGGGAATTCCTCTGTCTAACCTTACATGAAAAAACCCGTTTCCAACGAAGGCCTCTAAGAGGCCAAGATATCCACTTGCAGACTTTTCAAACAGAGTGTTTCCAAACTGCTGAATGAAAAGAAAAGTTAAACTCTGTGAGTTGAACGCACACATCACAGAGCAGTTTCTGAGAATGATTCTGTCGGGTTTTTATACGAAGATATTTCCTTTTCTGCCTTTGGCCTCAAAGCGCTTGAAGTCTCCACTTGCAAATTGCAGAAAAAGAGTGTTTCGAATCTGCTCTGTCTAAAGGAAGGTTCAACTCTGTCAGTTGAATACACACAACACAAGGAAGTTACTGAGATTTCTTCTGTCTAGCCTTACATGAAAAAAACCCGTTTCCAACGAAGGCCTCAAAGAGGTCAAAATATCCACGTGCAGACTTTCCAAACAGAGTGTTTCCAAACTGCTGAATGAAAAGAAAGTTAAACTCTGTGAGTTGAACACACACATCACAGAGCAGTTTCTGAGAATGATTCTGTCGAGGTTTTATAGGAAAATATTTCCTTTTCTGCTTTTGGCCTCAAAGCGCTTGAAATCTCCACTTGCAAATTCCACAAAAAGAGACTTTCAAATCTGCTCTGTCTAAAGGAAGGTTCAACTCTGTCAGTTGAATACACACAACACAAAGAAGTTACTAAGAATTCTTCCCTCTAGCATTATATGAAGAAATCCCGTTTCCAACGAAGGCATCTAAGAGGTCCAAATATCCACTTGCAGACTTTACAAACAGAGGGTTTCCAGAATGCTGTATGAAAAGAAAGGTTAAACTCTGTGAGTTAAACACACACATCACTACGCAGTGTCTGGGAACGAGTTTGTCTTGTTTTTATACGAAGATATTTCCTTTTCTACCATTGGCATCGAAGCGCTTGAAATCTCCACTTGCAAATTCCAGAAAAAGAGTGTTTCAAATCTGCTCTGTCTAAAGGAAGGTTGAACTCTGTGAGTTGTATACACACAACACAAAGAAGTTACTGAGAAATCTTCTGTCTAGCATAATATGAAGAAATCCCGTTTCCAACGAAGGCCTCAAAGAGGTCCGAATATCCACTGGCAGGCTTCACAAACAGAGTGTTTCCTAACTGCTCTGTGAAAAGAAAGGTTAAACTCTGTGAGTTGAACGCACACATCACAAAGGAGTTTCTGAGAATCATTCTGTCTAGTTTTTATACGAAGATATTTCCTTTTCTACCATTGACCTCAAAGCGGCTGAAATCTCCACTTGCAAATTCCAGAAAAACAGTGTTTCAAATCTGCTCTGTGTAAAGGATCGTTCAACTCTGTGAGTTGAATACACACAACACAAGGAAGTTACTGAGAATTCATCTGTCTAGCATAATATGAAGAAATCCCGTTTCCAACGAAGGCCTCAAAGAGGTCTGAATATCCACTTGCAGACTTTACAAACAGAGTGTTTCCTAACTGCTCTTTGAAAAGAAAGGTTAAACTCTGTGAGTTGAACGCACACATCACAAAACAGTTTCTGAGAATCATTCTGTCTAGTTTTTATACGAAGATATTTCCTTTTCTACCGTTGACCTCAAAGCGGCTGAATTCTCCACTAACAAATTCCACCAAAAGAGTGTCTCAAATCTGCTCTGTGTAAAGAATCATTCAACTCTGTGAGTTGAATGCACACAACACAAGGAAGTTACTGGGAATTCCTCTGTCTAACCTTACATGAAAAAACCCGTTTCCAATGAAGGCCTCTAAGAGGCCAAGATATCCACTTGCAGACTTTACAAACAGAGTGTTTCCAAACTGCTGAATGAAAAGAAAAGTTAAACTCTGTGAGTTGAACGCACACATCACAGAGCAGTTTCTGAGAATGATTCTGTCGGGTTTTTATACGAAGATATTTCCTTTTCTGCCTTTGGCCTCAAAGCGCTTGAAGTCTCCACTTGCAAATTGCAGAAAAAGAGTGTTTCGAATCTGCTCTGTCTAAAGGAAGGTTCAACTCTGTCAGTTGAATACACACAACACAAGGAAGTTACTGAGATTTCTTCTGTCTAGCCTTACATGAAAAAAACCCGTTTCCAACGAAGGCCTCAAAGAGGTCAAAATATCCACGTGCAGACTTTCCAAACAGAGTGTTTCCAAACGCTGAATGAAAAGAAAAGTTAAACACTGAGTTGAACGCACACATCCCAGAGCAGTTTCTGAGAAAGATTCTGTCGAGGTTTTATAGGAAAATATTTCCTTTTCTGCTTTTGGCCTCAAAGCGCTTGAAATCTCCACTTGCAAATTCCACAAAAAGAGACTTTCAAATCTGCTCTGTCTAAAGGAAGGTTCAACTCTGTCAGTTGAATACACACAACACAAAGAAGTTACTAAGAATTCTTCCCTCTAGCATTAAATGAAGAAATCCCGTTTCCAACGAAGGCATCTAAGAGGTCCAAATATCCACTTGCAGACTTTACAAACAGAGGGTTTCCAGAATGCTGTATGAAAAGAAAGGTTAAACTCTGTGAGTTAAACACACACATCACTACGCAGTGTCTGGGAACGAGTTTGTCTTGTTTTTATACGAAGATATTTCCTTTTCTACCATTGGCATCGAAGCGCTTGAAATCTCCACTTGCAAATTCCACAAAAAGAGTGTTTCAAATCTGCTCTGTCTAAAGGAAGGTTGAACTCTGTGAGTTGCATACACACAACACAAAGAAGTTACTGAGAAATCTTCTGTCTAGCATAATATGAAGAAATCCCGTTTCAAACGAAGGCCTCAAAGAGGTCCGAATATCCACTGGCAGGCTTCACAAACAGAGTGTTTCCTAACTGCTCTGTGAAAAGAAAGGTTAAACTCTGTGAGTTGAACGCACACATCACAAAGGAGTTTCTGAGAATCATTCTGTCTAGTTTTTATACGAAGATATTTCCTTTTCTACCATTGACCTCAAAGCGGCTGAAATCTCCACTTGCAAATTCCAGAAAAACAGTGTTTCAAATCTGCTCTGTGTAAAGGATCGTTCAACTCTGTGAGTTGAATACACACAACACAAGGAAGTTACTGAGAATTCATCCCTCTAGCATTATATGAAGAAATCCCGTTTCCAACGAAGGCCTCAAAGAGGTCTGAATATCCACTTGCAGACTTTACAGAGTGTTTCCTAACTGCTCTTTGAAAAGAAAGGTTAAACTCTGTGAGTTGAACGCACACATCACAAAACAGTTTCTGAGAATCATTCTGTCTAGTTTTTATACGAAGGTATTTCCTTTTCTACCGTTGACCTCAAAGAGGCTGAATTCTCCACTTACAAATTCCACCCAAAGAGTGTCTCAAATCTGCTCTGTGTAAAGAATCATTCAACTCTGTGAGTTGAATGCACACAACACAAGGAAGTTACTGGGAATTCCTCTGTCTATCCTTACATGAAAAAACCCGTTTCCAACGAAGGCCTCTAAGAGGCCAAGATATCCACTTGCAGACTTTACAAACAGAGTGTTTCCAAACTGCTGAATGAAAAGAAAAGTTAAACTCTGTGAGTTGAACGCAGACATCACAGAGCAGTTTCTGAGAATGATTCTGTCGGGTTTTTATACGAAGATATTTCCTTTTCTGCCTTTGGCCTCAAAGCGCTTGAAGTCTCCACTTGCAAATTGCAGAAAAAGAGTGTTTCGAATCTGCTCTGTCTAAAGGAAGGTTCAACTCTGTCAGTTGAATACACACAACACAAGGAAGTTACTGAGATTTCTTCTGTCTAGCCTTACATGAAAAAAACCCGTTTCCAACGAAGGCCTCAAAGAGGTCAAAATATCCACGTGCAGACTTTCCAAACAGAGTGTTTCCAAACTGCTGAATGAAAAGAAAAGTTAAACTCTGTGAGTTGAACGCACACATCCCAGAGCAGTTTCTGAGAAAGATTCTGTCTAGTTTTTATAGGAAAATATTTCCTTTTCTGCTTTTGGCCTCAAAGCGCTTGAAATCTCCACTTGCAAATTCCACAAAAAGAGACTTTCAAATCTGCTCTGTCTAAAGGAAGGTTCAACTCTGTCAGTTGAATACACACAACACAAAGAAGTTACTAAGAATTCTTCCCTCTAGCATTATATGAAGAAATCCCGTTTCCAACGAAGGCATCTAAGAGGTCCAAATATCCACTTGCAGACTTTACAAACAGAGGGTTTCCAGAATGCTGTATGAAAAGAAAGGTTAAACTCTGTGAGTTAAACACACACATCACTACGCAGTGTCTGGGAACGAGTTTGTCTTGTTTTTATACGAAGATATTTCCTTTTCTACCATTGGCATCGAAGCGCTTGAAATCTCCACTTGCAAATTCCACAAAAAGAGTGTTTCAAATCTGCTCTGTCTAAAGGAAGGTTAAACTCTGTGAGTTGCATACACACAACACAAAGAAGTTACTGAGAAATCTTCTGTCTAGCATAATATGAAGAAATCCCGTTTCCAACGAAGGCCTCAAAGAGGTCCGAATATCCACTGGCAGGCTTCACAAACAGAGTGTTTCCTAACTGCTCTGTGAAAAGAAAGGTTAAACTCTGTGAGTTGAACGCACACATCACAAAGGAGTTTCTGAGAATCATTCTGTCTAGTTTTTATACGAAGATATTTCCTTTTCTACCATTGACCTCAAAGCGGCTGAAATCTCCACTTGCAAATTCCAGAAAAACAGTGTTTCAAATCTGCTCTGTGTAAAGGATCGTTCAACTCTGTGAGTTGAATACACACAACACAAGGAAGTTACTGAGAATTCATCTGTCTAGCATAATATGAAGAAATCCCGTTTCCAACGAAGGCCTCAAAGAGGTCTGAATATCCACTTGCAGACTTTACAAACAGAGTGTTTCCTAACTGCTCTCTGAAAAGAAAGGTTAAACTCTGTGAGTTGAACGCACACATCACAAAACAGTTTCTGAGAATCATTCTGTCTAGTTTTTATACGAAGATATTTCCTTTTCTACCGTTGACCTCAAAGCGGCTGAATTCTCCACTTACAAATTCCACCAAAAGAGTGTCTCAAATCTGCTCTGTGTAAAGAATCATTCAACTCTGTGAGTTGAATGCACACAACACAAGGAAGTTACTGGGAATTCCTCTGTCTATCCTTACATGAAAAAACCCGTTTCCAACGAAGGCCTCTAAGAGGCCAAGATATCCACTTGCAGACTTTACAAACAGAGTGTTTCCAAACTGCTGAATGAAAAGAAAAGTTAAACTCTGTGAGTTGAACGCACACATCACAGAGCAGTTTCTGAGAATGATTCTGTCGGGTTTTTATACGAAGATATTTCCTTTTCTGCCTTTGGCCTCAAAGCACTTGAAGTCTCCACTTGCAAATTGCAGAAAAAGAGTGTTTCGAATCTGCTCTGTCTAAAGGAAGGTTCAACTCTGTCAGTTGAATACACACAACACAAGGAAGTTACTGAGATTTCTTCTGTCTAGCCTTACATGAAAAAAACCCGTTTCCAACGAAGGCCTCAAAGAGGTCAAAATATCCACGTGCAGACTTTCCAAACAGAGTGTTTCCAAACTGCTGAATGAAAAGAAAAGTTAAACTCTGTGAGTTGAACGCACACATCCCAGAGCAGTTTCTGAGAAAGATTCTGTCTAGTTTTTATAGGAAAATATTTCCTTTTCTGCTTTTGGCCTCAAAGCGCTTGAAATCTCCACTTGCAAATTCCACAAAAAGAGTGTTTCAAATCTGCTCTGTCTAAAGGAAGGTTGAACTCTGTAAGTTGCATACACACAACACAAAGAAGTTACTGAGAAATCTTCTGTCTAGCATAATATGAAGAAATCCTGTTTCCAACGAAGGCCTCAAAGAGGTCCGAATATCCACTGGCAGGCTTCACAAACAGAGTGTTTCCTAACTGCTCTGTTGAAAAGAAAGGTTAAACTCTGTGAGTTGAACGCACACATCACAAAGGAGTTTCTGAGAATCATTCTGTCTAGTTTTTATACGAAGATATTTCCTTTTCTACCATTGACCTCAAAGCGGCTGAAATCTCCACTTGCAAATTCCAGAAAAACAGTGTTTCAAATCTGCTCTGTGTAAAGGATCGTTCAACTCTGTGAGTTGAATACACACAACACAAGGAAGTTACTGAGAATTCATCTGTCTAGCATAATATGAAGAAATCCCGTTTCCAACGAAGGCCTCAAAGAGGTCTGAATATCCACTTGCAGACTTTACAAACAGAGTGTTTCCTAACTGCTCTTTGAAAAGAAAGGTTAAACTCTGTGAGTTGAAAGCACACATCACAAAACAGTTTCTGAGAATCATTCTGTCTAGTTTTTATAGGAAGATATTTCCTTTTCTACCGTTGACGTCAAAGCGGCTGAATTCTCCACTTACAAATTCCACCAAAAGAGTGTCTCAAATCTGCTCTGTGTAAAGAATCATTCAACTCTGTGAGTTGAATGCACACAACACAAGGAAGTTACTGGGAATTCCTCTGTCTAACCTTACATGAAAAAACCCGTTTCCAACGAAGGCCTCTAAGAGGCCAAGATATCCACTTGCAGACTTTACAAACAGAGTGTTTCCAAACTGCTGAATGAAAAGAAAAGTTAAACTCTGTGAGTTGAACGCACACATCACAGAGCAGTTTCTGAGAATGATTCTGTCGGGTTTTTATACGAAGATATTTCCTTTTCTGCCTTTGGCCTCAAAGCGCTTGAAGTCTCCACTTGCAAATTGCAGAAAAAGAGTGTTTCGAATCTGCTCTGTCTAAAGGAAGGTTCAACTCTGTCAGTTGAATACACACAACACAAGGAAGTTACTGAGATTTCTTCTGTCTAGCCTTACATGAAAAAAACCCGTTTCCAACGAAGGCCTCAAAGAGGTCAAAATATCCACGTGCAGACTTTCCAAGCAGAGTGTTTCCAAACTGCTGAATGAAAAGAAAGTTAAACTCTGTGAGTTGAACACACACATCACAGAGCAGTTTCTGAGAATGATTCTGTCTAGTTTTTATAGGAAAATATTTCCTTTTCTGCTTTTGGCCTCAAAGCGCTTGAAATCTCCACTTGCAAATTCCACAAAAAGAGACTTTCAAATCTGCTCTGTCTAAAGGAAGGTTCAACTCTGTCAGTTGAATACACACAACACAAAGAAGTTACTAAGAATTCTTCCCTCTAGCATTATATGAAGAAATCCCGTTTCCAACGAAGGCATCTAAGAGGTCCAAATATCCACTTGCAGACTTTACAAACAGAGGGTTTCCAGAATGCTGTATGAAAAGAAAGGTGAAACTCTGTGAGTTAAACACACACATCACTACGCAGTGTCTGGGAACGAGTTTGTCTTGTTTTTATACGAAGATATTTCCTTTTCTACCATTGGCATCGAAGCGCTTGAAATCTCCACTTGCAAATTCCACAAAAAGAGTGTTTCAAATCTGCTCTGTCTAAAGGAAGGTTGAACTCTGTGAGTTGCATACACACAACACAAAGAAGTTACTGAGAAATCTTCTGTCTAGCATAATATGAAGAAATCCCGTTTCCAACGAAGGCCTCAAAGAGGTCCGAATATCCACTGGCAGGCTTCACAAACAGAGTGTTTCCTAACTGCTCTGTGAAAAGAAAGGTTAAACTCTGTGAGTGGAACGCACACATCACAAAGGAGTTTCTGAGAATCATTCTGTCTAGTTTTTATACGAAGATATTTCCTTTTCTACCATTGACCTCAAAGCGGCTGAAATCTCCACTTGCAAATTCCAGAAAAACAGTGTTTCAAATCTGCTCTGTGTAAAGGATCGTTCAACTCTGTGAGTTGAATACACACAACACAAGGAAGTTACTGAGAATTCATCTGTCTAGCATAATATGAAGAAATCCCGTTTCCAACGAAGGCCTCAAAGAGGTCTGAATATCCGCTTGCAGACTTTACAAACAGAGTGTTTCCTAACTGCTCTTTGAAAAGAAAGGTTAAACTCTGTGAGTTGAACGCACACATCACAAAACAGTTTCTGAGAATCATTCTGTCTAGTTTTTATACGAAGATATTTCCTTTTCTACCGTTGACCTCAAAGCGGCTGAATTCTCCACTTACAAATTCCACCAACAGAGTGTCTCAAATCTGCTCTGTGTAAAGAATCATTCAACTCTGTGAGTTGAATGCACACAACACAAGGAAGTTACTGGGAATTCCTCTGTCTAACCTTACATGAAAAAACCCGTTTCCAACGAAGGCCTCTAAGAGGCCAAGATATCCACTTGCAGACTTTACAAACAGAGTGTTTCCAAACTGCTGAATGAAAAGAAAAGTTAAACTCTGTGAGTTGAACGCACACATCACAGAGCAGTTTCTGAGAATGATTCTGTCGGGTTTTTATACGAAGATATTTCCTTTTCTGCCTTTGGCCTCAAAGCGCTTGAAGTCTCCACTTGCAAATTGCAGAAAAAGAGTGTTTCGAATCTGCTCTGTCTAAAGGAAGGTTCAACTCTGTCAGTTGAATACACACAACACAAGGAAGTTACTGAGATTTCTTCTGTCTAGCCTTACATGAAAAAACCCGTTTCCAACGAAGGCCTCAAAGAGGTCAAAATATCCACGTGCAGACTTTCCAAACAGAGTGTTTCCAAACTGCTGAATGAAAAGAAAGTTAAACTCTGTGAGTTGAACACACACATCACAGAGCAGTTTCTGAGAATGATTCTGTCTAGTTTTTATAGGAAAATATTTCCTTTTCTGCTTTTGGCCTCAAAGCGCTTGAAATCTCCACTTGCAAATTCCACAAAAAGAGACTTTCAAATCTGCTCTGTCTAAAGGAAGGTTCAACTCTGTCAGTTGAATACACACAACACAAAGAAGTTACTAAGAATTCTTCCCTCTAGCATTATATGAAGAAATCCCGTTTCCAACGAAGGCATCTAAGAGGTCCAAATATCCACTTGCAGACTTTACAAACACAGGGTTTCCAGAATGCTGTATGAAAAGAAAGGTGAAACTCTGTGAGTTAAACACACATATCACTACGCAGTGTCTGGGAACGAGTTTGTCTTGTTTTTATACGAAGATATTTCCTTTTCTACCATTGGCATCGAAGCGCTTGAAATCTCCACTTGCAAATTCCACAAAAAGAGTGTTTCAAATCTGCTCTGTCTAAAGGAAGGTTGAACTCTGTGAGTTGCATACACACAACACAAAGAAGTTACTGAGAAATCTTCTGTCTAGCATAATATGAAGAAATCCCGTTTCCAACGAAGGCCTCAAAGAGGTCCGAATATCCACTGGCAGGCTTCACAAACAGAGTGTTTCCTAACTGCTCTGTGAAAAGAAAGGTTAAACTCTGTGAGTTGAACGCACACATCACAAAGGAGTTTCTGAGAACCATTCTGTCTAGTTTTTATACGAAGATATTTCCTTTTCTACCATTGACCTCAAAGCGGCTGAAATCTCCACTTGCAAATTCCAGAAAAACAGTGTTTCAAATCTGCTCTGTGTAAAGGATCGTTCAACTCTGTGAGTTGAATACACACAACACAAGGAAGTTACTGAGAATTCATCTGTCTAGCATAATATGAAGAAATCCCGTTTCCAACGAAGGCCTCAAAGAGGTCTGAATATCCACTTGCAGACTTTACAAACAGAGTGTTTCCTAACTGCTCTTTGAAAAGAAAGGTTAAACTCTGTGAGTTGAACGCACACATCACAAAACAGTTTCTGAGAATCATTCTGTCTAGTTTTTATACGAAGATATTTCCTTTTCTACCGTTGACCTCAAAGCGGCTGAATTCTCCACTTACAAATTCCACCAAAAGAGTGTCTCAAATCTGCTCTGTGTAAAGAATCATTCAACTCTGTGAGTTGAGTGCACACAACACAAGGAAGTTACTGGGAATTCCTCTGTCTAACCTTACATGAAAAAACCCGTTTCCAACGAAGGCCTCTAAGAGGCCAAGATATCCACTTGCAGACTTTACAAACAGAGTGTTTCCAAACTGCTGAATGAAAAGAAAAGTTAAACTCTGTGAGTTGAACGCACACATCACAGAGCAGTTTCTGAGAATGATTCTGTCGGGTTTTTATACGAAGATATTTCCTTTTCTGCCTTTGGCCTCAAAGCGCTTGAAGTCTCCACTTGCAAATTGCAGAAAAAGAGTGTTTCGAATCTGCTCTGTCTAAAGGAAGGTTCAACTCTGTCAGTTGAATACACACAACACAAGGAAGTTACTGAGATTTCTTCTGTCTAGCCTTACATGAAAAAAACCCGTTTCCAACGAAGGCCTCAAAGAGGTCAAAATATCCACGTGCAGACTTTCCAAACAGAGTGTTTCCAAACTGCTGAATGAAAAGAAAAGTTAAACTCTGTGAGTTGAACGCACACATCCCAGAGCAGTTTCTGAGAAAGATTCTGTCGAGTTTTTATAGGAAAATATTTCCTTTTCTGCTTTTGGCCTCAAAGCGCTTGAAATCTCCACTTGCAAATTCCACAAAAAGAGACTTTCAAATCTGCTCTGTCTAAAGGAAGGTTCAACTCTGTCAGTTGAATACACACAACACAAAGAAGTTACTAAGAATTCTTCCCTCTAGCATTATATGAAGAAATCCCGTTTCCAACGAAGGCATCTAAGAGGTCCAAATATCCACTTGCAGACTTTACAAACACAGGGTTTCCAGAATGCTGTATGAAAAGAAAGGTTAAACTCTGTGAGTTAAACACACACATCACTACGCAGTGTCTGGGAACGAGTTTGTCTTGTTTTTATACGAAGATATTTCCTTTTCTACCATTGGCATCGAAGCGCTTGAAATCTCCACTTGCAAATTCCACAAAAAGAGTGTTTCAAATCTGCTCTGTCTAAAGGAAGGTTGAACTCTGTGAGTTGCATACACACAACACAAAGAAGTTACTGAGAAATCTTCTGTCTAGCATAATATGAAGAAATCCCGTTTCCAACGAAGGCCTGAAAGAGGTCTGAATATCCACTGGCAGGCTTCACAAACAGAGTGTTTCCTAACTGCTCTGTGAAAAGAAAGGTTAAACTCTGTGAGTTGAACGCACACATCACAAAGGAGTTTCTGAGAATCATTCTGTCTAGTTTTTATACGAAGATATTTCCTTTTCTACCATTGACCTCAAAGCGGCTGAAATCTCCACTTGCAAATTCCAGAAAAACAGTGTTTCAAATCTGCTCTGTGTAAAGGATCGTTCAACTCTGTGAGTTGAATACACACAACACAAGGAAGTTACTGAGAATTCATCTGTCTAGCATAATATGAAGAAATCCCGTTTCCAACGAAGGCCTCAAAGAGGTCTGAATATCCACTTGCAGACTTTACAGAGTGTTTCCTAACTGCTCTCTGAAAAGAAAGGTTAAACTCTGTGAGTTGAACGCACACATCACAAAACAGTTTCTGAGAATCATTCTGTCTAGTTTTTATACGAAGATATTTCCTTTTCTACCGTTGACCTCAAAGCGGCTGAATTCTCCACTTACAAATTCCACCAAAAGAGTGTCTCAAATCTGCTCTGTGTAAAGAATCATTCAACTCTGTGAGTTGAATGCACACAACACAAGGAAGTTACTGGGAATTCCTCTGTCTAACCTTACATGAAAAAACCCATTTCCAACGAAGGCCTCTAAGAGGCCAAGATATCCACTTGCAGACTTTACAAACAGAGTGTTTCCAAACTGCTGAATGAAAAGAAAAGTTAAACTCTGTGAGTTGAACGCACACATCACAGAGCAGTTTCTGAGAATGATTCTGTCGGGTTTTTATACGAAGATATTTCCTTTTCTGCCTTTGGCCTCAAAGCGCTTGAAGTCTCCACTTGCAAATTGCAGAAAAAGAGTGTTTCGAATCTGCTCTGTCTAAAGGAAGGTTCAACTCTGTCAGTTGAATACACACAACACAAGGAAGTTACTGAGATTTCTTCTGTCTAGCCTTACATGAAAAAAACCCGTTTCCAACGAAGGCCTCAAAGAGGTCAAAATATCCACGTGCAGACTTTCCAAACAGAGTGTTTCCAAACTGCTGAATGAAAAGAAAAGTTAAACTCTGTGAGTTGAACGCACACATCCCACAGCAGTTTCTGAGAAAGATTCTGTCTAGTTTTTATAGGAAAATATTTCCTTTTCTGCTTTTGGCCTCAAAGCGCTTGAAATCTCCACTTGCAAATTCCACAAAAAGAGACTTTCAAATCTGCTCTGTCTAAAGGAAGGTTCAACTCTGTCAGTTGAATACACACAACACAAAAAAGTTACTAAGAATTCTTCCCTCTAGCATTATATGAAGAAATCCCGTTCCCAACGAAGGCATCTAAGAGGTCCAAATATCCACTTGCAGACTTTACAAACAGAGGGTTTCCAGAATGCTGTATGAAAAGAAAGGTTAAACTCTGTGAGTTAAACACACACATCACTACGCAGTGTCTGGGAACGAGTTTGTCTTGTTTTTATACGAAGATATTTCCTTTTCTACCATTGGCATCGAAGCGCTTGAAATCTCCACTTGCAAATTCCACAAAAAGAGTGTTTCAAATCTGCTCTGTCTAAAGGAAGGTTGAACTCTGTGAGTTGCATACACACAACACAAAGAAGTTACTGAGAAATCTTCTGTCTAGCATAATATGAAGAAATCCCGTTTCCAACGAAGGCCTCAAAGAGGTCCGAATATCCACTGGCAGGCTTCACAAACAGAGTGTTTCCTAACTGCTCTGTGAAAAGAAAGGTTAAACTCTGAGTTGAACGCACACATCACAAAGGAGTTTCTGAGAATCATTCTGTCTAGTTTTTATACGAAGATATTTCCTTTTCTACCATTGACCTCAAAGCGGCTGACATCTCCACTTGCAAATTCCAGAAAAACAGTGTTTCAAATCTGCTCTGTGTAAAGGATCGTTCAACTCTGTGAGTTGAATACACACAACACAAGGAAGTTACTGAGAATTCATCTGTCTAGCATAATATGAAGAAATCCCGTTTCCAACGAAGGCCTCAAAGAGGTCTGAATATCCACTTGCAGACTTTACAAACAGAGTGTTTCCTAACTGCTCTTTGAAAAGAAAGGTTAAACTCTGTGAGTTGAACGCACACATCACAAAACAGTTTCTGAGAATCATTCTGTCTAGTTTTTATACGAAGATATTTCCTTTTCTACCGTTGACCTCAAAGCGGCTGAATTCTCCACTTACAAATTCCACCAAAAGAGTGTCTCAAATCTGCTCTGTGTAAAGAATCATTCAACTCTGTGAGTTGAATGCACACAACACAAGGAAGTTACTGGGAATTCCTCTGTCTATCCTTACATGAAAAAACCCGTTTCCAACGAAGGCCTCTAAGAGGCCAAGATATCCACTTGCAGACTTTACAAACAGAGTGTTTCCAAACTGCTGAATGAAAAGAAAAGTTAAACTCTGTGAGTTGAACGCACACATCACAGAGCAGTTTCTGAGAATGATTCTGTCGGGTTTTTATACGAAGATATTCCCTTTTCTGCCTTTGGCCTCAAAGCGCTTGAAGTCTCCACTTGCAAATTGCCGAAAAAGATTGTTTCAAATCTGCTCTGTCTAAAGGAAGGTTCAACTCTGTCAGTTGAATACACACAACACAAGGAAGTTACTGAGATTTCTTCTGTCTAGCCTTACATGAAAAAAACCCGTTTCCAACGAAGGCCTCAAAGAGGTCAAAATATCCACGTGCAGACTTTCCAAACAGAGTGTTTCCAAACTGCTGAATGAAAAGAAAAGTTAAACTCTGTGAGTTGAACGCACACATCCCAGAGCAGTTTCTGAGAAAGATTCTGTCGAGTTTTTATAGGAAAATATTTCCTTTTCTGCTTTTGGCCTCAAAGCGCTTGAAATCTCCACTTGCAAATTCCACAGAAAGAGACTTTCAAATCTGCTCTGTCTAAAGGAAGGTTCAACTCTGTCAGTTGAATACACACAACACAAAGAAGTTACTAAGAATTCTTCCCTCTAGCATTATATGAAGAAATCCCGTTTCCAACGAAGGCATCTAAGAGGTCCAAATATCCACTTGCAGACTTTACAAACACAGGGTTTCCAGAATGCTGTATGAAAAGAAAAGTTAAACTCTGTGAGTTAAACACACACATCACTACGCAGTGTCTGGGAACGAGTTTGTCTTGTTTTTATACGAAGATATTTCCTTTTCTACCATTGGCATCGAAGCGCTTGAAATCTCCACTTGCAAATTCCACAAAAAGAGTGTTTCAAATCTGCTCTGTCTAAAGGAAGGTTGAACTCTGTGAGTTGCATACACACAACACAAAGAAGTTACTGAGAAATCTTCTGTCTAGCATAATATGAAGAAATCCCGTTTCCAACGAAGGCCTCAAAGAGGTCCGAATATCCACTGGCAGGCTTCACAAACAGAGTGTTTCCTAACTGCTCTGTGAAAAGAAAGGTTAAACTCTGTGAGTTGAACGCACACATCACAAAGGAGTTTCTGAGAATCATTCTGTCTAGTTTTTATACGAAGATATTTCCTTTTCTACCATTGACCTCAAAGCGGCTGAAATCTCCACTTGCATATTCCAGAAAAACAGTGTTTCAAATCTGCTCTGTGTAAAGGATCGTTCAACTCTGTGAGTTGAATACACACAACACAAGGAAGTTACTGAGAATTCATCTGTCTAGCATAATATGAAGAAATCCCGTTTCCAACGAAGGCCTCAAAGAGGTCTGAATATCCACTTGCAGACTTTACAAACAGAGTGTTTCCTAACTGCTCTTTGAAAAGAAAGGTTAAACTCTGTGAGTTGAACGCACACATCACAAAACAGTTTCTGAGAATCATTCTGTCTAGTTTTTATACGAAGATATTTCCTTTTCTACCGTTGACCTCAAAGCGGCTGAATTCTCCAATTACAAATTCCACCAAAAGAGTGTCTCAAATCTGCTCTGTGTAAAGAATCATTCAACTCTGTGAGTTGAATGCACACAACACAAGGAAGTTACTGGGAATTCCTCTGTCTATCCTTACATGAAAAAACCCGCTTCCAACGAAGGCCTCTAAGAGGCCAAGATATCCACTTGCAGACTTTACAAACAGAGTGTTTCCAAACTGCTGAATGAAAAGAAAAGTTAAACTCTGTGAGTTGAACGCACACATCACAGAGCAGTTTCTGAGAATGATTCTGTCGGGTTTTTATACGAAGATATTTCCTTTTCTGCCTTTGGCCTCAAAGCGCTTGAAGTCTCCACTTGCAAATTGCAGAAAAAGAGTGTTTCGAATCTGCTCTGTCTAAAGGAAGGTTCAACTCTGTCAGTTGAATACACACAACACAAGGAAGTTACTGAGATTTCTTCTGTCTAGCCTTACATGAAAAAAACCCGTTTCCAACGAAGGCCTCAAAGAGGTCAAAATATCCACGTGCAGACTTTCCAAACAGAGTGTTTCCAAACTGCTGAATGAAAAGAAAAGTTAAACTCTGTGAGTTGAACGCACACATCCCAGAGCAGTTTCTGAGAAAGATTCTGTCGAGTTTTTATAGGAAAATATTTCCTTTTCTGCTTTTGGCCTCAAAGCGCTTGAAATCTCCACTTGCAAATTCCACAAAAAGAGACTTTCAAATCTGCTCTGTCTAAAGGAAGGTTCAACTCTGTCAGTTGAATACACACAACACAAAGAAGTTACTAAGAATTCTTCCCTCTAGCATTATATGAAGAAATCCCGTTTCCAACGAAGGCATCTAAGAGGTCCAAATATCCACTTGCAGACTTTACAAACACAGGGTTTCCAGAATGCTGTATGAAAAGAAAGGTGAAACTCTGTGAGTTAAACACACACATCACTACGCAGTGTCTGGGAACGAGTTTGTCTTGTTTTTATACGAAGATATTTCCTTTTCTACCATTGGCATCGAAGCGCTTGAAATCTCCACTTGCAAATTCCACAAAAAGAGTGTTTCAAATCTGCTCTGTCTAAAGGAAGGTTGAACTCTGTGAGTTGCATACACACAACACAAAGAAGTTACTGAGAAATCTTCTGTCTAGCATAATATGAAGAAATCCCGTTTCCAACGAAGGCCTCAAAGAGGTCCGAATATCCACTGGCAGGCTTCACAAACAGAGTGTTTCCTAACTGCTCTGTGAAAAGAAAGGTTAAACTCTGTGAGTTGAACGCACACATCACAAAGGAGTTTCTGAGAATCATTCTGTCTAGTTTTTATACGAAGATATTTCCTTTTCTACCATTGACCTCAAAGCGGCTGAAATCTCCACTTGCAAATTCCAGAAAAACAGTGTTTCAAATCTGCTCTGTGTAAAGGATCGTTCAACTCTGTGAGTTGAATACACACAACACAAGGAAGTTACTGAGAATTCATCTGTCTAGCATAATATGAAGAAATCCCGTTTCCAACGAAGGCCTCAAAGAGGTCTGAATATCCACTTGCAGACTTTACAAACAGAGTGTTTCCTAACTGCTCTTTGAAAAGAAAGGTTAAACTCTGTGAGTTGAACGCACACATCACAAAACAGTTTCTGAGAATCATTCTGTCTAGTTTTTATACGAAGATATTTCCTTTTCTACCGTTGACCTCAAAGCGGCTGAATTCTCCACTTACAAATTCCACCAAAAGAGTGTCTCAAAACTGCTCTGTGTAAAGAATCATTCAACTCTGTGAGTTGAATGCACACAACACAAGGAAGTTACTGGGAATTCCTCTGTCTAACCTTACATGAAAAAACCCGTTTCCAACGAAGGCCTCTAAGAGGCCAAGATATCCACTTGCAGACTTTACAAACAGAGTGTTTCCAAACTGCTGAATGAAAAGAAAAGTTAAACTCTGTGAGTTGAACGCACACATCACAGAGCAGTTTCTGAGAATGATTCTGTCGGGTTTTTATACGAAGATATTTCCTTTTCTGCCTTTGGCCTCAAAGCGCTTGAAGTCTCCACTTGCAAATTGCAGAAAAAGAGTGTTTCGAATCTGCTCTGTCTAAAGGAAGGTTCAACTCTGTCAGTTGAATACACACAACACAAGGAAGTTACTGAGATTTCCTTCTGTCTAGCCTTACATGAAAAAACCCGTTTCCAACGAAGGCCTCAAAGAGGTCAAAATATCCACGTGCAGACTTTCCAAACAGAGTGTTTCCAAACTGCTGAATGAAAAGAAAAGTTAAACTCTGTGAGTTGAACGCACACATCCCAGAGCAGTTTCTGAGAAAGATTCTGTCTAGTTTTTATAGGAAAATATTTCCTTTTCTGCTTTTGGCCTCAAAGCGCTTGAAATCTCCACTTGCAAATTCCACAAAAAGAGACTTTCAAATCTGCTCTGTCTAAAGGAAGGTTCAACTCTGTCAGTTGAATACACACAACACAAAGAAGTTACTAAGAATTCTTCCCTCTAGCATTATATGAGGAAATCCCGTTTCCAACGAAGGCATCTAAGAGGTCCAAATATCCACTTGCAGACTTTACAAACAGAGGGTTTCCAGAATGCTGTATGAAAAGAAAGGTTAAACTCTGTGAGTTAAACACACACATCACTACGCAGTGTCTGGGAACGAGTTTGTCTTGTTTTTATACGAAGATATTTCCTTTTCTACCATTGGCATCGAAGCGCTTGAAATCTCCACTTGCAAATTCCACAAAAAGAGTGTTTCAAATCTGCTCTGTCTAAAGGAAGGTTGAACTCTGTGAGTTGCATACACACAACACAAAGAAGTTACTGAGAAATCTTCTGTCTAGCATAATATGAAGAAATCCCGTTTCCAACGAAGGCCTCAAAGAGGTCCGAATATCCACTGGCAGGCTTCACAGAGTGTTTCCTAACTGCTCTGTGAAAAGAAAGGTTAAACTCTGTGAGTTGAACGCACACATCACAAAGGAGTTTCTGAGAATCATTCTGTCTAGTTTTTATACGAAGATATTTCCTTTTCTACCATTGACCTCAAATCGGCTGAAATCTCCACTTGCAAATTCCAGAAAAACAGTGTTTCAAATCTGCTCTGTGTAAAGGATCGTTCAACTCTGTGAGTTGAATACACACAACACAAGGAAGTTACTGAGAATTCATCTGTCTACCATAATATGAAGAAATCCCGTTTCCAACGAAGGCCTCAAAGAGGTCTGAATATCCACTTGCAGACTTTACAAACAGAGTGTTTCCTAACTGCTCTTTGAAAAGAAAGGTTAAACTCTGTGAGTTGAACGCACACATCACAAAACAGTTTCTGAGAATCATTCTGTCTAGTTTTTATACGAAGATATTTCCTTTTCTACCGTTGACCTCAAAGCGGCTGAATTCTCCACTTACAAATTCCACCAAAAGAGTGTCTCAAATCTGCTCTGTGTAAAGAATCATTCAACTCTGTGAGTTGAATGCACACAACACAAGGAAGTTACTGGGAATTCCTCTGTCTATCCTTACATGAAAAAACCCGTTTCCAACAAAGGCCTCTAAGAGGCCAAGATATCCACTTGCAGACTTTACAAACAGAGTGTTTCCAAACTGCTGAATGAAAAGAAAAGTTAAACTCTGTGAGTTGAACGCACACATCACAGAGCAGTTTCTGAGAATGATTCTGTCGGGTTTTTATACGAAGATATTTCCTTTTCTGCCTTTGGCCTCAAAGCGCTTGAAGTCTCCACTTGCAAATTGCAGAAAAAGAGTGTTTCGAATCTGCTCTGTCTAAAGGAAGGTTCAACTCTGTCAGTTGAATACACACAACACAAGGAAGTTACTGAGATTTCTTCTGTCTAGCCTTACATGAAAAAAACCCGTTTCCAACGAAGGCCTCAAAGAGGTCAAAATATCCACGTGCAGACTTTCCAAACAGTGTTTCCAAACTGCTGAATGAAAAGAAAAGTTAAACTCTGTGAGTTGAACTGCACACATCACAGAGCAGTTTCTGAGAATGATTCTGTCGAGGTTTTATAGGAAAATATTTCCTTTTCTGCTTTTGGCCTCAAAGCGCTTGAAATCTCCACTTGCAAATTCCACAAAAAGAGACTTTCAAATCTGCTCTGTCTAAAGGAAGGTTCAACTCTGTCAGTTGAATACACACAACACAAAGAAGTTACTAAGAATTCTTCCCTCTAGCATTATATGAAGAAATCCCGTTTCCAACGAAGGCATCTAAGAGGTCCAAATATCGACTTGCAGACTTTACAAACAGAGGGTTTCCAGAATGCTGTATGAAAAGAAAGGTGAAACTCTGTGAGTTAAACACACACATCACTACGCAGTGTCTGGGAACGAGTTTGTCTTGTTTTTATACGAAGATATTTCCTTTTCTACCATTGGCATCGAAGCGCTTGAAATCTCCACTTGCAAATTCCACAAAAAGAGTGTTTCAAATCTGCTCTGTCTAAAGGAAGGTTGAACTCTGTGAGTTGCATACACACAACACAAAGAAGTTACTGAGAAATCTTCTGTCTAGCATAATATGAAGAAATCCCGTTTCCAACGAAGGCCTGAAAGAGGTCCGAATATCCACTGGCAGGCTTCACAAACAGAGTGTTTCCTAACTGCTCTGTGAAAAGAAAGGTTAAACTCTGTGAGTTGAACGCACACATCACAAAGGAGTTTCTGAGAATCATTCTGTCTAGTTTTTATACGAAGATATTTCCTTTTCTACCATTGACCTCAAAGCGGCTGAAATCTCCACTTGCAAATTCCAGAAAAACAGTGTTTCAAATCTGCTCTGTGTAAAGGATCGTTCAACTCTGTGAGTTGAATACACACAACACAAGGAAGTTACTGAGAATTCATCCCTCTAGCATTATATGAAGAAATCCCGTTTCCAACGAAGGCCTCAAAGAGGTCTGAATATCCACTTGCAGACTTTACAGAGTGTTTCCTAACTGCTCTTTGAAAAGAAAGGTTAAACTCTGTGAGTTGAACGCACACATCACAAAACAGTTTCTGAGAATCATTCTGTCTAGTTTTTATACGAAGATATTTCCTTTTCTACCGTTGACCTCAAAGCGGCTGAATTCTCCACTTACAAATTCCACCCAAAGAGTGTCTCAAATCTGCTCTGTGTAAAGAATCATTCAACTCTGTGAGTTGAATGCACACAACACAAGGAAGTTACTGGGAATTCCTCTGTCTAACCTTAAATGAAGAAACCCGTTTCCAACGAAGGCCTCTAAGAGGCCAAGATATCCACTTGCAGACTTTCCAAACAGAGTGTTTCCAAACTGCTGAATGAAAAGAAAAGTTAAACTCTGTGAGTTGAACGCACACATCCCAGAGCAGTTTCTGAGAAAGATTCTGTCTAGTTTTTATAGGAAAATATTTCCTTTTCTGCTTTTGGCCTCAAAGCGCTTGAAATCTCCACTTGCAAATTCCACAAAAAGAGACTTTCAAATCTGCTCTGTCTAAAGGAAGGTTCAACTCTGTCAGTTGAATACACACAACACAAAGAAGTTACTAAGAATTCTTCCCTCTAGCATTATATGAGGAAATCCCGTTTCCAACGAAGGCATCTAAGAGGTCCAAATATCCACTTGCAGACTTTACAAACAGAGGGTTTCCAGAATGCTGTATGAAAAGAAAGGTTAAACTCTGTGAGTTAAACACACACATCACTACGCAGTGTCTGGGAACGAGTTTGTCTTGTTTTTATACGAAGATATTTCCTTTTCTACCATTGGCATCGATGCGCTTGAAATTTCCACTTGCAAATTCCACAAAAAGAGTGTTTCAAATCTGCTCTGTCTAAAGGAAGGTTGAACTCTGTGAGTAGCATACACACAACACAAAGAAGTTACTGAGAAATCTTCTGTCTAGCAAAATATGAAGAAATCCCGTTTCCAACGAAGGCCTCAAAGAGGTCCGAATATCCACTGGCAGGCTTCACAAACAGAGTGTTTCCTAACTGCTCTGTGAAAAGAAAGGTTAAACTCTGTGAGTTGAACGCACACATCACAAAGGAGTTTCTGAGAATCATTCTGTCCAGTTTTTATACGAAGATATTTCCTTTTCTACCATTGACCTCAAAGCGGCTGAAATCTCCACTTGCAAATTCCAGAAAAACAGTGTTTCAAATCTGCTCTGTGTAAAGGATCGTTAAACTCTGTGAGTTGAATACACACAGCACAAGGAAGTTACTGAGAATTCATCTGTCTAGCATAATATGATGAAATCCCGTTTCCAACGAAGGCTTCAAAGAGGTCTGAATATCCACTTGCAGACTTTACAAACAGAGTGTTTCCTAACTGCTCTTTGAAAACAAAGGTTAAACTCTTTGAGTTGAATGCACACATCACAAAACAGTTTCTGAGAATCATTCTTTCCAGTTTTTATACGAAGATATTTCCTTTTCTACCGTTGACCTCAAAGCGGCTGAATTCTCCACTTACAAATTCCACCAAAAGTGTGTCTCAAATCAGGTCTGTGTAAAGAATCATTCAACTCTGTGAGTTGAATGCACACAACACAAGGAAGTTACTGGGAATTCCTCTGTCTAACCTTACATGAAAAAACCCGTTTCCAACGAAGGCCTCTAAGAGGCCAAGATATCCACTTGCAGACTTTACAAACAGAGTGTTTCCAAACTGCTGAATGAAAAGAAAAGTTAAACTCTGTGAGTTGAACGCACACATCACAGAGCAGTTTCTGAGAATGATTCTGTCGGGTTTTTATACGAAGATATTTCCTTTTCTGCCTTTGGCCTCAAAGCGCTTGAAGTCTCCTCTTGCAAATTGCAGAAAAAGAGTGTTTCGAATCTGCTCTGTCTAAAGGAAGGTTCAACTCTGTCAGTTGAATACACACAACACAAGGAAGTTACTGAGATTTCTTCTGTCTAGCCTTACATGAAAAAAACCCGTTTCCAACGAAGGCCTCAAAGAGGTCAAAATATCCACGTGCAGACTTTCCAAACAGAGTGTTTCCAAACTGCTGAATGAAAAGAAAGTTAAACTCTGTGAGTTGAACACACACATCACAGAGCAGTTTCTGAGAATGATTCTGTCGAGTTTTTATAGGAAAATATTTCCTTTTCTGCTTTTGGCCTCAAAGCGCTTGAAATCTCCACTTGCAAATTCCACAAAAAGAGACTTTCAAATCTGCTCTGTCTAAAGGAAGGTTCAACTCTGTCAGTTGAATACACACAACACAAAGGAAGTTACTAAGAATTCTTCCCTCTAGCATTATATGAAGAAATCCCGTTTCCAACGAAGGCATCTAAGAGGTCCAAATATCCACTTGCAGACTTTACAAACAGAGGGTTTCCAGAATGCTGTATGAAAAGAAAGGTGAAACTCTGTGAGTTAAACACACACATCACTACGCAGTGTCTGGGAACGAGTTTGTCTTGTTTTTATCCGAAGATATTTCCTTTTCTACCATTGGCATCGAAGCGCTTGAAATCTCCACTTGCAAATTCCACAAAAAGAGTGTTTCAAATCTGCTCTGTCTAAAGGAAGGTTGAACTCTGTGAGTTGCATATACACAACACAAAGAAGTTACTGAGAAATCTTTTGTCTAGCATAATATGAAGAAATCCCGTTTCCAACGAAGGCCTCAAAGAGGTCCGAATATCCACTGGCAGGCTTCACAAACAGAGTGTTTCCTAACTGCTCTGTGAAAAGAAAGGTTAAACTCTGTGAGTTGAACGCACACATCACAAAGGAGTTTCTGAGAATCATTCTGTCTAGTTTTTATACGAAGATATTTCCTTTTCTACCATTGACCTCAAAGCGGCTGAAATCTCCACTTGCAAATTCCAGAAAAACAGTGTTTCAAATCTGCTCTGTGTAAAGGATCGTTCAACTCTGTGAGTTGAATACACACAACACAAGGAAGTTACTGAGAATTCATCTGTCTAGCATAATATGAAGAAATCCAGTTTCCAACGAAGGCCTCAAAGAGGTCTGAATATCCACTTGCAGACTTTACAAACAGAGTGTTTCCTAACTGCTCTTTGAAAAGAAAGGTTAAACTCTGTGAGTTGAACGCACACATCACAAAACAGTTTCTGAGAATCATTCTGTCTAGTTTTTATACGAAGATATTTCCTTTTCTACCGTTGACCTCAAAGCGGCTGAATTCTCCACTTACAAATTCCACCAAAAGAGTGTCTCAAATCTGCTCTGTGTAAAGAATCATTCAACTCTGTGAGTTGAATGCACACAACACAAGGGAAGTTACTGGGAATTCCTCTGTCTATCCTTACATGAAAAAACCCGTTTCCAACGAAGGCCTCTAAGAGGCCAAGATATCCACTTGGAGACTTTACAAACAGAGTGTTTCCAAACTGCTGAATGAAAAGAAAAGTTAAACTCTGTGAGTTGAACGCACACATCACAGAGCAGTTTCTGAGAAAGATTCTGTCTAGTTTTTATAGGAAAATATTTCCTTTTCTGCTTTTGGCCTCAAAGCGCTTGAAATCTCCACTTGCAAATTCCACAAAAAGAGTGTTTCAAATCTGCTCTGTCTAAAGGAAGGTTGAACTCTGTGAGTTGCATACACACAACACAAAGAAGTTACTGAGAAATCTTCTGTCTAGTATAATATGAAGAAATCCCGTTTCCAACGAAGGCCTCAAAGAGGTCCGAATATCCACTGGCAGGCTTCACAAACAGAGTGTTTCCTAACTGCTCTGTGAAAAGAAAGGTTAAACTCTGTGAGTTGAACGCACACATCACAAAGGAGTTTCTGAGAATCATTCTGTCTAGTTTTTATACGAAGATATTTCCTTTTCTACCATTGACCTCAAAGCGGCTGAAATCTCCACTTGCAAATTCCAGAAAAACAGTGTTTCAAATCTGCTCTGTGTAAAGGATCGTTCAACTCTGTGAGTTGAATACACACAACACAAGGAAGTTACTGAGAATTCATCTGTCTAGCATAATATGAAGAAATCCCGTTTCCAACGAAGGCCTCAAAGAGGTCTGAATATCCACTTGCAGACTTTACAAACAGAGTGTTTCCTAACTGCTCTTTGAAAAGAAAGGTTAAACTCTGTGTGTTGAACGCACACATCACAAAACAGTTTCTGAGAATCATTCTGTCTAGTTTTTATACGAAGATATTTCCTTTTCTACCGTTGACCTCAAAGCGGCTGAATTCTCCACTTACAAATTCCACCAAAAGAGTGTCTCAAATCTGCTCTGTGTAAAGAATCATTCAACTCTGTGAGTTGAATGCACACAACACAAGGAAGTTACTGGGAATTCCTCTGTCTAACCTTACATGAAAAAACCCGCTTCCAACGAAGGCCTCTAAGAGGCCAAGATATCCACTTGCAGACTTTACAGAGTGTTTCCAAACTGCTGAATGAAAAGAAAAGTTAAACTCTGTGAGTTGAACGCACACATCACAGAGCAGTTTCTGAGAATGATTCTGTCGGGTTTTTATACGAAGATATTTCCTTTTCTGCCTTTGGCCTCAAAGCGCTTGAAGTCTCCACTTGCAAATTGCAGAAAAAGAGTGTTTCGAATCTGCTCTGTCTAAAGGAAGGTTCAACTCTGTCAGTTGAATACACACAACACAAGGAAGTTACTGAGATTTCTTCTGTCTAGCCTTACATGAAAAAAACCCGTTTCCAACGAAGGCCTCAAAGAGGTCAAAATATCCACGTGCAGACTTTCCAAACAGAGTGTTTCCAAACTGCTGAATGGAAAGAAAAGTTAAACTCTGTGAGTTGAACGCACACATCCCAGAGCAGTTTCTGAGAAAGATTCTGTCTAGTTTTTATAGGAAAATATTTCCTTTTCTGCTTTTGGCCTCAAAGCGCTTGAAATCTCCACTTGCAAATTCCACAAAAAGAGACTTTCAAATCTGCTCTGTCTAAAGGAAGGTTCAACTCTGTCAGTTGAATACACACAACACAAAGAAGTTACTAAGAATTCTTCCCTCTAGCATTATATGAAGAAATCCCGTTTCCAACGAAGGCATCTAAGAGGTCCAAATATCCACTTGCAGACTTTACAAACAGAGGGTTTCCAGAATGCTGTATGAAAAGAAAGGTGAAACTCTGTGAGTTAAACACACACATCACTACGCAGTGTCTGGGAACGAGTTTGTCTTGTTTTTCTACGAAGATATTTCCTTTTCTACCATTGGCATCGAAGCGCTTGAAATCTCCACTTGCAAATTCCACAAAAAGAGTGTTTCAAATCTGCTCTGTCTAAAGGAAGGTTGAACTCTGTAGGTTGCATACACACAACACAAAGAAGTTACTGAGAAATCTTCTGTCTAGCATAATATGAAGAAATCCCGTTTCCAACGAAGGCCTCAAAGAGGTCCGAATATCCACTGGCAGGCTTCACAAACAGAGTGTTTCCTAACTGCTCTGTGAAAAGAAAGGTTAAACTCTGTGAGTTGAACGCACACATCACAAAGGAGTTTCTGAGAATCATTCTGTCTAGTTTTTATACGAAGATATTCCTTTTTCTACCATTGACCTCAAAGCGGCTGAAATCTCCACTTGCAAATTCCAGAAAAACAGTGTTTCAAATCTGCTCTGTGTAAAGGATCGTTCAACTCTGTGAGTTGAATACACACAACACAAGGAAGTTACTGAGAATTCATCTGTCTAGCATAATATGAAGAAATCCCGTTTCCAACGAAGGCCTCAAAGTAGGTCTGAATATCCACTTGCAGACTTTACAAACAGAGTGTTTCCTAACTGCTCTTTGAAAAGAAAGGTTAAACTCTGTGAGTTGAACGCACACATCACAAAACAGTTTCTGAGAATCATTCTGTCTAGTTTTTATACGAAGATATTTCCTTTTCTACCGTTGACCTCAAAGCGGCTGAATTCTCCACTTACAAATTCCACCAAAAGAGTGTCTCAAATCTGCTCTGTGTAAAGAATCGTTCAACTCTGTGAGTTGAATGCACACAACACAAGGAAGTTACTGGGAATTCCTCTGTCTAACCTTACATGAAAAAACCCGTTTCCAACGAAGGCCTCTAAGAGGCCAAGATATCCACTTGCAGACTTTACAAACAGAGTGTTTCCAAACTGCTGAATGAAAAGAAAAGTTAAACTCTGTGAGTTGAACGCACACATCACAGAGCAGTTTCTGAGAATGATTCTGTCGGGTTTTTATACGAAGATATTTCCTTTTCTGCCTTTGGCCTCAAAGCGCTTGAAGTCTCCACTTGCAAATTGCAGAAAAAGAGTGTTTCGAATCTGCTCTCTCTAAAAGAAGGTTCAACTCTGTCAGTTGAATACACACAACACAAGGAAGTTACTGAGATTTCTTCTGTCTAGCCTTACATGAAAAAAACCCGTTTCCAACGAAGGCCTCAAAGAGGTCAAAATATCCACGTGCAGACTTTCCAAACAGAGTGTTTCCAAACTGCTGAATGAAAAGAAAAGTTAAACTCTGTGAGTTGAACGCACACATCCCAGAGCAGTTTCTGAGAAAGATTCTGTCGAGTTTTTATAGGAAAATATTTCCTTTTCTGCTTTTGGCCTCAAAGCGCTTGAAATCTCCACTTGCAAATTCCACAAAAAGAGACTTTCAAATCTGCTCTGTCTAAAGGAAGGTTCAACTCTGTCAGTTGAATACACACAACACAAAGAAGTTACTAAGAATTCTTCCCTCTAGCATTATATGAAGAAATCCCGTTTCCAACGAAGGCATCTAAGAGGTCCAAATATCCACTTGCAGACTTTACAAACACAGGGTTTCCAGAATGCTGTATGAAAAGAAAAGTTAAACTCTGTGAGTTAAACACACACATCACTACGCAGTGTCTGGGAACGAGTTTGTCTTGTTTTTATACGAAGATATTTCCTTTTCTACCATTGGCATCGAAGCGCTTGAAATCTCCACTTGCAAATTCCACAAAAAGAGTGTTTCAAATCTGCTCTGTCTAAAGGAAGGTTGAACTCTGTGAGTTGCATACACACAACACAAAGAAGTTACTGAGAAATCTTCTGTCTAGCATAATATGAAGAAATCCCGTTTCCAACGAAGGCCTCAAAGAGGTCCGAATATCCACTGGCAGGCTTCACAAACAGAGTGTTTCCTAACTGCTCTGTGAAAAGAAAGGTTAAACTCTGTGAGTTGAATGCACACATCACAAAGGAGTTTCTGAGAATCATTCTGTCTAGTTTTTATACGAAGATATTTCTTTTTCTACCATTGACCTCAAAGCGGCTGAAATCTCCACTTGCAAATTCCAGAAAAACAGTGTTTCAAATCTGCTCTGTGTAAAGGATCGTTCAACTCTGTGAGTTGAATACACACAACACAAGGAAGTTACTGAGAATTCATCTGTCTAGCATAATATGAAGAAATCCCGTTTCCAACGAAGGCCTCAAAGAGGTCTGAATATCCACTTGCAGACTTTACAAACAGAGTGTTTCCTAACTGCTCTTTGAAAAGAAAGGTTAAACTCTGTGAGTTGAACGCACACATCACAAAACAGTTTCTGAGAATCATTCTGTCTAGTTTTTATACGAAGATATTTCCTTTTCTACCGTTGACCTCAAAGCGGCTGAATTCTCCACTTACAAATTCCACCAAAAGAGTGTCTCAAATCTGCTCTGTGTAAAGAATCGTTCAACTCTGTGAGTTGAATGCACGCAACACAAGGAAGTTACTGGGAATTCCTCTGTCTATCCTTACATGAAAAAACCCGTTTCCAACGAAGGCCTCTAAGAGGCCAAGATATCCACTTGCAGACTTTACAAACAGAGTGTTTCCAAACTGCTGAATGAAAAGAAAAGTTAAACTCTGTGAGTTGAACGCACACATCACAGAGCAGTTTCTGAGAATGATTCTGTCGGGTTTTTATACGAAGATATTTCCTTTTCTGCCTTTGGCCTCAAAGCGCTTGAAGTCTCCACTTGCAAATTGCAGAAAAAGAGTGCTTCGAATCTGCTCTGTCTAAAGGAAGGTTCAACTCTGTCAGTTGAATACACATAACACAAGGAAGTTACTGAGATTTCTTCTGTCTAGCGTTACATGAAAAAAACCCGTTTCCAACGAAGGCCTCAAAGAGGTCAAAATATCCACGTGCAGACTTTCCAAACAGAGTGTTTCCAAACTGCTGAATGAAAAGAAAAGTTAAACTCTGTGAGTTGAACGCACACATCCCAGAGCAGTTTCTGAGAAAGATTCTGTCTAGTTTTTATAGGAAAATATTTCCTTTTCTGCTTTTGGCCTCAAAGCGCTTGAAATCTCCACTTGCAAATTCCACAAAAAGAGACTTTCAAATCTGCTCTGTCTAAAGGAAGGTTCAACCCTGTCAGTTGAATACACACAACACAAAGAAGTTACTAAGAATTCTTCCCTCTAGAATTATATTAAGAAATTCCGTTTCCAATGAAGGCATCTAAGAGCTCCAAATATCCACTTGTAGACTTTACAAACAGAGTGTTTCCAGAATGCTGTATGAAAAGAAAGGTTAAACTCCGTGAGTTAAACACACACATCACTACGCAGTTTCTGGGAATGATTTTGTCTTGTTTTGATACTCAGATATTTCCTTTTCTACCATTGGCATCGAAGCGCTTGAAATCTTCACTTGCAAATTCCACAAAAAGAGTGTTTCAAATCAGCTCTGTCTAAAGGATGGTTGAACTCTGTGAGTTGCATATACACAACACAAAGTAGTTACTGAGAAATCTTCTGTCTAGCATAATATGAAGAAATCCCGTTTCCAAAGAAGGACTCAAAGAGGTCCGAATATCCACTGGCAGACTTCACAAACAGAGTGTTTCCTAACTGCTCTATGAAAAGAAAGGTTAAACTCTGTGAGTTGAACGCACACATCACAAAGGAGTTTCTGAGAATCATTCTATCTAGTTTTTATACTAAGATATTTCCTTTTCTACCATTGAACTCAAAGCGGCTGAAATCTCCACTTGCAAATTCCAGAAAAAGAGGGTTTCAAATCTGCTCTGTGTAAAGGATCGTTCAACTCTGTGAGTTGAATACACGCAACACAAGGAAGTTACTGAGAATTCTTCTGTCTAGCATAATATGAAGAAATCCCGTTTCCAACGAAGGCCTCAAAGAGGTCTGAATATCCACTTGCAGACTTTACAAACAGAGTGTTTCCTAACTGCTCTTTGAAAAGAAAGGTTAAACTCTGTGAGTTGAACGCACACATCACAAAACAGTTTCTGAGAATCATTCTGCCTAGTTTTTATACGAAGATATTTCCTTTTCTACCGTTGACCTCAAAGCGGCTGAATTCTCCACTTACAAATTCCACCAAAAGAGTGTCTCAAATCTGCTCTGTGTAAAGAATCATTCAACTCTGTGAGTTGAATGCACACAACACAAGGAAGTTACTGGGAATTCCTCTGTCTATCCTTACATGAAAAAACCCGTTTCCAACGAAGGCCTCTAAGAGGCCAAGATATCCACTTGCAGACTTTACAAACAGAGTGTTTCCAAACTGCTGAATGAAAAGAAAAGTTAAACTCTGTGAGTTGAACGCACACATCACAGAGCAGTTTCTGAGAATGATTCTGTCGGGTTTTTATACGAAGATATTTCCTTTTCTGCCTTTGGCCTCAAAGCGCTTGAAGTCTCCACTTGCAAATTGCAGAAAAAGAGTGTTTCGAATCTGCTCTGTCTAAAGGAAGGTTCAACTCTGTCAGTTGAATACACACAACACAAGGAAGTTACTGAGATTTCTTCTGTCTAGCCTTACATGAAAAAAACCCGTTTCCAACGAAGGCCTCAAAGAGGTCAAAATATCCACTGTGCAGACTTTCCAAACAGAGTGTTTCCAAACTGCTGAATGAAAAGAAAAGTTAAACTCTGTGAGTTGAACGCACACATCCCAGAGCAGTTTCTGAGAAAGATTCTGTCTAGTTTTTATAGGAAAATATTTCCTTTTCTGCTTTTGGCCTCAAAGCGCTTGAAATCTCCACTTGCAAATTCCACAAAAAGAGACTTTCAAATCTGCTCTGTCTAAAGGAAGGTTCAACTCTGTCAGTTGAATACACACAACACAAAGAAGTTACTAAGAATTCTTCCCTCTAGCATTATATGAAGAAATCCCGTTTCCAACGAAGGCATCTAAGAGGTCCAAATATCCACTTGCAGACTTTACAAACAGAGGGTTTCCAGAATGCTGTATGAAAAGAAAGGTGAAACTCTGTGAGTTAAACACACACATCACTACGCAGTGTCTGGGAACGAGTTTGTCTTGTTTTTATACGAAGATATTTCCTTTTCTACCATTGGCATCGAAGCGCTTGAAATCTCCACTTGCAAATTCCACAAAAAGAGTGTTTCAAATCTGCTCTGTCTAAAGGAAGGTTGAACTCTGTGAGTTGCATACACACAACACAAAGAAGTTACTGAGAAATCTTCTGTCTAGCATAATATGAAGAAATCCCGTTTCCAACGAAGGCCTCAAAGAGGTCCGAATATCCACTGGCAGGCTTCACAAACAGAGTGTTTCCTAACTGCTCTGTGAAAAGAAAGGTTAAACTCTGTGAGTTGAACGCACACATCACAAAGGAGTTTCTGAGAATCATTCTGTCTAGTTTTTATACGAAGATATTTCCTTTTCTACCATTGACCTCAAAGCGGCTGAAATCTCCACTTGCAAATTCCAGAAAAACAGTGTTTCAAATCTGCTCTGTGTAAAGGATCGTTCAACTCTGTGAGTTGAATACACACAACACAAGGAAGTTACTGAGAATTCATCTGTCTAGCATAATATGAAGAAATCCCGTTTCCAACGAAGGCCTCAAAGAGGTCTGAATATCCACTTGCAGACTTTACAAACAGAGTGTTTCCTAACTGCTCTTTGAAAAGAAAGGTTAAACTCTGTGAGTTGAACGCACACATCACAAAACAGTTTCTGAGAATCATTCTGTCTAGTTTTTATACGAAGATATTTCCTTTTCTACCGTTGACCTCAAAGCGGCTGAATTCTCCACTTACAAATTCCACCAAAAGAGTGTCTCAAAACTGCTCTGTGTAAAGAATCATTCAACTCTGTGAGTTGAATGCACACAACACAAGGAAGTTACTGGGAATTCCTCTGTCTAACCTTACATGAAAAAACCCGTTTCCAACGAAGGCCTCTAAGAGGCCAAGATATCCACTTGCAGACTTTACAAACAGAGTGTTTCCAAACTGCTGAATGAAAAGAAAAGTTAAACTCTGTGAGTTGAACGCACACATCACAGAGCAGTTTCTGAGAATGATTCTGTCGGGTTTTTATACGAAGATATTTCCTTTTCTGCCTTTGGCCTCAAAGCGCTTGAAGTCTCCACTTGCAAATTGCAGAAAAAGAGTGTTTCGAATCTGCTCTGTCTAAAGGAAGGTTCAACTCTGTCAGTTGAATACACACAACACAAGGGAATTTACTGAGATTTCTTCTGTCTAGCCTTACATGAAAAAAACCCGTTTCCAACGAAGGCCTCAAAGAGGTCAAAATATCCACGTGCAGACTTTCCAAACAGAGTGTTTCCAAACTGCTGAATGAAAAGAAAAGTTAAACTCTGTGAGTTGAACGCACACATCCCAGAGCAGTTTCTGAGAAAGATTCTGTCTAGTTTTTATAGGAAAATATTTCCTTTTCTGTTTTTGGCCTCAAAGCGCTTGAAATCTCCACTTGCAAATTCCACAAAAAGAGAGTTTCAAATCTGCTCTGTCTAAAGGAAAGTTCAACTCTGTCAGTTGAATACACACAACACAAAGAAGTTACTAAGAATTCTTCCCTCTAGCATTATATGAAGAAATCCCGTTTCCAACGAAGGCATTTAAGAGGTCCAAATATCCACTTGCAGAGTTTACAAACAGAGGGTTTCCAGAATGCTGTATGAAAAGAAAGGTTAAACTCTGTGAGTTAAACACACACATCACTACGCAGTGTCTGGGAACGAGTTTGTCTTGTTTTTGTACGAAGATATTTCCTTTTCTACCATTGGCATCGAAGCGTTTGAAATCTCCACTTGCAAATTCCACAAAAAGAGTGTTTCAAATCTGCTCTGTCTAAAGGAAGGTTGAACTCTGTGAGTTGCATACACACAACACAAAGTAGTTACTGAGAAATCTTCTGTCTAGCATAATATAAAGAAATCCCGTTTCCAACGAAGGCCTCAAAGAGGTCCGAACATCCACTGGTAGGCTTCACAAACAGAGTGTTTCCTGACTGCTCTATGAAAAGAAAGGTTAAACTCTGTGAGTTGAACGCACACGTCACAAAACACTTTCTGAGAATCATTCTGTCTAGTTTTTATACGAAGATATTTCCTTTTCTAACATTGACCTCAAGGTGGCTGAAATCTCCACTTGCAAATTCCACAAAAAGAGTGTTTCAGATCTGCTCTGTGTAAAGGATGGTTCAACTCTGTGAGTTGAATACACACACCACAAAGAAGTTACTAAGAATTCTTCCCTCTAACATTATATGAAGAAATCCCGTTTCCAATGAAGACATCTAAGCGGTCCAAATATCCACTTGCAGACTTTACAAACAGAGTGTTCCCAGAATGCTGTATGAAAAGAAAGGTTAAACTCTTTGAGTTAAACACACACATCACTACGCAGATTCTGGGAATGATTTTGTCTTGTTTTTATACGAAGAAGTATCCTTTTCTACCATTGGCATCGAAGCGCTTGAAATCTCCACTAGCAAATTCCAAAAAAAGAGTGTTTCAAATCTGCTCTGTCTAAAGGAAGGTTGAACTCTGTGAGTTGCATACACACAACACAAAGTAGTTACTGAGAAATCTTTTGTCAAGCATAATATGAAGAAATCCCGTTTCCAACGAAGGCCTCAAAGAGGTCCGAATATCCACTGGCAGAGTTCCCAAACAGAGTGTTTCCTAACTGCTCTATGAAAAGAAAGGTTAAACTCTGTGAGTTGAACGCACACATCACAAAACATTTTCTGAGAATCATTCTGTCTAGTTTTTATACGAAGATATTTCCTTTTCTACCATTGACCTCAAAGCGGCTGAAATCTCCACTTGCAAATTCCAGAAAAACAGTGTTTCAAATCTGCTCTGTGTAAAGGATCGTTCAACTCTGTGAGTTGAATACACACAACACAAGGAAGTTACTGAGAATTCATCTGTCTAGCATAATATGAAGAAATCCCGTTTCCAACGAAGGCCTCAAAGAGGTCTGAATATCCACTTGCAGACTTTACAAACAGAGTGTTTCCTAACTGCTCTTTGAAAAGAAAGGTTAAACTCTGTGAGTTGAACGCACACATCACAAAACAGTTTCTGAGAATCATTCTGTCTAGTTTTTATACGAAGATATTTCCTTTTCTACCGTTGACCTCAAAGCGGCTGAATTCTCCACTTACAAATTCCACCAAAAGAGTGTCTCAAATCTGCTCTGTGTAAAGAATCATTCAACTCTGTGAGTTGAATGCACACAACACAAGGAAGTTACTGGGAATTCCTCTGTCTAACCTTACATGAAAAAACCCGTTTCCAACGAAGGCCTCTAAGAGGCCAAGATATCCACTTGCAGACTTTACAAACAGAGTGTTTCCAAACTGCTGAATGAAAAGAAAAGTTAAACTCTGTGAGTTGAACGCACACATCACAGAGCAGTTTCTGAGAATGATTCTGTCGGGTTTTTATACGAAGATATTTCCTTTTCTGCCTTTGGCCTCAAAGCGCTTGAAGTCTCCACTTGCAAATTGCAGAAAAAGAGTGTTTCGAATCTGCTCTGTCTAAAGGAAGGTTCAACTCTGTCAGTTGAATACACACAACACAAGGAAGTTACTGAGATTTCTTCTGTCTAGCCTTACATGAAAAAAACCCGTTTCCAACGAAGGCCTCAAAGAGGTCAAAATATCCACGTGCAGACTTTCCAAACAGAGTGTTTCCAAACTGCTGAATGAAAAGAAAAGTTAAACTCTGTGAGTTGAACGCACACATCCCAGAGCAGTTTCTGAGAAAGATTCTGTCGAGTTTTTATAGGAAAATATTTCCTTTTCTGCTTTTGGCCTCAAAGCGCTTGAAATCTCCACTTGCAAATTCCACAAAAAGAGACTTTCAAATCTGCTCTGTCTAAAGGAAGGTTCAACTCTGTCAGTTGAATACACACAACACAAAGAAGTTACTAAGAATTCTTCCCTCTAGCATTATATGAAGAAATCCCGTTTCCAACGAAGGCATCTAAGAGGTCCAAATATCCACTTGCAGACTTTACAAACACAGGGTTTCCAGAATGCTGTATGAAAAGAAAGGTTAAACTCTGTGAGTTAAACACACACATCACTACGCAGTGTCTGGGAACGAGTTTGTCTTGTTTTTATACGAAGATATTTCCTTTTCTACCATTGGCATCGAAGCGCTTGAAATCTCCACTTGCAAATTCCACAAAAAGAGTGTTTCAAATCTGCTCTGTCTAAAGGAAGGTTGAACTCTGTGAGTTGCATACACACAACACAAAGAAGTTACTGAGAAATCTTCTGTCTAGCATAATATGAAGAAATCCCGTTTCCAACGAAGGCCTCAAAGAGGTCCGAATATCCACTGGCAGGCTTCACAAACAGAGTGTTTCCTAACTGCTCTGTGAAAAGAAAGGTTAAACTCTGTGAGTTGAACGCACACATCACAAAGGAGTTTCTGAGAATCATTCTGTCTAGTTTTTATACGAAGATATTTCCTTTTCTACCATTGACCTCAAAGCGGCTGAAATCTCCACTTGCAAATTCCAGAAAAACAGTGTTTCAAATCTGCTCTGTGTAAAGGATCGTTCAACTCTGTGAGTTGAATACACACAACACAAGGAAGTTACTGAGAATTCATCTGTCTAGCATAATATGAAGAAATCCCGTTTCCAACGAAGGCCTCAAAGAGGTCTGAATATCCACTTGCAGACTTTACAAACAGAGTGTTTCCTAACTGCTCTTTGAAAAGAAAGGTTAAACTCTGTGAGTTGAACGCACACATCACAAAACAGTTTCTGAGAATCATTCTGTCTAGTTTTTATACGAAGATATTTCCTTTTCTACCGTTGACATCAAAGCGGCTGAATTCTCCACTTACAAATTCCACCAAAAGAGTGTCTCAAATCTGCTCTGTGTAAAGAATCATTCAACTCTGTGAGTTGAATGCACACAACACAAGGAAGTTAGTGGGAATTCCTCTGTCTAACCTTACATGATAAAACCCGTTTCCAACGAAGGCCTCTAAGAGGCCAAGATATCCACTTGCAGACTTTACAAACAGAGTGTTTCCAAACTGCTGAATGAAAAGAAAAGTTAAACTCTGTGAGTTGAACGCACACATCACAGAGCAGTTTCTGAGAATGATTCTGTCGGGTTTTTATACGAAGATATTTCCTTTTCTGCCTTTGGCCTCAAAGCGCTTGAAGTCTCCACTTGCAAATTGCAGAAAAAGAGTGTTTCGAATCTGCTCTGTCTAAAGGAAGGTTCAACTCTGTCAGTTGAATACACACAACACAAGGAAGTTACTGAGATTTCTTCTGTCTAGCCTTACATGAAAAAAACCCGTTTCCAACGAAGGCCTCAAAGAGGTCAAAATATCCACGTGCAGACTTTCCAAACAGAGTGTTTCCAAACTGCTGAATGAAAAGAAAAGTTAAACTCTGTGAGTTGAACGCACACATCCCAGAGCAGTTTCTGAGAAAGATTCTGTCGAGTTTTTATAGGAAAATATTTCCTTTTCTGCTTTTGGCCTCAAAGCGCTTGAAATCTCCACTTGCAAATTCCACAAAAAGAGACTTTCAAATCTGCTCTGTCTAAAGGAAGGTTCAACTCTGTCAGTTGAATACACACAACACAAAGAAGTTACTAAGAATTCTTCCCTCTAGCATTATATGAAGAAATCCCGTTTCCAACGAAGGCATCTAAGAGGTCCAAATATCCACTTGCAGACTTTACAAACACAGGGTTTCCAGAATGCTGTATGAAAAGAAAGGTTAAACTCTGTGAGTTAAACACACACATCACTACGCAGTGTCTGGGAACGAGTTTGTCTTGTTTTTATACGAAGATATTTCCTTTTCTACCATTGGCATCGAAGCGCTTGAAATCTCCACTTGCAAATTCCACAAAAAGAGTGTTTCAAATCTGCTCTGTCTAAAGGAAGGTTGAACTCTGTGAGTTGCATACACACAACACAAAGAAGTTACTGAGAAATCTTCTGTCTAGCATAATATGAAGAAATCCCGTTTCCAACGAAGGCCTCAAAGAGGTCCGAATATCCACTGGCAGGCTTCACAAACAGAGTGTTTCCTAACTGCTCTGTGAAAAGAAAGGTTAAACTCTGTGAGTTGAACGCACACATCACAAAGGAGTTTCTGAGAATCATTCTGTGTAGTTTTTATACGAAGATATTTCCTTTTCTACCATTGACCTCAAATCAGCTGAAATCTCCACTTGCAAATTCCAGAAAAACAGTGTTTCAAATCTGCTCTGTGTAAAGGATCGTTCAACTCTGTGAGTTGAATACACACAACACAAGGAAGTTACTGAGAATTCATCTGTCTAGCATAATATGAAGAAATCCCGTTTCCAACGAAGGCCTCAAAGAGGTCTGAATATCCACTTGCAGACTTTACAAACAGAGTGTTTCCTAACTGCTCTTTGAAAAGAAAGGTTAAACTCTGTGAGTTGAACGCACACATCACAAAACAGTTTCTGAGAATCATTCTGTCTAGTTTTTATACGAAGATATTTCCTTTTCTACCGTTGACATCAAAGCGGCTGAATTCTCCACTTACAAATTCCACCAAAAGAGTGTCTCAAATCTGCTCTGTGTAAAGAATCATTCAACTCTGTGAGTTGAATGCACACAACACAAGGAAGTTAGTGGGGAATTCCTCTGTCTAACCTTACATGAAAAAACCCGTTTCCAACGAAGGCCTCTAAGAGGCCAAGATATCCACTTGCAGACTTTACAAACAGAGTGTTTCCAAACTGCTGAATGAAAAGAAAAGTTAAACTCTGTGAGTTGAACGCACACATCACAGAGCAGTTTCTGAGAATGATTCTGTCGGGTTTTTATACGAAGATATTTCCTTTTCTGCCTTTGGCCTCAAAGCGCTTGAAGTCTCCACTTGCAAATTGCAGAAAAAGAGTGTTTCGAATCTGCTCTGTCTAAAGGAAGGTTCAACTCTGTCAGTTGAATACACACAACACAAGGAAGTTACTGAGATTTCTCTGTCTAGCCTTACATGAAAAAAAACCCGTTTCCAACGAAGGCCTCAAAGAGGTCAAAATATCCACGTGCAGACTTTCCAAACAGAGTGTTTCCAAACTGCTGAATGAAAAGAAAAGTTAAACTCTGTGAGTTGAACGCACACATCACAGAGCAGTTTCTGAGAAAGATTCTGTCGAGTTTTTATAGGAAAATATTTCCTTTTCTGCTTTTGGCCTCAAAGCGCTTGAAATCTCCACTTGCAAATTCCACAAAAAGAGACTTTCAAATCTGCTCTGTCTAAAGGAAGGTTCAACTCTGTCAGTTGAATACACACAACACAAAGAAGTTACTAAGAATTCTTCCCTCTAGCATTATATGAAGAAATCCCGTTTCCAAAGAAGGCATCCAAGAGGTCCAAATATCCACTTGCAGACTTTACAAACAGAGGGTTTCCAGAATGCTGTATGAAAAGAAAGGTTAAACTCTGTGAGTTAAACACACACATCACTACGCAGTGTCTGGGAACGAGTTTGTCTTGTTTTTATACGAAGATATTTCCTTTTCTACCATTGGCATCGAAGCGCTTGAAATCTGCACTTGCAAATTCCACAAAAAGAGTGTTTCAAATCTGCTCTGTCTAAAGGAAGGTTGAACTCTGTGAGTTGCATACACACAACACAAAGAAGTTACTGAGAAATCTTCTGTCTAGCATAATATGAAGAAATCCCGTTTCCAACGAAGGCCTCAAAGAGGTCCGATTATCCACTGGCAGGCTTCACAAACAGAGTGTTTCCTAACTGCTCTGTGAAAAGAAAGGTTAAACTCTGTGAGTTGAACGCACACATCACAAAGGAGTTTCTGAGAATCATTCTGTCTAGTTTTTATACGAAGATATTTCCTTTTCTACCATTGACCTCAAAGCGGCTGAAATCTCCACTTGCAAATTCCAGAAAAACAGTGTTTCAAATCTGCTCTGTGTAAAGGATCGTTCAACTCTGTGAGTTGAATACACACAACACAAGGAAGTTACTGAGAATTCATCTGTCTAGCATAATATGAAGAAATCCCGTTTCCAACGAAGGCCTCAAAGAGGTCTGAATATCCACTTGCAGACTTTACAGAGTGTTTCCTAACTGCTCTTTGAAAAGAAAGGTTAAACTCTGTGAGTTGAACGCACACATCACAAAACAGTTTCTGAGAATCATTCTGTCTAGTTTTTATACGAAGATATTTCCTTTTCTACCGTTGACCTCAAAGCGGCTGAATTCTCCACTTACAAATTCCACCAAAAGAGTGTCTCAAAACTGCTCTGTGTAAAGAATCATTCAACTCTGTGAGTTGAATGCACACAACACAAGGAAGTTACTGGGAATTCCTCTGTCTAACCTTACATGAAAAAACCCGTTTCCAACGAAGGCCTCTAAGAGGCCAAGATATCCACTTGCAGACTTTACAAACAGAGTGTTTCCAAACTGCTGAATGAAAAGAAAAGTTAAACTCTGTGAGTTGAACGCACACATCACAGAGCAGTTTCTGAGAATGATTCTGTCGGGTTTTTATACGAAGATATTTCCTTTTCTGCCTTTGGCCTCAAAGCGCTTGAAGTCTCCACTTGCAAATTGCAGAAAAAGAGTGTTTCGAATCTGCTCTGTCTAAAGGAAGGTTCAACTCTGTCAGTTGAATACACACAACACAAGGAAGTTACTGAGATTTCTTCTGTCTAGCCTTACATGAAAAAAACCCGTTTCCAACGAAGGCCTCAAAGAGGTCAAAATATCCACGTGCAGACTTTCCAAACAGAGTGTTTCCAAACTGCTGAATGAAAAGAAAAGTTAAACTCTGTGAGTTGAACGCACACATCCCAGAGCAGTTTCTGAGAAAGATTCTGTCGAGTTTTTATAGGAAAATATTTCCTTTTCTGCTTTTGGCCTCAAAGCGCTTGAAATCTCCACTTGCAAATTCCACAAAAAGAGACTTTCAAATCTGCTCTGTCTAAAGGAAGGTTCAACTCTGTCAGTTGAATACACACAACACAAAGAAGTTACTAAGAATTCTTCCCTCTAGCATTATATGAAGAAATCCCGTTTCCAACGAAGGCATCTAAGAGGTCCAAATATCCACTTGCAGACTTTACAAACACAGGGTTTCCAGAATGCTGTATGAAAAGAAAGGTTAAACTCTGTGAGTTAAACACACACATCACTACGCAGTGTCTGGGAACGAGTTTGTCTTGTTTGTATACGAAGATATTTCCTTTTCTACCATTGGCATCGATGCGCTTGAAATTTCCACTTGCAAATTCCACAAAAAGAGTGTTTCAAATCTGCTCTGTCTAAAGGAAGGTTGAACTCTGTGAGTTGCATACACACAACACAAAGAAGTTACTGAGAAATCTTCTGTCTAGCAAAATATGAAGAAATCCCGTTTCCAACGAAGGCCTCAAAGAGGTCCGAATATCCACTGGCAGGCTTCACAAACAGAGTGTTTCCTAACTGCTCTGTGAAAAGAAAGGTTAAACTCTGTGAGTTGAACGCACACATCACAAAGGAGTTTCTGAGAATCATTCTGTCTAGTTTTTATACGAAGATATTTCCTTTTCTACCATTGACCTCAAAGCGGCTGACATCTCCACTTGCAAATTCCAGAAAAACAGTGTTTCAAATCTGCTCTGTGTAAAGGATCGTTCAACTCTGTGAGTTGAATACACACAACACAAGGAAGTTACTGAGAATTCATCTGTCTAGCATAATATGAAGAAATCCCGTTTCCAACGAAGGCCTCAAAGAGGTCTGAATATCCACTTGCAGACTTTACAAACAGAGTGTTTCCTAACTGCTCTTTGAAAAGAAAGGTTAAACTCTGTGAGTTGAACGCACACATCACAAAACAGTTTCTGAGAATCATTCTGTCTAGTTTTTATACGAAGATATTTCCTTTTCTACCGTTGACCTCAAAGCGGCTGAATTCTCCACTTACAAATTCCACCCAAAGAGTGTCTCAAATCTGCTCTGTGTAAAGAATCATTCAACTCTGTGAGTTGAATGCACACAACACAAGGAAGTTACTGGGAATTCCTCTGTCTATCCTTACATGAAAAAACCCGTTTCCAACGAAGGCCTCTAAGAGGCCAAGATATCCACTTGCAGACTTTACAAACAGAGTGTTTCCAAACTGCTGAATGAAAAGAAAAGTTAAACTGCTGTGAGTTGAACGCACACATCACAGAGCAGTTTCTGAGAAGGATTCTGTCGGGTTTTTATACGAAGATATTTCCTTTTCTGCCTTTGGCCTCAAAGCGCTTGAAGTCTCCACTTGCAAATTGCAGAAAAAGAGTGTTTCGAATCTGCTCTGTCTAAAGGAAGGTTCAACTCTGTCAGTTGAATACGCACAACACAAGGAAGTTACTGAGATTTCTTCTGTCTAGCCTTACATGAAAAAAACCCGTTTCCAACGAAGGCCTCAAAGAGGTCAAAATATCCACGTGCAGACTTTCCAAACAGAGTGTTTCCAAACTGCTGAATGAAAAGAAAAGTTAAACTCTGTGAGTTGAACGCACACATCCCAGAGCAGTTTCTGAGAAAGATTCTGTCTAGTTTTTATAGGAAAATATTTCCTTTTCTGCTTTTGGCCTCAAAGCGCTTGAAATCTCCACTTGCAAATTCCACAAAAAGAGACTTTCAAATCTGCTCTGTCTAAAGGAAGGTTCAACTCTGTCAGTTGAATACACACAACACAAAGAAGTTACTAAGAATTCTTCCCTCTAGCATTATATGAAGAAATCCCGTTTCCAACGAAGGCATCTAAGAGGTCCAAATATCCACTTGCAGACTTTACAAACAGAGGGTTTCCAGAATGCTGTATGAAAAGAAAGGTGAAACTGCTGTGAGTTAAACACACACATCACTACGCAGTGTCTGGGAACGAGTTTGTCTTGTTTTTAAACGAAGATATTTCCTTTTCTACCATTGGCATCGAAGCGCTTGAAATCTCCACTTGCAAATTCCACAAAAAGAGTGTTTCAAATCTGCTCTGTCTAAAGGAAGGTTGAACTCTGTGAGTTGCATACACACAACACAAAGAAGTTACTGAGAAATCTTCTGTCTAGCATAATATGAAGAAATCCCGTTTCCAACGAAGGCCTCAAAGAGGTCCGAATATCCACTGGCAGGCTTCACAAACAGAGTGTTTCCTAACTGCTCTGTGAAAAGAAAGGTTAAACTCTGTGAGTTGAACGCACACATCACAAAGGAGTTTCTGAGAATCATTCTGTCTAGTTTTTATACGAAGATATTTCCTTTTCTACCATTGACCTCAAAGCAGCTGAAATCTCCACTTGCAAATTCCAGAAAAACAGTGTTTCAAATCTGCTCTGTGTAAAGGATCGTTCAACTCTGTGAGTTGAATACACACAACACAAGGAAGTTACTGAGAATTCATCTGTCTAGCATAATATGAAGAAATCCCGTTTCCAACGAAGGCCTCAAAGAGGTCTGAATATCCACTTGCAGACTTTACAAACAGAGTGTTTCCTAACTGCTCTTTGAAAAGAAAGGTTAAACTCTGTGAGTTGAACGCACACATCACAAAACAGTTTCTGAGAATCATTCTGTCTAGTTTTTATACGAAGATATTTCCTTTTCTACCGTTGACCTCAAAGCGGCTGAATTCTCCACTTACAAATTCCACCAAAAGAGTGTCTCAAATCTGCTCTGTGTAAAGAATCATTCAACTCTGTGAGTTGAATGCACACAACACAAGGAAGTTACTGGGAATTCCTCTGTCTATCCTTACATGAAAAAACCCGTTTCCAACGAAGGCCTCTAAGAGGCCAAGATATCCACTTGCAGACTTTACAAACAGAGTGTTTCCAAACTGCTGAATGAAAAGAAAAGTTAAACTCTGTGAGTTGAACGCACACATCACAGAGCAGTTTCTGAGAATGATTCTGTCGGGTTTTTATACGAAGATATTTCCTTTTCTGCCTTTGGCCTCAAAGCGCTTGAAGTCTCCACTTGCAAATTGCAGAAAAAGAGTGTTTCGAATCTGCTCTGTCTAAAGGAAGGTTCAACTCTGTCAGTTGAATACACACAACACAAGGAAGTTACTGAGATTTCTTCTGTCTAGCCTTACATGAAAAAAACCCGTTTCCAACGAAGGCCTCAAAGAGGTCAAAATATCCACGTGCAGACTTTCCAAACAGAGTGTTTCCAAACTGCTGAATGAAAAGAAAAGTTAAACTCTGTGAGTTGAACGCACACATCCCAGAGCAGTTTCTGAGAAAGATTCTGTCGAGTTTTTATAGGAAAATATTTCCTTTTCTGCTTTTGGCCTCAAAGCGCTTGAAATCTCCACTTGCAAATTCCACAAAAAGAGACTTTCAAATCTGCTCTGTCTAAAGGAAGGTTCAACTCTGTCAGTTGAATACACACAACACAAAGAAGTTACTAAGAATTCTTCCCTCTAGCATTATATGAAGAAATCCCGTTTCCAACGAAGGCATCTAAGAGGTCCAAATATCCACTTGCAGACTTTACAAACACAGGGTTTCCAGAATGCTGTATGAAAAGAAAGGTTAAACTCTGTGAGTTAAACACACATATCACTACGCAGTGTCTGGGAACGAGTTTGTCTTGTTTTTATACGAAGATATTTCCTTTTCTACCATTGGCATCGAAGCGCTTGAAATCTCCACTTGCAAATTCCACAAAAAGAGTGTTTCAAATCTGCTCTGTCTAAAGGAAGGTTGAACTCTGTGAGTTGCATACACACAACACAAAGAAGTTACTGAGAAATCTTCTGTCTAGCATAATATGAAGAAATCCCGTTTCCAACGAAGGCCTCAAAGAGGTCCGAATATCCACTGGCAGGCTTCACAAACAGAGTGTTTCCTAACTGCTCTGTGAAAAGAAAGGTTAAACCCTGTGAGTTGAACGCACACATCACAAAGGAGTTTCTGAGAATCATTCTGTCCAGTTTTTATACGAAGATATTTCCTTTTCTACCATTGACCTCAAAGCGGCTGAAATCTCCACTTGCAAATTCCAGAAAAACAGTGTTTCAAATCTGCTCTGTGTAAAGGATCGTTCAACTCTGTGAGTTGAATACACACAACACAAGGAAGTTACTGAGAATTCATTCTGTCTAGCATAATATGAAGAAATCCCGTTTCCAACGAAGGCCTCAAAGAGGTCTGAATATCCACTTGCAGACTTTACAAACAGAGTGTTTCCTAACTGCTCTTTGAAAAGAAAGGTTAAACTCTGTGAGTTGAACGCACACATCACAAAACAGTTTCTGAGAATCATTCTGTCTAGTTTTTATACGAAGATATTTCCTTTTCTACCGTTGACCTCAAAGCGGCTGAATTCTCCACTTAAAAATTCCACCAAAAGAGTGTCTCAAATCTGCTCTGTGTAAAGAATCATTCAACTCTGTGAGTTGAATGCACACAACACAAGGAAGTTACTGGGAATTCCTCTGTCTAACCTTACATGAAAAAACCCGTTTCCAACGAAGGCCTCTAAGAGGCCAAGATATCCACTTGCAGACTTTACAAACAGAGTGTTTCCAAACTGCTGAATGAAAAGAAAAGTTAAACTCTGTGAGTTGAACGCACACATCACAGAGCAGTTTCTGAGAATGATTCTGTCGGGTTTTTATACGAAGATATTTCCTTTTCTGCCTTTGGCCTCAAAGCGCTTGAAGTCTCCACTTGCAAATTGCAGAAAAAGAGTGTTTCGAATCTGCTCTGTCTAAAGGAAGGTTCAACTCTGTCAGTTGAATACACACAACACAAGGAAGTTACTGAGATTTCTTCTGTCTAGCCTTACATGAAAAAAACCCGTTTCCAACGAAGGCCTCAAAGAGGTCAAAATATCCACGTGCAGACTTTCCAAACAGAGTGTTTCCAAACTGCTGAATGAAAAGAAAAGTTAAACTCTGTGAGTTGAACGCACACATCACAGAGCAGTTTCTGAGAATGATTCTGTCTAGTTTTTATAGGAAAATATTTCCTTTTCTGCTTTTGGCCTCAAAGCGCTTGAAATCTCCACTTGCAAATTCCACAAAAAGAGACTTTCAAATCTGCTCTGTCTAAAGGAAGGTTCAACTCTGTCAGTTGAATACACACAACACAAAGAAGTTACTAAGAATTCTTCCCTCTAGCATTATATGAAGAAATCCCGTTTCCAACGAAGGCATCTAAGAGGTCCAAATATCCACTTGCAGACTTTACAAACAGAGGGTTTCCAGAATGCTGTATGAAAAGGAAGGTGAAACTCTGTGAGTTAAACACACACATCACTACGCAGTGTCTGGGAACGAGTTTGTCTTGTTTTTATACGAAGATATTTCCTTTTCTACCATTGGCATCGAAGCGCTTGAAATCTCCACTTGCAAATTCCACAAAAAGAGTGTTTCAAATCTGCTCTGTCTAAAGGAAGGTTGAACTCTGTGAGTTGCATACACACAACACAAAGAAGTTACTGAGAAATCTTCTGTCTAGCATAATATGAAGAAATCCCGTTTCCAACGAAGGCCTCAAAGAGGTCCGAATATCCACTGGCAGGCTTCACAAACAGAGTGTTTCCTAACTGCTCTGTGAAAAGAAAGGTTAAACTCTGTGAGTTGAACGCACACATCACAAAGGAGTTTCTGAGAATCATTCTGTCTAGTTTTTATACGAAGATATTTCCTTTTCTACCATTGACCTCAAAGCGGCTGAAATCTCCACTTGCAAATTCCAGAAAAACAGTGTTTCAAATCTGCTCTGTGTAAAGGATCGTTCAACTCTGTGAGTTGAATACACACAACACAAGGAAGTTACTGAGAATTCATCTGTCTAGCATAATATGAAGAAATCCCGTTTCCAACGAAGGCCTCAAAGAGGTCTGAATATCCACTTGCAGACTTTACAAACAGAGTGTTTCCTAACTGCTCTTTGAAAAGAAAGGTTAAACTCTGTGAGTTGAACGCACACATCACAAAACAGTTTCTGAGAATCATTCTGTCTAGTTTTTATACGAAGATATTTCCTTTTCTACCGTTGACCTCAAAGCGGCTGAATTCTCCACTTACAAATTCCACCAAAAGAGTGTCTCAAAACTGCTCTGTGTAAAGAATCATTCAACTCTGTGAGTTGAATGCACACAACACAAGGAAGTTACTGGGAATTCCTCTGTCTATCCTTACATGAAAAAACCCGTTTCCAACGAAGGCCTCTAAGAGGCCAAGATATCCACTTGCAGACTTTACAAACAGAGTGTTTCCAAACTGCTGAATGAAAAGAAAAGTTAAACTCTGTGAGTTGAACGCACACATCACAGAGCAGTTTCTGAGAATGATTCTGTCGGGTTTTTATACGAAGATATTTCCTTTTCTGCCTTTGGCCTCAAAGCGCTTGAAGTCTCCACTTGCAAATTGCAGAAAAAGAGTGTTTCGAATCTGCTCTGTCTAAAGGAAGGTTCAACTCTGTCAGTTGAATACACACAACACAAGGAAGTTACTGAGATTTCTTCTGTCTAGCCTTACATGAAAAAAACCCGTTTCCAACGAAGGCCTCAAAGAGGTCAAAATATCCACGTGCAGACTTTCCAAACAGAGTGTTTCCAAACTGCTGAATGAAAAGAAAAGTTAAACTCTGTGAGTTGAACGCACACATCCCAGAGCAGTTTCTGAGAAAGATTCTGTCTAGTTTTTATAGGAAAGTATTTCCTTTTCTGCTTTTGCCCTCAAAGCGCTTGAAATCTCCACTTGCAAATTCCACAAAAAGAGACTTTCAAATCTGCTCTGTCTAAAGGAAGGTTCAACTCTGTCAGTTGAATACACACAACACAAAGAAGTTACTAAGAATTCTTCCCTCTAGCATTATATGAAGAAATCCCGTTTCCAACGAAGGCATCTAAGAGGTCCAAATATCCACTTGCAGACTTTACAAACAGAGGGTTTCCAGAATGCTGTATGAAAAGAAAGGTTAAACTCTGTGAGTTAAACACACACATCACTACGCAGTGTCTGGGAACGAGTTTGTCTTGTTTTTATACGAAGATATTTCCTTTTCGACCATTGGCGTCGAAGCGCTTGAAATCTCCACTTGCAAATTCCACAAAAAGAGTGTTTCAAATCTGCTCTGTCTAAGGGAAGGATGAACTCTTTGAGTTGCGTACACACAACACAAAGTAGTTACTGAGAAATCTGTCTAGCATAATATGAAGAAATCCCGTTTCCAACGAAGGCCTCAAAGAGGTCCGAATATCCACTGGCAGACTTCACAAACAGAGTGTTTCCTAACTGCTCTGTGAAAAGAAAGGTTAAACTCTGTGAGTTGAACGCACACATCACAAAGGAGTTTCTGAGAATCATTCTGTCTACTTTTTATACGAAGATATTTCCTTTTCTACCATTGACCTCAAAGCGGCTGAAATCTCCACTTGCAAATTCCAGAAAAAGAGTGTTTCAAATCTGCGCTGTGTAAAGGATCGTTCAACCCTGTGAGTTGAATACACACAACACAAGGAAGTTACTGAGAATTCTTCTGTCTAGCATAATATGAAGAAATCCCGTTTCCAACGAAGGCCTCAAAGAGGTCTGAATATCCACTTGCAGACTTTACAAACAGAGTGTTTCCTAACTGCTCTTTGAAAAGAAAGGTTAAACTCTGTGAGTTGAACGCACACATCACAAAACAGTTTCTGAGAATCATTCTGTCTAGTTTTTATACGAAGGTATTTCCTTTTCTACCGTTGACCTCAAAGCGGTTGAATTCTCCACTTACAAATTCCACCCAAAGAGTGTCTCAAATCTGCTCTGTGTAAAGAATCATTCAACTCTGTGAGTTGAATGCACACAACACAAGGAAGTTACTGGGAATTCCTCTGTCTAACCTTACATGAAAAAACCCGTTTCCAACGAAGGCCTCTAAGAGGCCAAGATATCCACTTGCAGACTTTACAAACAGAGTGTTTCCAAACTGCTGAATGAAAAGAAAAGTTAAACTCTGTGAGTTGAACGCACACATCACAGAGCAGTTTCTGAGAATGATTCTGTCGGGTTTTTATACGAAGATATTTCCTTTTCTGCCTTTGGCCTCAAAGCGCTTGAAGTCTCCACTTGCAAATTGCAGAAAAAGAGTGTTTCGAATCTGCTCTGTCTAAAGGAAGGTTCAACTCTGTCAGTTGAATACACACAACACAAGGAAGTTACTGAGATTTCTTCTGTCTAGCCTTACATGAAAAAAACCCGTTTCCAACGAAGGCCTCAAAGAGGTCAAAATATCCACGTGCAGACTTTCCAAACAGAGTGTTTCCAAACTGCTGAATGAAAAGAAAAGTTAAACTCTGTGAGTTGAACGCACACATCCCAGAGCAGTTTCTGAGAAAGATTCCTGTCGAGGTTTTATAGGAAAATATTTCCTTTTCTGCTTTTGGCCTCAAAGCGCTTGAAATCTCCACTTGCAAATTCCACAAAAAGAGACTTTCAAATCTGCTCTGTCTAAAGGAAGGTTCAACTCTGTCAGTTGAATACACACAACACAAAGAAGTTACTAAGAATTCTTCCCTCTAGCATTATATGAAGAAATCCCGTTTCCAACGAAGGCATCTAAGAGGTCCAAATATCCACTTGCAGACTTTACAAACACAGGGTTTCCAGAATGCTGTATGAAAAGAAAGGTGAAACTCTGTGAGTTAAACACACACATCACTACGCAGTGTCTGGGAACGAGTTTGTCTTGTTTTTCTACGAAGATATTTCTTTTCTACCATTGGCATCGAAGCGCTTGAAATCTCCACTTGCAAATTCCACAAAAAGAGTGTTTCAAATCTGCTCTGTCTAAAGGAAGGTTGAACTCTGTGAGTTGCATACACACAACACAAAGAAGTTACTGAGAAATCTTCTGTCTAGCATAATATGAAGAAATCCCGTTTCCAACGAAGGCCTCAAAGAGGTCCGAATATCCACTGGCAGGCTTCACAAACAGAGTGTTTCCTAACTGCTCTGTGAAAAGAAAGGTTAAACTCTGTGAGTTGAACGCACACATCACAAAGGAGTTTCTGAGAATCATTCCGTCTAGTTTTTATACGAAGATATTTCTTTTTCTACCATTGACCTCAAAGCGGCTGAAATCTCCACTTGCAAATTTCAGAAAAACAGTGTTTCAAATCTGCTCTGTGTAAAGGATCGTTCAACTCTGTGAGTTGAATACACACAACACAAGGAAGTTACTGAGAATTCATCTGTCTAGCATAATATGAAGAAATCCCGTTTCCAACGAAGGCCTCAAAGAGGTCTGAATATCCACTTGCAGACTTTACAAACAGAGTGTTTCCTAACTGCTCTTTGAAAAGAAAGGTTAAACTCTGTGAGTTGAACGCACACATCACAAAACAGTTTCTGAGAATCATTCTGTCTAGTTTTTATACGAAGATATTTCCTTTTCTACCGTTGACCTCAAAGCGGCTGAATTCTCCACTAACAAATTCCACCAAAAGAGTGTCTCAAATCTGCTCTGTGTAAAGAATCATTCAACTCTGTGAGTTGAATGCACACAACACAAGGAAGTTACTGGGAATTCCTCTGTCTATCCTTACATGAAAAAACCCGTTTCCAACGAAGGCCTCTAAGAGGCCAAGATATCCACTTGCAGACTTTACAAACAGAGTGTTTCCAAACTGCTGAATGAAAAGAAAAGTTAAACTCTGTGAGTTGAACGCACACATCACAGAGCAGTTTCTGAGAAAGATTCTGTCTAGTTTTTATAGGAAAATATTTCCTTTTCTGCTTTTGGCCTCAAAGCGCTTGAAATCTCCACTTGCAAATTCCACAAAAAGAGTGTTTCAAATCTGCTCTGTCTAAAGGAAGGTTGAACTCTGTGAGTTGCATACACACAACACAAAGAAGTTACTGAGAAATCTTCTGTCTAGTATAATATGAAGAAATCCCGTTTCCAACGAAGGCCTCAAAGAGGTCCGAATATCCACTGGCAGGCTTCACAAACAGAGTGTTTCCTAACTGCTCTGTGAAAAGAAAGGTTAAACTCTGTGAGTTGAACGCACACATCACAAAGGAGTTTCTGAGAATCATTCTGTCTAGTTTTTATACGAAGATATTTCCTTTTCTACCATTGACCTCAAAGCGGCTGAAATCTCCACTTGCAAATTCCAGAAAAACAGTGTTTCAAATCTGCTCTGTGTAAAGGATCGTTTAACTCTGTGAGTTGAATACACACAACACAAGGAAGTTACTGAGAATTCATCTGTCTAGCATAATATGAAGAAATCCCGTTTCCAACGAAGGCCTCAAAGAGGTCTGAATATCCACTTGCAGACTTTACAAACAGAGTGTTTCCTAACTGCTCTTTGAAAAGAAAGGTTAAACTCTGTGAGTTGAACGCACACATCACAAAACAGTTTCTGAGAATCATTCTGTCTAGTTTTTATACGAAGATATTTCCTTTTCTACCGTTGACCTCAAAGCAGCTGAATTCTCCACTTACAAATTCCACCAAAAGAGTGTCTCAAATCTGCTCTGTGTAAAGAATCATTCAACTCTGTGAGTTGAATGCACACAACACAAGGGAAGTTACTGGGAATTCCTCTGTCTAACCTTACATGAAAAAACCCGTTTCCAACGAAGGCCTCTAAGAGGCCAAGATATCCACTTGCAGACTTTACAAACAGAGTGTTTCCAAACTGCTGAATGAAAAGAAAAGTTAAACTCTGTGAGTTGAACGCACACATCACAGAGCAGTTTCTGAGAAAGATTCTGTCGAGTTTTTATAGGAAAATATTTCCTTTTCTGCTTTTGGCCTCAAAGCGCTTGAAATCTCCACTTGCAAATTCCACAAAAAGAGACTTTCAAATCTGCTCTGTCTAAAGGAAGGTTCAACTCTGTCAGTTGAATACACACAACACAAAGAAGTTACTAAGAATTCTTCCCTCTAGCATTATATGAAGAAATCCCGTTTCCAACGAAGGCATCTAAGAGGTCCAAATATCCACTTGCAGACTTTACAAACAGAGGGTTTCCAGAATGCTGTATGAAAAGAAAGGTTAAACTCTGTGAGTTAAACACACACATCACTACGCAGTGTCTGGGAACGAGTTTGTCTTGTTTTTATACGAAGATATTTCCTTTTCTACCATTGGCATCGAAGCGTTTGAAATCTCCACTTGCAAATTCCACAAAAAGAGTGTTTCAAATCTGCTCTGTCTAAAGGAAGGTTGAACTCTGTGAGTTGCATACACACAACACAAAGAAGTTACTGAGAAATCTTCTGTCTAGCATAATATGAAGAAATCCCGTTTCCAACGAAGGCCTCAAAGAGGTCCGAATATCCACTGGCAGGCTTCACAAACAGAGTGTTTCCTAACTGCTCTGTGAAAAGAAAGGTTAAACTCTGTGAGTTGAACGCACACATCACAAAGGAGTTTCTGAGAATCATTCTGTCTAGTTTTTATACGAAGATATTTCCTTTTCTACCGTTGACCTCAAAGCGGCTGAAATCTCCACTTGCAAATTCCAGAAAAACAGTGTTTCAAATCTGCTCTGTGTAAAGGATCGTTCAACTCTGTGAGTTGAATACACACAACACAAGGAAGTTACTGAGAATTCATCTGTCTAGCATAATATGAAGAAATCCCGTTTCCAACGAAGGCCTCAAAGAGGTCTGAATATCCACTTGCAGACTTTACAAACAGAGTGTTTCCTAACTGCTCTTTGAAAAGAAAGGTTAAACTCTGTGAGTTGAACGCACACATCACAAAACAGTTTCTGAGAATCATTCTGTCTAGTTTTTATACGAAGATATTTCCTTTTCTACCGTTGACCTCAAAGCGGCTGAATTCTCCACTTACAAATTCCACCAAAAGAGTGTCTCAAATCTGCTCTGTGTAAAGAATCATTCAACTCTGTGAGTTGAATGCACACAACACAAGGAAGTTACTGGGAATTCCTCTGTCTAACCTTACATGAAAAAACCCGTTTCCAACGAAGGCCTCTAAGAGGCCAAGATATCCACTTGCAGACTTTACAAACAGAGTGTTTCCAAACTGCTGAATGAAAAGAAAAGTTAAACTCTGTGAGTTGAACGCACACATCACAGAGCAGTTTCTGAGAATGATTCTGTCGGGTTTTTATACGAAGATATTTCCTTTTCTGCCTTTGGCCTCAAAGCGCTTGAAGTCTCCACTTGCAAATTGCAGAAAAAGAGTGTTTCGAATCTGCTCTGTCTAAAGGAAGGTTCAACTCTGTCAGTTGAATACACACAACACAAGGAAGTTACTGAGATTTCTTCTGTCTAGCCTTACATGAAAAAAACCCGTTTCCAACGAAGGCCTCAAAGAGGTCAAAATATCCACGTGCAGACTTTCCAAACAGAGTGTTTCCAAACTGCTGAATGAAAAGAAAAGTTAAACTCTGTGAGTTGAACGCACACATCCCAGAGCAGTTTCTGAGAAAGATTCTGTCGAGTTTTTATAGGAAAATATTTCCTTTTCTGCTTTTGGCCTCAAAGCGCTTGAAATCTCCACTTGCAAATTCCACAGAAAGAGACTTTCAAATCTGCTCTGTCTAAAGAAGGTTCAACTCTGTCAGTTGAATACACACAACACAAAGAAGTTACTAAGAATTCTTCCCTCTAGCATTATATGAAGAAATCCCGTTTCCAACGAAGGCATCTAAGAGGTCCAAATATCCACTTGCAGACTTTACAAACACAGGGTTTCCAGAATGCTGTATGAAAAGAAAGGTTAAACTCTGTGAGTTGAACGCACACATCACAAAGGAGTTTCTGAGAATCATTCTGTCTAGTTTTTATACGAAGATATTTCCTTTTCTACCATTGACCTCAAAGCGGCTGAAATCTCCACTTGCAAATTCCAGAAAAACAGTGTTTCAAATCTGCTCTGTGTAAAGGATCGTTTAACTCTGTGAGTTGAATACACACAACACAAGGAAGTTACTGAGAATTCATCTGTCTAGCATAATATGAAGAAATCCCGTTTCCAACGAAGGCCTCAAAGAGGTCTGAATATCCACTTGCAGACTTTACAAACAGAGTGTTTCCTAACTGCTCTTTGAAAAGAAAGGTTAAACTCTGTGAGTTGAACGCACACATCACAAAACAGTTTCTGAGAATCATTCTGTCTAGTTTTTATACGAAGATATTTCCTTTTCTACCGTTGACCTCAAAGCGGCTGAATTCTCCACTTACAAATTCCACCAAAAGAGTGTCTCAAATCTGCTCTGTGTAAAGAATCATTCAACTCTGTGAGTTGAATGCACACAACACAAGGAAGTTACTGGGAATTCCTCTGTCTAACCTTACATGAAAAAACCCGTTTCCAACGAAGGCCTCTAAGAGGCCAAGATATCCACTTGCAGACTTTACAAACAGAGTGTTTCCAAACTGCTGAATGAAAAGAAAAGTTAAACTCTGTGAGTTGAACGCACACATCACAGAGCAGTTTCTGAGAATGATTCTGTCGGGTTTTTATACGAAGATATTTCCTTTTCTGCCTTTGGCCTCAAAGCGCTTGAAGTCTCCACTTGCAAATTGCAGAAAAAGAGTGTTTCGAATCTGCTCTGTCTAAAGGAAGGTTCAACTCTGTCAGTTGAATACACACAACACAAGGAAGTTACTGAGATTTCTTCTGTCTAGCCTTACAAGAAAAAAACCCGTTTCCAACGAAGGCCTCAAAGAGGTCAAAATATCCACGTGCAGACTTTCCAAACAGAGTGTTTCCAAACTGCTGAATGGAAAGAAAAGTTAAACTCTGTGAGTTGAACGCACACATCCCAGAGCAGTTTCTGAGAAAGATTCTGTCGAGTTTTTATAGGAAAATATTTCCTTTTCTGCTTTTGGCCTCAAAGCGCTTGAAATCTCCACTTGCAAATTCCACAAAAAGAGACTTTCAAATCTGCTCTGTCTAAAGGAAGGTTCAACTCTGTCAGTTGAATACACACAACACAAAGAAGTTACTAAGAATTCTTCCCTCTAGCATTATATGAAGAAATCCCGTTTCCAACGAAGGCATCTAAGAGGTCCAAATATCCACTTGCAGACTTTACAAACACAGGGTTTCCAGAATGCTGTATGAAAAGAAAGGTTAAACTCTGTGAGTTAAACACACACATCACTACGCAGTGTCTGGGAACGAGTTTGTCTTGTTTTTATACGAAGATATTTCCTTTTCTACCATTGGCATCGAAGCGCTTGAAATCTCCACTTGCAAATTCCACAAAAACAGTGTTTCAAATCTGCTCTGTCTAAAGGAAGGTTGAACTCTGTGAGTTGCATACACACAACACAAAGAAGTTACTGAGAAATCTTCTGTCTAGCATAATATGAAGAAATCCCGTTTCCAACGAAGGCCTCAAAGAGGTCCGAATATCCACTGGCAGGCTTCACAAACAGAGTGTTTCCTAACTGCTCTGTGAAAAGAAAGGTTAAACTCTGTGAGTTGAACGCACACATCACAAAGGAGTTTCTGAGAATCATTCTGTCTAGTTTTTATACGAAGATATTTCCTTTTCTACCATTGACCTCAAAGCGGCTGAAATCTCCACTTGCAAATTCCAGAAAAACAGTGTTTCAAATCTGCTCTGTGTAAAGGATCGTTTAACTCTGTGAGTTGAATACACACAACACAAGGAAGTTACTGAGAATTCATCTGTCTAGCATAATATGAAGAAATCCCGTTTCCAACGAAGGCCTCAAAGAGGTCTGAATATCCACTTGCAGACTTTACAAACAGAGTGTTTCCTAACTGCTCTTTGAAAAGAAAGGTTAAACTCTGTGAGTTGAACGCACACATCACAAAACAGTTTCTGAGAATCATTCTGTCTAGTTTTTATACGAAGATATTTCCTTTTCTACCGTTGACCTCAAAGCGGCTGAATTCTCCACTTACAAATTCCACCAAAAGAGTGTCTCAAATCTGCTCTGTGTAAAGAATCATTCAACTCTGTGAGTTGAATGCACACAACACAAGGAAGTTACCGGGAATTCCTCTGTCTAACCTTACATGAAAAAACCCGTTTCCAACGAAGGCCTCTAAGAGGCCAAGATATCCACTTGCAGACTTTACAAACAGAGTGTTTCCAAACTGCTGAATGAAAAGAAAAGTTAAACTCTGTGAGTTGAACGCACACATCACAGAGCAGTTTCTGAGAATGATTCTGTCGGGTTTTTATACGAAGATATTTCCTTTTCTGCCTTTGGCCTCAAAGCGCTTGAAGTCTCCACTTGCAAATTGCAGAAAAAGAGTGTTTCGAATCTGCTCTGTCTAAAGGAAGGTTCAACTCTGTCAGTTGAATACACACAACACAAGGAAGTTACTGAGATTTCTTCTGTCTAGCCTTACATGAAAAAAACCCGTTTCCAACGAAGGCCTCAAAGAGGTCAAAATATCCACGTGCAGACTTTCCAAACAGAGTGTTTCCAAACTGCTGAATGAAAAGAAAAGTTAAACTCTGTGAGTTGAACGCACACATCCCAGAGCAGTTTCTGAGAAAGATTCTGTCTAGTTTTTATAGGAAAATATTTCCTTTTCTGCTTTTGGCCTCAAAGCGCTTGAAATCTCCACTTGCAAATTCCACAAAAAGAGTGTTTCAAATCTGCTCTGTCTAAAGGAAGGTTGAACTCTGTGAGTTGCATACACACAACACAAAGAAGTTACTGAGAAATCTTCTGTCTAGCATAATATGAAGAAATCCCGTTTCCAACGAAGGCCTCAAAGAGGTCCGAATATCCACTGGCAGGCTTCACAAACAGAGTGTTTCCTAACTGCTCTGTGAAAAGAAAGGTTAAACTCTGTGAGTTGAACGCACACATCACAAAGGAGTTTCTGAGAATCATTCTGTCTAGTTTTTATACGAAGATATTTCCTTTTCTACCATTGACCTCAAAGCGGCTGAAATCTCCACTTGCAAATTCCAGAAAAAGAGTGTTTCAAATCTGCTCTGTGTAAAGGATCGTTCAACTCTGTGAGTTGAATACACACAACACAAGGAAGTTACTGAGAATTCATCTGTCTAGCATAATATGAAGAAATCCCGTTTCCAACGAAGGCCTCAAAGAGGTCTGAATATCCACTTGCAGACTTTACAAACAGTGTTTCCTAACTGCTCTTTGAAAAGAAAGGTTAAACTCTGTGAGTTGAACGCACACATCACAAAACAGTTTCTGAGAATCATTCTGTCTAGTTTTTATACGAAGATATTTCCTTTTCTACCGTTGACCTCAAAGCAGCTGAATTCTCCACTTACAAATTCCACCAAAAGAGTGTCTCAAATCTGCTCTGTGTAAAGAATCATTCAACTCTGTGAGTTGAGTGCACACAACACAAGGAAGTTACTGGGAATTCCTCTGTCTAACCTTACATGAAAAAACCCGTTTCCAACGAAGGCCTCTAATTAGGCCAAGATATCCACTTGCAGACTTTACAAACAGAGTGTTTCCAAACTGCTGAATGAAAAGAAAAGTTAAACTCTGTGAGTTGAACGCACACATCACAGAGCAGTTTCTGAGAATGATTCTGTCGGGTTTTTATACGAAGATATTTCCTTTTCTGCCTTTGGACTCAAAGCGCTTGAAGTCTCCACTTGCAAATTGCAGAAAAAGAGTGTTTCGAATCTGCTCTGTCTAAAGGAAGGTTCAACTCTGTCAGTTGAATACACACAACACAAGGAAGTTACTGAGATTTCTTCTGTCTAGCCTTACATGAAAAAAACCCGTTTCCAACGAAGGCCTCAAAGAGGTCAAAATATCCACGTGCAGACTTTCCAAACAGAGTGTTTCCAAACTGCTGAATGAAAAGAAAAGTTAAACTCTGTGAGTTGAACGCACACATCCCAGAGCAGTTTCTGAGAAAGATTCTGTCGAGTTTTTATAGGAAAATATTTCCTTTTCTGCTTTTGGCCTCAAAGCGCTTGAAATCTCCACTTGCAAATTCCACAAAAAGAGACTTTCAAATCTGCTCTGTCTAAAGGAAGGTTCAACTCTGTCAGTTGAATACACACAACACAAAGAAGTTACTAAGAATTCTTCCCTCTAGCATTATATGAAGAAATCCCGTTTCCAACGAAGGCATCTAAGAGGTCCAAATATCCACTTGCAGACTTTACAAACAGAGGGTTTCCAGAATGCTGTATGAAAAGAAAGGTTAAACTCTGTGAGTTAAACACACACATCACTACGCAGTGTCTGGGAATGAGTTTGTCTTGTTTTTATACGAAGATATTTCCTTTTCTACCATTGGCATCGAAGCGTTTGAAATCTCCACTTGCAAATTCCACAAAAAGAGTGTTTCAAATCTGCTCTGTCTAAAGGAAGGTTGAACTCTGTGAGTTGCATACACACAACCCAAAGAAGTTACTGAGAAATCTTCTGTCTAGCATAATATGAAGAAATCCCGTTTCCAACGAAGGCCTCAAAGAGGTCCGAATATCCACTGGCAGGCTTCACAAACAGAGTGTTTCCTAACTGCTCTGTGAAAAGAAAGGTTAAACTCTGTGAGTTGAACGCACACATCACAAAGGAGTTTCTGAGAATCATTCTGTCTAGTTTTTATACGAAGATATTTCCTTTTCTACCATTGACCTCAAAGCGGCTGAAATCTCCACTTGCAAATTCCAGAAAAACAGTGTTTCAAATCTGCTCTGTGTAAAGGATCGTTCAACTCTGTGAGTTGAATACACACAACACAAGGGAAGTTACTGAGAATTCATCTGTCTAGCATAATATGAAGAAATCCCGTTTCCAACGAAGGCCTCAAAGAGGTCTGAATATCCACTTGCAGACTTTACAAACAGAGTGCTTCCTAACTGCTCTTTGAAAAGAAAGGTTAAACTCTGTGAGTTGAACGCACACATCACAAAACAGTTTCTGAGAATCATTCTGTCTAGTTTTTATACGAAGATATTTCCTTTTCTACCGTTGACCTCAAAGCGGCTGAATTCTCCACTTACAAATTCCACCAAAAGAGTGTCTCAAATCTGCTCTGTGTAAAGAATCATTCAACTCTGTGAGTTGAATGCACACAACACAAGGAAGTTACTGGGAATTCCTCTGTCTAGCCTTACATGAAAAAAACCCGTTTCCAACGAAGGCCTCAAAGAGGCCAATATATCCACTTGCAGACTTTACAAACAGAGTGTTTCCAAACTGCTGAATGAAAAGACAAGTTAAACTCTGTGAGTTGAACGCACACATCACAGAGCAGTTTCTCAGAATGATTCTGTCTGGTTTTTATACGAAGATATTTCCTCTTCTGCCTTTGGCCTCAAAGCGCTTGAAGTCTCCACTTGCAAATTGCACAAAAAGAGTGTTTCGAATGTGCTCTGTCTAAAGGAAGGTTCAACTCTGGCAGTTGAATACACACAACACAAGGAAGTTACTGAGATTTCTTCTGTCTAGCATTACATGAAAAAAACCCGTTCCCAACGAAGGCCTCAAAGAGGTCAAAATATCCACGTGCAGACTTTACAAACAGAGTGTTTCCAAACTGCTGAATGAAAAGAAAAGTTAAACTCTGTGAGTTGAACGCACACATCACTGAGCAGTTTCTGAGAATGATTCTGTCTAGTTTTTATAGGAAAATATTTCCTTTTCTGTTTTTGGCCTCAAAGCGCTTGAAATCTCCACTTGCAAATTCCACAAAAAGAGAGTTTCAAATCTGCTCTGTCTAAAGGAAAGTTCAACTCTGTCAGTTGAATACACACAACACAAAGAAGTTACTAAGAATTCTTCCCTCTAGCATTATATGAAGAAATCCCGTTTCCAACGAAGGCATCTAAGAGGTCCAAATATCCACTTGCAGACTTTACAAACAGAGGGTTTCCAGAATGCTGTATGAAAAGAAAGGTTAAACTCTGTGAGTTAAACACACACATCACTACGCAGTGTCTGGGAACGAGTTTGTCTTGTTTTTATACGAAGATATTTCCTTTTCTACCATTGGCATCGAAGCGCTTGAAATCTCCACTTGCAAATTCCACAAAAAGAGTGTTTCAAATCTGCTCTGTCTAAAGGAAGGTTGAACTCTGTGAGTTGCATACACACAACACAAAGAAGTTACTGAGAAATCTTCTGTCTAGCATAATATGAAGAAATCCCGTTTCCAACGAAGGCCTCAAAGAGGTCCGAATATCCACTGGCAGGCTTCACAAACAGAGTGTTTCCTAACTGCTCTGTGAAAAGACAGGTTAAACTCTGTGAGTTGAACGCACACATCACAAAGGAGTTTCTGAGAATCATTCTGTCTAGTTTTTATACGAAGATATTTCCTTTTCTACCATTGACCTCAAAGCGGCTGAAATCTCCACTTGCAAATTCCAGAAAAACAGTGTTTCAAATCTGCTCTGTGTAAAGGATCGTTCAACTCTGTGAGTTGAATACACACAACACAAGGAAGTTACTGAGAATTCATCTGTCTAGTATAATATGAAGAAATCCCGTTTCCAACGAAGGCCTCAAAGAGGTCTGAATATCCACTTGCAGACTTTACAAACAGAGTGTTTCCTAACTGCTCTTTGAAAAGAAAGGTTAAACTCTGTGAGTTGAACGCACACATCACAAAACAGTTTCTGAGAATCATTCTGTCTAGTTTTTATACGAAGATATTTCCTTTTCTACCGTTGACCTCAAAGCGGCTGAATTCTCCACTTACAAATTCCACCAAAAGAGTGTCTCAAATCTGCTCTGTGTAAAGAATCATTCAACTCTGTGAGTTGAATGCACACAACACAAGGAAGTTACTGGGAATTCCTCTGTCTAACCTTACATGAAAAAACCCGTTTCCAACGAAGGCCTCTAAGAGGCCAAGATATCCACTTGCAGACTTTACAAACAGAGTGTTTCCAAACTGCTGAATGAAAAGAAAAGTTAAACTCTGTGAGTTGAACGCACACATCACAGAGCAGTTTCTGAGAATGATTCTGTCGGGTTTTTATACGAAGATATTTCCTTTTCTGCCTTTGGCCTCAAAGCGCTTGAAGTCTCCACTTGCAAATTGCAGAAAAAGAGTGTTTCGAATCTGCTCTGTCTAAAGGAAGGTTCAACTCTGTCAGTTGAATACACACAACACAAGGGAATTTACTGAGATTTCTTCTGTCTAGCCTTACATGAAAAAAACCCGTTTCCAACGAAGGCCTCAAAGAGGTCAAAATATCCACGTGCAGACTTTCCAAACAGAGTGTTTCCAAACTGCTGAATGAAAAGAAAAGTTAAACTCTGTGAGTTGAACGCACACATCCCAGAGCAGTTTCTGAGAAAGATTCTGTCTAGTTTTTATAGGAAAACATTTCCTTTTCTGCTTTTGGCCTCAAAGCGCTTGAAATCTCCACTTGCAAATTCCACAAAAAGAGACTTTCAAATCTGCTCTGTCTAAAGGAAGGTTCAACTCTGTCAGTTGAATACACACAACACAAAGAAGTTACTAAGAATTCTTCCCTCTAGCATTATATGAAGAAATACCGTTTCCAACGAAGGCATCTAAGAGGTCCAAATATCCACTTGCAGACTTTACAAACAGAGGGTTTCCAGAATGCTGTATGAAAAGAAAGGTGAAACTCTGTGAGTTAAACACACACATCACTACGCAGTGTCTGGGAACGAGTTTGTCTTGTTTTTATACGAAGATATTTCCTTTTCTACCATTGGCATCGAAGCGCTTGAAATCTCCACTTGCAAATTCCACAAAAAGAGTGTTTCAAATCTGCTCTGTCTAAAGGAAGGTTGAACTCTGTGAGTTGCATACACACAACACAAAGAAGTTACTGAGAAATCTTCTGTCTAGCATAATATGAAGAAATCCCGTTTCCAACGAAGGCCTCAAAGAGGTCCGAATATCCACTGGCAGGCTTCACAAACAGAGTGTTTCCTAACTGCTCTGTGAAAAGAAAGGTTAAACCCTGTGAGTTGAACGCACACATCACAAAGGAGTTTCTGAGAATCATTCTGTCTAGTTTTTATACGAAGATATTTCCTTTTCTACCATTGACCTCAAAGTGGCTGAAATCTCCACTTGCAAATTCCAGAAAAACAGTGTTTCAAATCTGCTCTGTGTAAAGGATCGTTCAACTCTGTGAGTTGAATACACACAACACAAGGAAGTTACTGAGAATTCATCTGTCTAGCATAATATGAAGAAATCCCGTTTCCAACGAAGGCCTCAAAGAGGTCTGAATATCCACTTGCAGACTTTACAAACAGAGTGTTTCCTAACTGCTCTTTGAAAAGAAAGGTTAAACTCTGTGAGTTGAACGCACACATCACAAAACAGTTTCTGAGAATCATTCTTTCTAGTTTTTATACGAAGATATTTCCTTTTCTACCGTTGACCTCAAAGCGGCTGAATTCTCCACTTACAAATTCCACCAAAAGAGTGTCTCAAATCTGCTCTGTGTAAAGAATCATTCAACTCTGTGAGTTGAATGCATACAACACAAGGAAGTTACTGGGAATTCCTCTGTCTAACCTTACATGAAAAAACCCGTTTCCAACGAAGGCCTCTAAGAGGCCAAGATATCCACTTGCAGACTTTACAAACAGAGTGTTTCCAAACTGCTGAATGAAAAGAAAAGTTAAACTCTGTGAGTTGAACGCACACATCACAGAGCAGTTTCTGAGAATGATTCTGTCGGGTTTTTCTACGAAGATATTTCCTTTTCTGCCTTTGGCCTCAAAGCGCTTGAAGTCTCCACTTGCAAATTGCAGAAAAAGAGTGTTTCGAATCTGCTCTGTCTAAAGGAAGGTTCAACTCTGTCAGTTGAATACACACAACACAAGGAAGTTACTGAGATTTCTTCTGTCTAGTGTTACATGAAAAAAACCCGTTTCCAACGAAGGCCTCAAAGAGGTCAAAATATCCACGTGCAGACTTTCCAAACAGAGTGTTTCCAAACTGCTGAATGAAAAGAAAGTTAAACTCTGTGAGTTGAACACACACATCACAGAGCAGTTTCTGAGAATGATTCTGTCTAGTTTTTATAGGAAAATATTTCCTTTTCTGCTTTTGGCCTCAAAGCGCTTGAAATCTCCACTTGCAAATTCCACAAAAAGAGACTTTCAAATCTGCTCTGTCTAAAGGAAGGTTCAACTCTGTCAGTTGAATACACACAACACAAAGAAGTTACTAAGAATTCTTCCCTCTAGCATTATATGAAGAAATCCCGTTTCCAACGAAGGCATCTAAGAGGTCCAAATATCCACTTTCAGACTTTACAAACACAGGGTTTCCAGAATGCTGTATGAAAAGAAAGGTTAAACTCTGTGAGTTAAACACACACATCACTACGCAGTGTCTGGGAACGAGTTTGTCTTGTTTTTATACGAAGATATTTCCTTTTCTACCATTGGCATCGAAGCGCTTGAAATCTCCACTTGCAAATTCCACAAAAAGAGTGTTTCAAATCTGCTCTGTCTAAAGGAAGGTTGAACTCTGTGAGTTGCATACACACAACACAAAGAAGTTACTGAGAAATCTTCTGTCTAGCATAATATGAAGAAATCCCGTTTCCAATGAAGGCCTCAAAGAGGTCCGAATATCCACTGGCAGGCTTCACAAACAGAGTGTTTCCTAACTGCTCTGTGAAAAGAAAGGTTAAACTCTGTGAGTTGAACGCACACATCACAAAGGAGTTTCTGAGAATCATTCTGTCTAGTTTTTATACGAAGATATTTCCTTTTCTACCATTGACCTCAAAGGGGCTGAAATCTCCACTTGCAAATTCCAGAAAAACAGTGTTTCAAATCTGCTCTGTGGAAAGGATCGTTTAACTCTGTGAGTTGAATACACACAACACAAGGAAGTTACTGAGAATTCATCTGTCTAGCATAATATGAAGAAATCCCGTTTCCAACGAAGGCCTCAAAGAGGACTGAATATCCACTTGCAGACTTTACAAACAGAGTGTTTCCTAACTGCTCTTTGAAAAGAAAGGTTAAACTCTGTGAGTTGAACGCACACATCACAAAACAGTTTCTGAGAATCATTCTGTCTAGTTTTTATACGAAGATATTTGCTTTTCTATCGTTGACCTCAAAGCGGCTGAATTCTCCACTTACAAATTCCACCAAAAGAGTGTCTCAAATGTGCTCTGTGTAAAGAATCATTCAACTCTGTGAGTTGAATGCACACAACACAAGGAAGTTACTGGGAATTCCTCTGTCTAACCTTACATGAAAAAACCCGCTTCCAACGAAGGCCTCTAAGAGGCCAAGATATCCACTTGCAGACTTTACAAACAGAGTGTTTCCAAACTGCTGAATGAAAAGAAAAGTTAAACTCTGTGAGTTGAACGCACACATCACAGAGCAGTTTCTGAGAATGATTCTGTCGGGTTTTTATACGAAGATATTTCCTTTTCTGCCTTTGGCCTCAAAGCGCTTGAAGTCTCCACTTGCAAATTGCAGAAAAAGAGTGTTTCGAATCTGCTCTGTCTAAAGGAAGGTTCAACTCTGTCAGTTGAATACACACAACACAAGGAAGTTACTGAGATTTCTTCTGTCTAGCCTTACATGAAAAAAACCCGTTTCCAACGAAGGCCTCAAAGAGGTCAAAATATCCACGTGCAGACTTTCCAAACAGAGTGTTTCCAAACTGCTGAATGAAAAGAAAAGTTAAACTCTGTGAGTTGAACGCACACATCCCAGAGCAGTTTCTGAGAAAGATTCTGTCGAGTTTTTATAGGAAAATATTTCCTTTTCTGCTTTTGGCCTCAAAGCGCTTGAAATCTCCACTTGCAAATTCCACAAAAAGAGACTTTCAAATCTGCTCTGTCTAAAGGAAGGTTCAACTCTGTCAGTTGAATACACACAACAAAAAGAAGTTACTAAGAATTCTTCCCTCTAGCATTATATGAAGAAATCCCGTTTCCAACGAAGGCATCTAAGAGGTCCAAATATCCACTTGCAGACTTTACAAACACAGGGTTTCCAGAATGCTGTATGAAAAGAAAGGTTAAACTCTGTGAGTTAAACACACACATCACTACGCAGTGTCTGGGAACGAGTTTGTCTTGTTTTTATACGAAGATATTTCCTTTTCGACCATTGGCATCGAAGCGCTTGAAATCTCCACTTGCAAATTCCACAAAAAGAGTGTTTCAAATCTGCTCTGTCTAAAGGAAGGATGAACTCTGTGAGCTGCATACACACAACACAAAGTAGTTACTGAGAAATCTGTCTAGCATAATATGAAGAAATCCCGTTTCCAACGAAGGCCTCAAAGAGGTCCGAATATCCACTGGCAGACTTCACAAACAGAGTGTTTCCTAACTGCTCTGTGAAAAGAAAGTTTAAACTCTGTGAGTTGAACGCACACATCACAAAGGAGTTTCTGAGAATCATTCTGTCTAGTTTTTATATGAAGATATTTCCTTTTCTACCATTGACCTCAAAGCGGCTGAAATCTCCACTTGCAAATTCCAGAAAAAGAGTGTTTCAAATCTGCTCTGTGTAAAGGATCGTTCAACTCTGTGAGTTGAATACACACAACACAAGGAAGTTACTGAGAATTGTTCTGTCTAGCATAATATGAAGAAATCCCGTTTCCAACGAAGGCCTCAAAGAGGTCTGAATATCCACTTGCAGACTTTACAAACAGAGTGTTTCCTAACTGGTCTTTGAAAAGAAGGGTTAAATTCTGTGAGTTGAACGCACACATCACAAAACAGTTTCTGAGAATCATTCTGTCTAGTTTTTATACGAAGATATTTCCTTTTCTACCGTTGACCTCAAAGCGGCTGAATTCTCCACTTACAAATTCCACCAAAAGAGTGTCTCCAATCTGCACTGTGTAAAGAATCATTCAACTCTGTGAGTTGAATGCACACAACACAAGGAAGTTACTGGGAATTCCTCTGTCTAACCTTACATGAAAAAACCCGCTTCCAACGAAGGCCTCTAAGAGGCCAAGATATCCACTTGCAGACTTTACAGAGTGTTTCCAAACTGCTGAATGAAAAAGAAAAGTTAAACTCTGTGAGTTGAACGCACACATCACAGAGCAGTTTCTGAGAATGATTCTGTCGGGTTTTTATACGAAGATATTTCCTTTTCTGCCTTTGGCCTCAAAGCGCTTGAAGTCTCCACTTGCAAATTGCAGAAAAAGAGTGTTTCGAATCTGCTCTGTCTAAAGGAAGGTTCAACTCTGTCAGTTGAATACACACAACACAAGGAAGTTACTGAGATTTCTTCTGTCTAGCCTTACATGAAAAAAACCCGTTTCCAACGAAGGCCTCAAAGAGGTCAAAATATCCACGTGCAGACTTTCCAAACAGAGTGTTTCCAAACTGCTGAATGAAAAGAAAAGTTAAACTCTGTGAGTTGAACGCACACATCACAGAGCAGTTTCTGAGAAAGATTCTGTCTAGTTTTTATAGGAAAATATTTCCTTTTCTGCTTTTGGCCTCAAAGCGCTTGAAATCTCCACTTGCAAATTCCACAAAAAGAGACTTTCAAATCTGCTCTGACTAAAGGAAGGTTCAACTCTGTCAGTTGAATACACACAACACAAAGAAGTTACTAAGAATTCTTCCCTCTAGCATTATATGAGGAAATCCCGTTTCCAACGAAGGCATCTAAGAGGTCCAAATATCCACTTGCAGACTTTACAAACAGAGGGTTTCCAGAATGCTGTATGAAAAGAAAGGTTAAACTCTGTGAGTTAAACACACACATCACTACGCAGTGTCTGGGAACGAGTTTGTCTTGTTTTTATACGAAGATATTTCCTTTTCTACCATTGGCATCGATGCGCTTGAAATTTCCACTTGCAAATTCCACAAAAAGAGTGTTTCAAATCTGCTCTGTCTAAAGGAAGGTTGAACTCTGTGAGTTGCATACACACAACACAAAGAAGTTACTGAGAAATCTTCTGTCTAGCATAATATGAAGAAATCCCGTTTCCAACGAAGGCCTCAAAGAGGTCCGAATATCCACTGGCAGGCTTCACAAACAGAGTGTTTCCTAACTGCTCTGTGAAAAGAAAGGTTAAACTCTGTGAGTTGAACGCACACATCACAAAGGAGTTTCTGAGAATCATTCTGTCTAGTTTTTATACGAAGATATTTCCTTTTCTACCATTGACCTCAAAGCGGCTGAAATCTCCACTTGCAAATTCCAGAAAAACAGTGTTTCAAATCTGCTCTGTGTAAAGGATCGTTCAACTCTGTGAGTTGAATACACACAACACAAGGAAGTTACTGAGAATTCATCTGTCTAGCATAATATGAAGAAATCCCGTTTCCAACGAAGGCCTCAAAGAGGTCTGAATATCCACTTGCAGACTTTACAAACAGAGTGTTTCCTAACTGCTCTTTGAAAAGAAAGGTTAAACTCTGTGAGTTGAACGCACACATCACAAAACAGTTTCTGAGAATCATTCTGTCTAGTTTTTATACGAAGATATTTCCTTTTCTACCGTTGACCTCAAAGCGGCTGAATTCTCCACTTACAAATTCCACCAAAAGAGTGTCTCAAATCTGCTCTGTGTAAAGAATCATTCAACTCTGTGAGTTGAATGCACACAACACAAGGAAGTTACTGGGAATTCCTCTGTCTAACCTTACATGAAAAAACCCGTTTCCAACGAAGGCCTCTAAGAGGCCAAGATATCCACTTGCAGACTTTACAAACAGAGTGTTTCCAAACTGCTGAATGAAAAGAAAAGTTAAACTCTGTGAGTTGAACGCACACATCACAGAGCAGTTTCTGAGAATGATTCTGTCGGGTTTTTATACGAAGATATTCCCTTTTCTGCCTTTGGCCTCAAAGCGCTTGAAGTCTCCACTTGCAAATTGCAGAAAAAGATTGTTTCGAATCTGCTCTGTCTAAAGGAAGGTTCAACTCTGTCAGTTGAATACACACAACACAAGGAAGTTACTGAGATTTCTTCTGTCTAGCCTTACATGAAAAAAACCCGTTTCCAACGAAGGCCTCAAAGAGGTCAAAATATCCACGTGCAGACTTTCCAAACAGTGTTTCCAAACTGCTGAATGAAAAGAAAAGTTAAACTCTGTGAGTTGAACGCACACATCACAGAGCAGTTTCTGAGAATGATTCTGTCGAGTTTTTATAGGAAAATATTTCCTTTTCTGCTTTTGGCCTCAAAGCGCTTGAAATCTCCACTTGCAAATTCCACAAAAAGAGACTTTCAAATCTGCTCTGTCTAAAGGAAGGTTCAACTCTGTCAGTTGAATACACACAACACAAAGAAGTTACTAAGAATTCTTCCCTCTAGCATTATATGAAGAAATCCCGTTTCCAACGAAGGCATCTAAGAGGTCCAAATATCCACTTGCAGACTTTACAAACACAGGGTTTCCAGAATGCTGTATGAAAAGAAAGGTTAAACTCTGTGAGTTAAACACACACATCACTACGCAGTGTCTGGGAACGAGTTTGTCTTGTTTTTATACGAAGATATTTCCTTTTCTACCATTGGCATCGAAGCGCTTGAAATCTCCACTTGCAAATTCCACAAAAAGAGTGTTTCAAATCTGCTCTGTCTAAAGGAAGGTTGAACTCTGTGAGTTGCATACACACAACACAAAGAAGTTACTGAGAAATCTTCTGTCTAGCATAATATGAAGAAATCCCGTTTCCAACGAAGGCCTCAAAGAGGTCCGAATATCCACTGGCAGGCTTCACAAACAGAGTGTTTCCTAACTGCTCTGTGAAAAGAAAGGTTAAACTCTGTGAGTTGAACGCACACATCACAAAGGAGTTTCTGAGAATCATTCTGTCTAGTTTTTATACGAAGATATTTCCTTTTCTACCATTGACCTCAAAGCGGCTGAAATCTCCACTTGCAAATTCCAGGAAAACAGTGTTTCAAATCTGCTCTGTGTAAAGGATCGTTCAACTCTGTGAGTTGAATACACACAACACAAGGAAGTTACTGAGAATTCATCTGTCTAGCATAATATGAAGAAATCCCGTTTCCAACGAAGGCCTCAAAGAGGTCTGAATATCCACTTGCAGACTTTACAAACAGAGTGTTTCCTAACTGCTCTTTGAAAAGAAAGGTTAAACTCTGTGAGTTGAACGCACACATCACAAAACAGTCTCTGAGAATCATTCTGTCTAGTTTTTATACGAAGATATTTCCTTTTCTACCGTTGACCTCAAAGCGGCTGAATTCTCCACTTACAAATTCCACCAAAAGAGTGTCTCAAATCTGCTCTGTGTAAAGAATCATTCAACTCTGTGAGTTGAATGCACACAACACAAGGGAAGTTACTGGGAATTCCTCTGTCTATCCTTACATGAAAAAACCCGTTTCCAACGAAGGCCTCTAAGAGGCCAAGATATCCACTTGCAGACTTTACAAACAGAGTGTTTCCAAACTGCTGAATGAAAAGAAAAGTTAAACTCTGTGAGTTGAACGCACACATCACAGAGCAGTTTCTGAGAATGATTCTGTCGGGTTTTTATACGAAGATATATCCTTTTCTGCCTTTGGCCTCAAAGCGCTTGAAGTCTCCACTTGCAAATTGCAGAAAAAGAGTGTTTCGAATCTGCTCTGTCTAAAGGAAGGTTCAACTCTGTCAGTTGAATACACACAACACAAGGAAGTTACTGAGATTTCTTCTGTCTAGCCTTACATGAAAAACACCCGTTTCCAACGAAGGCCTCAAAGAGGTCAAAATATCCACGTGCAGACTTTCCAAACAGAGTGTTTCCAAACTGCTGAATGAAAAGAAAAGTTAAACTCTGTGAGTTGAACGCACACATCCCAGAGCAGTTTCTGAGAAAGATTCTGTCTAGTTTTTATAGGAAAATATTTCCTTTTCTGCCTTTGGCCTCAAAGCGCTTGAAATCTCCACTTGCAAATTCCACAAAAAGAGACTTTCAAATCTGCTCTGTTTAAAGGAAGGTTCAACTCTGTCAGTTGAATACACACAACACAAAGAAGTTACTAAGAATTCTTCCCTCTAGCATTATATGAGGAAATCCCGTTTCCAACGAAGGCATCTAAGAGGTCCAAATATCCACTTGCAGACTTTACAAACAGAGGGTTTCCAGAATGCTGTATGAAAAGAAAGGTTAAACTCTGTGAGTTAAACACACACATCACTACGCAGTGTCTGGGAACGAGTTTGTCTTGTTTTTATACGAAGATATTTCCTTTTCTACCATTGGCATCGAAGCGCTTGAAATCTCCACTTGCAAATTCCACAAAAAGAGTGTTTCAAATCTGCTCTGTCTAAAGGAAGGTTGAACTCTGTGAGTTGCATACACACAACACAAAGAAGTTACTGAGAAATCTTCTGTCTAGCATAATATGAAGAAATCCCGTTTCCAACGAAGGCCTCAAAGAGGTCCGAATATCCACTGGCAGGCTTCACAAACAGAGTGTTTCCTAACTGCTCTGTGAAAAGAAAGGTTAAACTCTGTGAGTTGAACGCACACATCACAAAGGAGTTTCTGAGAATCATTCTGTCTAGTTTTTATACGAAGATATTTCTTTTTCTACCATTGACCTCAAAGCGGCTGAAATCTCCACTTGCAAATTCCAGAAAAACAGTGTTTCAAATCTGCTCTGTGTAAAGGATCGTTCAACTCTGTGAGTTGAATACACACAACACAAGGAAGTTACTGAGAATTCATCTGTCTAGCATAATATGAAGAAATCCCGTTTCCAACGAAGGCCTCAAAGAGGTCTGAATATCCACTTGCAGACTTTACAAACAGAGTGTTTCCTAACTGCTCTTTGAAAAGAAAGGTTAAACTCTGTGAGTTGAACGCACACATCACAAAACAGTTTCTGAGAATCATTCTGTCTAGTTTTTATACGAAGATATTTCCTTTTCTACCGTTGACCTCAAAGCAGCTGAATTCTCCACTTACAAATTCCACCAAAAGAGTGTCTCAAATCTGCTCTGTGTATAGAATCATTCAACTCTGTGAGTTGAATGCACACAACACAAGGAAGTTACTGGGAATTCCTCTGTCTAACCTTACATGAAAAAACCCGTTTCCAACGAAGGCCTCTAAGAGGCCAAGATATCCACTTGCAGACTTTACAAACAGAGTGTTTCCAAACTGCTGAATGAAAAGAAAAGTTAAACTCTGTGAGTTGAACGCACACATCACAGAGCAGTTTCTGAGAATGATTCTGTCGGGTTTTTATACGAAGATATTTCCTTTTCTGCCTTTGGCCTCAAAGCGCTTGAAGTCTCCACTTGCAAATTGCAGAAAAAGAGTGTTTCGAATCTGCTCTGTCTAAAGGAAGGTTGAACTCTGTGAGTTGCATACACACAACACAAAGAAGTTACTGAGAAATCTTCTGTCTAGCCTTACATGAAAAAAACCCGTTTCCAACGAAGGCCTCAAAGAGGTCAAAATATCCACGTGCAGACTTTCCAAACAGTGTTTCCAAACTGCTGAATGAAAAGAAAAGTTAAACTCTGTGAGTTGAACGCACACATCACAGAGCAGTTTCTGAGAATGATTCTGTCGAGTTTTTATAGGAAAATATTTCCTTTTCTGCTTTTGGCCTCAAAGCGCTTGAAATCTCCACTTGCAAATTCCACAAAAAGAGACTTTCAAATCTGCTCTGTCTAAAGGAAGGTTCAACTCTGTCAGTTGAATACACACAACACAAAGAAGTTACTAAGAATTCTTCCCTCTAGCATTATATGAAGAAATCCCGTTTCCAACGAAGGCATCTAAGAGGTCCAAATATCCACTTGCAGACTTTACAAACACAGGGTTTCCAGAATGCTGTATGAAAAGAAAGGTGAAACTCTGTGAGTTAAACACACACATCACTACGCAGTGTCTGGGAACGAGTTTGTCTTGTTTTTATACGAAGATATTTCCTTTTCTACCATTGGCATCGAAGCGCTTGAAATCTCCACTTGCAAATTCCACAAAAAGAGTGTTTCAAATCTGCTCTGTCTAAAGGAAGGTTGAACTCTGTGAGTTGCATACACACAACACAAAGAAGTTACTGAGAAATCTTCTGTCTAGCATAATATGAAGAAATCCCGTTTCCAACGAAGGCCTCAAAGAGGTCCGAATATCCACTGGCAGGCTTCACAAACAGAGTGTTTCCTAACTGCTCTGTGAAAAGAAAGGTTAAACTCTGTGAGTTGAACGCACACATCACAAAGGAGTTTCTGAGAATCATTCTGTCTAGTTTTTATACGAAGATATTTCCTTTTCTACCATTGACCTCAAAGCGGCTGAAATCTCCACTTGCAAATTCCAGAAAAACAGTGTTTCAAATCTGCTCTGTGTAAAGGATCGTTCAACTCTGTGAGTTGAATACACACAACACAAGGAAGTTACTGAGAATTCATCTGTCTAGCATAATATGAAGAAATCCCGTTTCCAACGAAGGCCTCAAAGAGGTCTGAATATCCACTTGCAGACTTTACAAACAGAGTGTTTCCTAACTGCTCTTTGAAAAGAAAGGTTAAACTCTGTGAGTTGAACGCACACATCACAAAACAGTTTCTGAGAATCATTCTGTCTAGTTTTTATACGAAGATATTTCCTTTTCTACCGTTGACCTCAAAGCGGCTGAATTCTCCACTTACAAATTCCACCAAAAGAGTGTCTCAAATCTGCTCTGTGTAAAGAATCATTCAACTCTGTGAGTTGAATGCACACAACACAAGGAAGTTACTGGGAATTCCTCTGTCTAACCTTACATGATAAAACCCGTTTCCAACGAAGGCCTCTAAGAGGCCAAGATATCCACTTGCAGACTTTACAAACAGAGTGTTTCCAAACTGCTGAATGAAAAGAAAAGTTAAACTCTGTGAGTTGAACGCACACATCACAGAGCAGTTTCTGAGAATGATTCTGTCGGGTTTTTATACGAAGATATTTCCTTTTCTGCCTTTGGCCTCAAAGCGCTTGAAGTCTCCACTTGCAAATTGCAGAAAAAGAGTGTTTCGAATCTGCTCTGTCTAAAGGAAGGTTCAACTCTGTCAGTTGAATACACACAACACAAGGAAGTTACTGAGATTTCTTCTGTCTAGCCTTACATGAAAAAAACCCGTTTCCAACGAAGGCCTCAAAGAGGTCAAAATATCCACGTGCAGACTTTCCAAACAGAGTGTTTCCAAACTGCTGAATGAAAAGAAAAGTTAAACTCTGTGAGTTGAACGCACACATCCCAGAGCAGTTTCTGAGAAAGATTCTGTCGAGTTTTTATAGGAAAATATTTCCTTTTCTGCTTTTGGCCTCAAAGCGCTTGAAATCTCCACTTGCAAATTCCACAAAAAGAGACTTTCAAATCTGCTCTGTCTAAAGGAAGGTTCAACTCTGTCAGTTGAATACACACAACACAAAGAAGTTACTAAGAATTCTTCCCTCTAGCATTATATGAAGAAATCCCGTTTCCAACGAAGGCATCTAAGAGGTCCAAATATCCACTTGCAGACTTTACAAACACAGGGTTTCCAGAATGCTGTATGAAAAGAAAGGTTAAACTCTGTGAGTTAAACACACACATCACTACGCAGTGTCTGGGAACGAGTTTGTCTTGTTTTTATACGAAGATATTTCCTTTTCTACCATTGGCATCGAAGCGCTTGAAATCTCCACTTGCAAATTCCACAAAAAGAGTGTTTCAAATCTGCTCTGTCTAAAGGAAGGTTGAACTCTGTGAGTTGCATACACACAACACAAAGAAGTTACTGAGAAATCTTCTGTCTAGCATAATATGAAGAAATCCCGTTTCCAACGAAGGCCTCAAAGAGGTCCGAATATCCACTGGCAGGCTTCACAAACAGAGTGTTTCCTAACTGCTCTGTGAAAAGAAAGGTTAAACCCTGTGAGTTGAACGCACACATCACAAAGGAGTTTCTGAGAATCATTCTGTCTAGTTTTTATACGAAGATATTTCCTTTTCTACCATTGACCTCAAAGCGGCTGAAATCTCCACTTGCAAATTCCAGAAAAACAGTGTTTCAAATCTGCTCTGTGTAAAGGATCGTTCAACTCTGTGAGTTGAATACACACAACACAAGGAAGTTACTGAGAATTCATCTGTCTAGCATAATATGAAGAAATCCCGTTTCCAACGAAGGCCTCAAAGAGGTCTGAATATCCACTTGCAGACTTTACAAACAGAGTGTTTCCTAACTGCTCTTTGAAAAGAAAGGTTAAACTCTGTGAGTTGAACGCACACATCACAAAACAGTTTCTGAGAATCATTCTGTCTAGTTTTTATACGAAGATATTTCCTTTTCTACCATTGACCTCAAAGCGGCTGAATTCTCCACTTACAAATTCCACCAAAAGAGTGTCTCAAATCTGCTCTGTGTAAAGAATCATTCAACTCTGTGAGTTGAATGCACACAACACAAGGAAGTTACTGGGAATTCCTCTGTCTAACCTTATATGAAAAAAACCCGTTTCCAACGAAGGCCTCTAAGAGGCCAATATATCCACTTGCAGACTTTACAAACAGAGTGTTTCCAAACTGCTGAATGAAAAGAAAAGTTAAACTCTGTGAGTTGAACGCACACATCACAGAGCAGTTTCTGAGAATGATTCTGTCGGGTTTTTATACGAAGATATTTCCTTTTCTGCCTTTGGCCTCAAAGCGCTTGAAGTCTCCACTTGCAAATTGCAGAAAAAGAGTGTTTCGAATCTGCTCTGTCTAAAGGAAGGTTCAACCTTGTCAGTTGAATACACACAACACAAGGAAGTTACTGAGATTTCCTCTGTCTAGCCTTACATGAAAAAAACCAGTTTCCAACGAAGGCGTCAAAGAAGTCAAAATATCCACGTGCAGACTTTCCAAACAGAGTGTTTCCAAACTGCTGAATGAAAAGAAAAGTTAAACTCTGTGAGTTGAACGCACACATCACAGAGCAGTTTCTGAGAATGATATTCTGTCTAGTTTTTATAGGAAAATATTTCCTTTTCTGCTTTTGGCCTCAAAGCGCTTGAAATCTCCACTTGCAAATTCCACAAAAAGAGTGTTTCAAATCTGCTCTGTCTAAAGGAAGGTTGAACTCTGTGAGTTGCATACACACAACACAAAGAAGTTACTGAGAAATCTTCTGTCTAGCATAATATGAAGAAATCCCGTTTCCAACGAAGGCCTCAAAGAGGTCCGAATATCCACTGGCAGGCTTCACAAACAGAGTGTTTCCTAACTGCTCTGTGAAAAGAAAGGTTAAACTCTGTGAGTTGAACGCACACATCACAAAGGAGTTTCTGAGAATCATTCTGTCTAGTTTTTATACGAAGATATTTCCTTTTCTACCATTGACCTCAAAGCGGCTGAAATCTCCACTTGCAAATTCCAGAAAAACAGTGTTTCAAATCTGCTCTGTGTAAAGGATCGTTCAACTCTGTGAGTTGAATACACACAACACAAGGAAGTTACTGAGAATTCATCTGTCTAGCATAATATGAAGAAATCCCGTTTCCAACGAAGGCCTCAAAGAGGTCTGAATATCCACTTGCAGACTTTACAAACAGAGTGTTTCCTAACTGCTCTTTGAAAAGAAAGGTTAAACTCTGTGAGTTGAACGCACACATCACAAAACAGTTTCTGAGAATCATTCTGTCTAGTTTTTATACGAAGATATTTCCTTTTCTACCGTTGACCTCAAAGCGGCTGAATTCTCCACTTACAAATTCCACCAAAAGAGTGTCTCAAATCTGCTCTGTGTAAAGAATCATTCAACTCTGTGAGTTGAATGCACACAACACAAGGAAGTTACTGGGAATTCCTCTGTCTATCCTTACATGAAAAAACCCGTTTCCAACGAAGGCCTCTAAGAGGCCAAGATATCCACTTGCAGACTTTACAAACAGAGTGTTTCCAAACTGCTGAATGAAAAGAAAAGTTAAACTCTGTGAGTTGAACGCACACATCACAGAGCAGTTTCTGAGAAAGATTCTGTCTAGTTTTTATAGGAAAATATTTCCTTTTCTGCTTTTGGCCTCAAAGCGCTTGAAATCTCCACTTGCAAATTCCACAAAAAGAGTGTTTCAAATCTGCTCTGTCTAAAGGAAGGTTGAACTCTGTGAGTTGCATACACACAACACAAAGAAGTTACTGAGAAATCTTCTGTCTAGCATAATATGAAGTAATCCCGTTTCCAACGAAGGCCTCAAAGAGGTCCGAATATCCACTGGCAGGCTTCACAAACAGAGTGTTTCCTAACTGCTCTGTGAAAAGAAAGGTTAAACTCTGTGAGTTGAACGCACACATCACAAAGGAGTTTCTGAGAATCATTCTGTCTAGTTTTTATACGAAGATATTTCCTTTTCTACCATTGACCTCAAAGCGGCTGAAATCTCCACTTGCAAATTCCAGAAAAACAGTGTTTCAAATCTGCTCTGTGTAAAGGATCGTTCAACTCTGTGAGTTGAATACACACAACACAAGGAAGTTACTGAGAATTCTTCTGTCTAGCATAATATGAAGAAATCCCGTTTCCAACGAAGGCCTCAAAGAGGTCTGAATATCCACTTGCAGACTTTACAAACAGAGTGTTTCCTAACTGCTCTTTGAAAAGAAAGGTTAAACTCTGTGAGTTGAACGCACACATCACAAAACAGTTTCTGAGAATCATTCTGTCTAGTTTTTATACGAAGATATATCCTTTTCTACCGTTGACCTCAAAGCGGCTGAATTCTCCACTAACAAATTCCACCAAAAGAGTGTCTCAAATCTGCTCTGTGTAAAGAATCATTCAACTCTGTGAGTTGAATGCACACAACACAAGGAAGTTACTGGGAATTCCTCTGTCTAACCTTACATGAAAAAACCCGTTTCCAACGAAGGCCTCTAAGAGGCCAAGATATCCACTTGCAGACTTTACAAACAGAGTGTTTCCAAACTGCTGAATGAAAAGAAAAGTTAAACTCTGTGAGTTGAACGCACACATCACAGAGCAGTTTCTGAGAATGATTCTGTCGGGTTTTTATACGAAGATATTTCCTTTTCTGCCTTTGGCCTCAAAGCGCTTGAAGTCTCCACTTGCAAATTGCAGAAAAAGAGTGTTTCGAATCTGCTCTGTCTAAAGGAAGGTTCAACTCTGTCAGTTGAATACACACAACACAAGGAAGTTACTGAGATTTCTTCTGTCTAGCCTTACATGAAAAAAACCCGTTTCCAACGAAGGCCTCAAAGAGGTCAAAATATCCACGTGCAGACTTTCCAAACAGAGTGTTTCCAAACTGCTGAATGAAAAGAAAAGTTAAACTCTGTGAGTTGAACGCACACATCCCAGAGCAGTTTCTGAGAAAGATTCTGTCGAGTTTTTATAGGAAAATATTTCCTTTTCTGCTTTTGGCCTCAAAGCGCTTGAAATCTCCACTTGCAAATTCCACAAAAAGAGACTTTCAAATCTGCTCTGTCTAAAGGAAGGTTCAACTCTGTCAGTTGAATACACACAACACAAAGAAGTTACTAAGAATTCTTCCCTCTAGCATTATATGAAGAAATCCCGTTTCCAACGAAGGCATCTAAGAGGTCCAAATATCCACTTGCAGACTTTACAAACAGAGGGTTTCCAGACTGCTGTATGAAAAGAAAGGTTAAACTCTGTGAGTTAAACACACACATCACTACGCAGTGTCTGGGAACGAGTTTGTCTTGTTTTTATACGAAGATATTTCCTTTTCTACCATTGGCATCGAAGCGCTTGAAATCTCCACTTGCAAATTCCACAAAAAGAGTGTTTCAAATCTGCTCTGTCTAAAGGAAGGTTGAACTCTGTGAGTTGCATACACACAACACAAAGAAGTTACTGAGAAATCTTCTGTCTAGCATAATATGAAGAAATCCCGTTTCCAACGAAGGCCTCAAAGAGGTCCGAATATCCCCTGGCAGGCTTCACAAACAGAGTGTTTCCTAACTGCTCTGTGAAAAGAAAGGTTAAACTCTGTGAGTTGAACGCACACATCACAAAGGAGTTTCTGAGAATCATTCTGTCTAGTTTTTATACGAAGATATTTCCTTTTCTACCATTGACCTCAAAGCGGCTGAAATCTCCACTTGCAAATTCCAGAAAAACAGTGTTTCAAATCTGCTCTGTGTAAAGGATCGTTCAACTCTGTGAGTTGAATACACACAACACAAGGAAGTTACTGAGAATTCATCTGTCTAGCATAATATGAAGAAATCCCGTTTCCAACGAAGGCCTCAAAGAGGTCTGAATATCCACTTGCAGACTTTACAAACAGAGTGTTTCCTAACTGCTCTTTGAAAAGAAAGGTTAAACTCTGTGAGTTGAAAGCACACATCACAAAACAGTTTCTGAGAATCATTCTGTCTAGTTTTTATACGAAGATATTTCCTTTTCTACCGTTGACCTCAAAGCAGCTGAATTCTCCACTTACAAATTCCACCAAAAGAGTGTCTCAAATCTGCTCTGTGTAAAGAATCATTCAACTCTGTGAGTTGAATGCACACAACACAAGGAAGTTAGTGGGAATTCCTCTGTCTAACCTTACATGAAAAAACCCGTTTCCAACGAAGGCCTCTAAGAGGCCAAGATATCCACTTGCAGACTTTACAAACAGAGTGTTTCCAAACTGCTGAATGAAAAGAAAAGTTAAACTCTGTGAGTTGAACGCACACATCACAGAGCAGTTTCTGAGAATGATTCTGTCGGGTTTTTATACGAAGATATTTCCTTTTCTGCCTTTGGCCTCAAAGCGCTTGAAGTCTCCACTTGCAAATTGCAGAAAAAGAGTGTTTCGAATCTGCTCTGTCTAAAGGAAGGTTCAACTCTGTCAGTTGAATACACACAACACAAGGAAGTTACTGAGATTTCTTCTGTCTAGCCTTACAGGAAAAAAACCCATTTCCAATGAAGGCCTCAAAGAGGTCAAAATATCCACGTGCAGACTTTACAAACAGAGTGTTTCCAAACTGCTGAATGAAAAGAAAAGTTAAACTCTGTGAGTTAAACGCACACTTCACAGAGCAGTTTCTGAGAATGATTCTGTCTAATTTTTATAGGAAAATATTTCCTTTTCTGCTTTTGGCCTCAAAGCGCTTGAAATCTCCACTTGCAAATTCCACAAAAAGAGACTTTCAAATCTGCTCTGTCTAAAGGAAGTTCAACTCTGTCAGTTGAATACACACAACACAAAGAAGTTACTAAGAATTCTTCCCTCTAGCATTATATGAAGAAATCCCGTTTCCAACGAAGGCATCTAAGAGGTCCAAATATCCACTTGCAGACTTTACAAACAGAGGGTTTCCAGAATGCTGTATGAAAAGAAAGGTTAAACTCTGTGAGTTAAACACACACATCACTACGCAGTGTCTGGGAACGAGTTTGTCTTGTTTTATACGAAGATATTTCCTTTTCTACCATTGGCATCGAAGCGCTTGAAATCTCCACTTGCAAATTCCACAAAAAGAGTGTTTCAAATCTGCTCTGTCTAAAGGAAGGTTGAACTCTGTGAGTTGCATACACACAACACAAAGAAGTTACTGAGAAATCTTCTGTCTAGCATAATATGAAGAAATCCCGTTTCCAACGAAGGCCTCAAAGAGGTCCGAATATCCACTGGCAGGCTTCACAAACAGAGTGTTTCCTAACTGCTCTGTGAAAAGAAAGGTTAAACTCTGTGAGTTGAACGCACACATCACAAAGGAGTTTCTGAGAATCATTCTGTCTACTTTTTATACGAAGATATTTCCTTTTCTACCATTGACCTCAAAGCGGCTGAAATCTCCACTTGCAAATTCCAGAAAAAGAGTGTTTCAAATCTGCTCTGTGTAAAGGATCGTTCAACCCTGTGAGTTGAATACACACAACACAAGGAAGTTACTGAGAATTCATCTGTCTAGCATAACATGAAGAAATCCCGTTTCCAACGAAGGCCTCAAAGAGGTCTGAATATCCACTTGCAGACTTTACAAACAGAGTGTTTCCTAACTGCTCTGTGAAAAGAAAGGTTAAACTCTGTGAGTTGAACGCACACATCACAAAGGAGTTTCTGAGAATCATTCTGTCTAGTTTTTATATGAAGATATTTCCTTTTCTACCATTGACCACAAAGCGGCTGAAATCTCCACTTGCAAATTCCAGAAAAAGAGTGTTTCAAATCTGCTCTGTGTAAAGGATCGTTCAACTCTGTGAGTTGAATACACACAACACAAGGAAGTTACTGAGAATTCTTCTGTCTAGCATAATATGAAGAAATCCCGTTTCCAACGAAGGCCTCAAAGAGGTCTGAATATCCACTTGCAGACTTTACAAACAGAGTGTTTCCTAACTGCTCTTTGAAAAGAAAGGTTAAACTCTGTGAGTTGAACGCACACATCACAAAACAGTTTCTGAGAATCATTCTGTCTAGTTTTTATACGAAGATATTTCCTTTTCTACCGTTGACCTCAAAGAGGCTGAATTCTCCACTTACAAATTCCACCAAAAGAGTGTCTCAAATCTGCTCTGTGTAAAGAATCATTCAACTCTGTGAGTTGAATGCACACAACACAAGGAAGTTACTGGGAATTCCTCTGTCTATCCTTACATGAAAAAACCCGCTTCCAACGAAGGCCTCTAAGAGGCCAAGATATCCACTTGCAGACTTTACAAACAGAGTGTTTCCAAACTGCTGAATGAAAAGAAAAGTTAAACTCTGTGAGTTGAACGCACACATCACAGAGCAGTTTCTGAGAATGATTCTGCCGGGTTTTTATACGAAGATATTTCCTTTTCTGCCTTTGGCCTCAAAGCGCTTGAAGTCTCCACTTGCAAATTGCAGAAAAAGAGTGTTTCGAATCTGCTCTGTCTAAAGGAAGGTTCAACTCTGTCAGTTGAATACACACAACACAAGGAAGTTACTGAGATTTCTTCTGTCTAGCCTTACATGAAAAAAGCCCGTTTCCAACGAAGGCCTCAAAGAGGTCAAAATATCCACGTGCAGACTTTCCAAACAGTGTTTCCAAACTGCTGAATGAAAAGAAAAGTTAAACTCTGTGAGTTGAACGCACACATCACAGAGCAGTTTCTGAGAATGATTCTGTCGAGTTTTTATAGGAAAATATTTCCTTTTCTGCTTTTGGCCTCAAAGCGCTTGAAATCTCCACTTGCAAATTCCACAAAAAGAGACTTTCAAATCTGCTCTGTCTAAAGGAAGGTTCAACTCTGTCAGTTGAATACACACAACACAAAGAAGTTACTAAGAATTCTTCCCTCTAGCATTATATGAAGAAATCCCGTTTCCAACGAAGGCATCTAAGAGGTCCAAATATCCACTTGCAGACTTTACAAACACAGGGTTTCCAGAATGCTGTATGAAAAGAAAGGTTAAACTCTGTGAGTTAAACACACACATCACTACGCAGTGTCTGGGAACGAGTTTGTCTTGTTTTTATACGAAGATATTTCCTTTTCTACCATTGGCATCGAAGCGCTTGAAATCTCCACTTGCAAATTCCACAAAAAGAGTGTTTCAAATCTGCTCTGTCTAAAGGAAGGTTGAACTCTGTGAGTTGCATACACACAACACAAAGAAGTTACTGAGAAATCTTCTGTCTAGCATAATATGAAGAAATCCCGTTTCCAACGAAGGCCTCAAAGAGGTCTGAATATCCACTGGCAGGCTTCACAAACAGAGTGTTTCCTAACTGCTCTGTGAAAAGAAAGGTTAAACTCTGTGAGTTGAACGCACACATCACAAAGGAGTTTCTGAGAATCATTATCTGTCTAGTTTTTATACGAAGATATTTCCTTTTCTACCATTGACCTCAAAGCGGCTGAAATCTCCACTTGCAAATTCCAGAAAAACAGTGTTTCAAATCTGCTCTGTGTAAAGGATCGTTCAACTCTGTGAGTTGAATACACACAACACAAGGAAGTTACTGAGAATTCATCTGTCTAGCATAATATGAAGAAATCCCGTTTCCAACGAAGGCCTCAAAGAGGTCTGAATATCCACTTGCAGACTTTACAAACAGAGTGTTTCCTAACTGCTCTCTGAAAAGAAAGGTTAAACTCTGTGAGTTGAACGCACACATCACAAAACAGTTTCTGAGAATCATTCTGTCTAGTTTTTATACGAAGATATTTCCTTTTCTACCGTTGACCTCAAAGCGGCTGAATTCTCCACTTACAAATTCCACCAAAAGAGTGTCTCAAATCTGCTCTGTGTAAAGAATCATTCAACTCTGTGAGTTGAGTGCACACAACACAAGGAAGTTACTGGGAATTCCTCTGTCTAACCTTACATGAAAAAACCCGTTTCCAACGAAGGCCTCTAAGAGGCCAAGATATCCACTTGCAGACTTTACAAACAGAGTGTTTCCAAACTGCTGAATGAAAAGAAAAGTTAAACTCTGTGAGTTGAACGCACACATCACAGAGCAGTTTCTGAGAATGATTCTGTCGGGTTTTTATACGAAGATATTTCCTTTTCTGCCTTTGGCCTCAAAGCGCTTGAAGTCTCCACTTGCAAATTGCAGAAAAAGAGTGTTTCGAATCTGCTCTGTCTAAAGGAAGGTTCAACTCTGTCAGTTGAATACACACAACACAAGGAAGTTACTGAGATTTCTTCTGTCTAGCCTTACATGAAAAAAACCCGTTTCCAACGAAGGCCTCAAAGAGGTCAAAATATCCACGTGCAGACTTTCCAAACAGAGTGTTTCCAAACTGCTGAATGAAAAGAAAAGTTAAACTCTGTGAGTTGAACGCACACATCCCAGAGCAGTTTCTGAGAAAGATTCTGTCTAGTTTTTATAGGAAAATATTTCCTTTTCTGCTTTTGGCCTCAAAGCGCTTGAAATCTCCACTTGCAAATTCCACAAAAAGAGACTTTCAAATCTGCTCTGTCTAAAGGAAGGTTCAACTCTGTCAGTTGAATACACACAACACAAAGAAGTTACTAAGAATTCTTCCCTCTAGCATTATATGAAGAAATCCCGTTTCCAACGAAGGCATCTAAGAGGTCCAAATATCCACTTGCAGACTTTACAAACAGAGGGTTTCCACAATGCTGTATGAAAAGAAAGGTTAAACTCTGTGAGTTAAACACACACATCACTACGCAGTGTCTGGGAACGAGTTTGTCTTGTTTTTATACGAAGATATTTCCTTTTCTACCATTGGCATCGAAGCGCTTGAAATCTCCACTTGCAAATTCCACAAAAAGAGTGTTTCAAATCTGCTCTGTCTAAAGGAAGGTTGAACTCTGTGAGTTGCATACACACAACCCGAAGAAGTTACTGAGAAATCTTCTGTCTAGCATAATATGTAGAAATCCCGTTTCCAACGAAGGCCTCAAAGAGGTCCGAATATCCACTGGCAGGCTTCACAAACAGAGTGTTTCCTAACTGCTCTGTGAAAAGAAAGGTTAAACTCCTGTGAGTTGAACGCACACATCACAAAGGAGTTTCTGAGAATCATTCTGTCTAGTTTTTATACGAAGATATTTCCTTTTCTACCATTGACCTCAAAGCGGCTGAAATCTCCACTTGCAAATTCCAGAAAAACAGTGTTTCAAATCTGCTCTGTGTAAAGGATCGTTCAACTCTGTGAGTTGAATACACACAACACAAGGAAGTTACTGAGAATTCATCTGTCTAGCATAATATGAAGAAATCCCGTTTCCAACGAAGGCTTCAAAGAGGTCTGAATATCCACTTGCAGACTTTACAAACAGAGTGTTTCCTAACTGCTCTTTGAAAAGAAAGGTTAAACTCTGTGAGTTGAACGCACACATCACAAAACAGTTTCTGAGAATCATTCTGTCTAGTTTTTATACGAAGATATTTCCTTTTCTACCGTTGACCTCAAAGCGGCTGAATTCTCCACTTACAAATTCCACCAAAAGAGTGTCTCAAATCTGCTCTGTGTAAAGAATCATTCAACTCTGTGAGTTGAATGCACACAACACAAGGAAGTTACTGGGAATTCCTCTGTCTAACCTTACATGAAAAAACCCGTTTCCAACGAAGGCCTCTAAGAGGCCAAGATATCCACTTGCAGACTTTACAAACAGAGTGTTTCCAAACTGCTGAATGAAAAGAAAAGTTAAACTCTGTGAGTTGAACGCACACATCACAGAGCAGTTTCTGAGAATGATTCTGTCGGGTTTTTATACGAAGATATTTCCTTTTCTGCCTTTGGCCTCAAAGCGCTTGAAGTCTCCACTTGCAAATTGCAGAAAAAGAGTGTTTCGAATCTGCTCTGTCTAAAGGAAGGTTCAACTCTGTCAGTTGAATACACACAACACAAGGAAGTTACTGAGATTTCTTCTGTCTAGCCTTACATGAAAAAAACCCGTTTCCAACGAAGGCCTCAAAGAGGTCACAATATCCTCGTGCAGACTTTCCAAACAGAGTGTTTCCAAACTGCTAAATGAAAAGAAAAGTTAAACTCTGTGAGTTGAACGCACACATCCCAGAGCAGTTTCTGAGAAAGATTCTGTCGAGTTTTTATAGGAAAATATTTCCTTTTCTGCTTTTGGCCTCAAAGCGCTTGAAATCTCCACTTGCAAATTCCACAAAAAGAGACTTTCAAATCTGCTCTGTCTAAAGGAAGGTTCAACTCTGTCAGTTGAATACACACAACACAAAGAAGTTACTAAGAATTCTTCCCTCTAGCATTATATGAAGAAATCCCGTTTGCAACGAAGGCATCTAAGAGGTCCAAATATCCACTTGCAGACTTTACAAACAGAGGGTTTCCAGAATGCTGTATGAAAAGAAAGGTTAAACTCTGTGAGTTAAACACACACATCACTACGCAGTGTCTGGGAACGAGTTTGTCTTGTTTTTATACGAAGATATTTCCTTTTCTACCATTGGCATCGAAGCGCTTGAAATCTCCACTTGCAAATTCCACAAAAAGAGTGTTTCAAATCTGCTCTGTCTAAAGGAAGGTTGAACTCTGTGAGTTGCATACACACAACACAAAGAAATTACTGAGAAATCTTCTGTCTAGCATAATATGAAGAAATCCCGTTTCCAACGAAGGCCTCAAAGAGGTCCGAATATCCACTGGCAGGCTTCACAAACAGAGTGTTTCCTAACTGCTCTGTGAAAAGAAAGGTTAAACTCTGTGAGTTGAACGCACACATCACAAAGGAGTTTCTGAGAATCATTCTGTCTAGTTTTTATACGAAGATATTTCCTTTTCTACCATTGACCTCAAATCGGCTGAAATCTCCACTTGCAAATTCCAGAAAAACAGTGTTTCAAATCTGCTCTGTGTAAAGGATCGTTCAACTCTGTGAGTTGAATACACACAACACAAGGAAGTTACTGAGAATTCATCTGTCTAGCATAATATGATGAAATCCCGTTTCCAACGAAGGCCTCAAAGAGGTCTGAATATCCACTTGCAGAATTTACAAACAGAGTGTTTCCTAACTGCTCTCTGAAAAGAAAGGTTAAACTCTGTGAGTTGAACGCACACATCACAAAACAGTTTCTGAGAATCATTCTGTCTAGTTTTTATACGAAGATATTTCCTTTTCTACCGTTGACCTCAAAGCGGCTGAATTCTCCACTTACAAATTCCACCAAAAGAGTGTCTCAAATCTGCTCTGTGTAAAGAATCATTCAACTCTGTGAGTTGAATGCACACAACACAAGGAAGTTACTGGGAATTCCTCTGTCTAAACTTACATGAAAAAACCCGTTTCCAACGAAGGCCTCTAAGAGGCCAAGATATCCACTTGCAGACCTTACAAACAGAGTGTTTCCAAACTGCTGAATGAAAAGAAAAGTTAAACTCTGTGAGTTGAACGCACACATCACAGAGCAGTTTCTGAGAATGATTCTGTCGGGTTTTTATACGAAGATATTTCCTTTTCTGCCTTTGGCCTCAAAGCGCTTGAAGTCTCCACTTGCAAATTGCAGAAAAAGAGTGTTTCGAATCTGCTCTGTCTAAAGGAAGGTTCAACTCTGTCAGTTGAATACACACAACACAAGGAAGTTACTGAGATTTCTTCTGTCTAGCCTTACATGAAAAAAACCCGTTTCCAACGAAGGCCTCAAAGAGGTCAAAATATCCACGTGCAGACTTTCCAAACAGAGTGTTTCCAAACTGCTGAATGAAAAGAAAAGTTAAACTCTGTGAGTTGAACGCACACATCCCAGAGCAGTTTCTGAGAAAGATTCTGTCGAGTTTTTATAGGAAAATATTTCCTTTTCTGCTTTTGGCCTCAAAGCGCTTGAAATCTCCACTTGCAAATTCCACAAAAAGAGACTTTCAAATCTGCTCTGTCTAAAGGAAGGTTCAACTCTGTCAGTTGAATACACACAACACAAAGAAGTTACTAAGAATTCTTCCCTCTAGCATTATATGAAGAAATCCCGTTTCCAACGAAGGCATCTAAGAGGTCCAAATATCCACTTGCAGACTTTACAAACACAGGGTTTCCAGAATGCTGTATGAAAAGAAAGGTTAAACTCTGTGAGTTAAACACACACATCACTACGCAGTGTCTGGGAACGAGTTTGTCTTGTTTTTATACGAAGATATTTCCTTTTCTACCATTGGCATCGAAGCGCTTGAAATCTCCACTTGCAAATTCCACAAAAAGAGTGTTTCAAATATGCTCTCTCTAAAGGAAGGTTGAACTCTGTGAGTTGCATACACACAACCCAAAGAAGTTACTGAGAAATCTTCTGTCTAGCATAATATGAAGAAATCCCGTTTCCAACGAAGGCCTCAAAGAGGTCCGAATATCCACTGGCAGGCTTCACAAACAGAGTGTTTCCTAACTGCTCTGTGAAAAGAAAGGTTAAACTCTGTGAGTTGAACGCACACATCACAAAGGAGTTTCTGAGAATCATTCTGTCTAGTTTTTATACGAAGATATTTCCTTTTCTACCATTGACCTCAAAGCGGCTGAAATCTCCACTTGCAAATTCCAGAAAAACAGTGTTTCAAATCTGCTCTGTGTAAAGGATCGTTCAACTCTGTGAGTTGAATACACACAACACAAGGAAGTTACTGAGAATTCATCTGTCTAGCATAATATGAAGAAATCCCGTTTCCAACGAAGGCCTCAAAGAGGTCTGAATATCCGCTTGCAGACTTTACAAACAGAGTGTTTCCTAACTGCTCTTTGAAAAGAAAGGTTAAACTCTGTGAGTTGAACGCACACATCACAAAACAGTTTCTGAGAATCATTCTGTCTAGTTTTTATACGAAGATATTTCCTTTTCTACCGTTGACCTCAAAGCGGCTGAATTCTCCACTAACAAATTCCACCAAAAGAGTGTCTCAAATCTGCTCTGTGTAAAGAATCATTCAACTCTGTGAGTTGAATGCACACAACACAAGGAAGTTACTGGGAATTCCTCTGTCTATCCTTACATGAAAAAACCCGTTTCCAACGAAGGCCTCTAAGAGGCCAAGATATCCACTTGCAGACTTACAAACAGAGTGTTTCCAAACTGCTGAATGAAAAGAAAAGTTAAACTCTGTGAGTTGAACGCACACATCACAGAGCAGTTTCTGAGAAAGATTCTGTCTAGTTTTTATAGGAAAATATTTCCTTTTCTGCTTTTGGCCTCAAAGCGCTTGAAATCTCCACTTGCAAATTCCACAAAAAGAGTGTTTCAAATCTGCTCTGTCTAAAGGAAGGTTGAACTCTGTGAGTTGCATACACACAACACAAAGAAGTTACTGAGAAATCTTCTGTCTAGCATAATATGAAGAAATCCCGTTTCCAACGAAGGCCTCAAAGAGGTCCGAATATCCACTGGCAGGCTTCACAAACAGAGTGTTTCCTAACTGCTCTGTGAAAAGAAAGGTTAAACTCTGTGAGTTGAACGCACACATCACAAAGGAGTTTCTGAGAATCATTCTGTCTAGTTTTTATACGAAGATATTTCCTTTTCTACCATTGACCTCAAAGCGGCTGAAATCTCCACTTGCAAATTCCAGAAAAACAGTGTTTCAAATCTGCTCTGTGTAAAGGATCGTTCAAATCTGTGAGCTGAATACACACAACACAAGGAAGTTACTGAGAATTCATCTGTCTAGCATAATATGAAGAAATCCCGTTTCCAACGAAGGCCTCAAAGAGGTCTGAATATCCACTTGCAGACTTTACAAACAGAGTGTTTCCTAACTGCTCTTTGAAAAGAAAGGTTAAACTCTGTGAGTTGAAAGCACACATCACAAAACAGTTTCTGAGAATCATTCTGTCTAGTTTTTATACGAAGATATTTCCTTTTCTACCGTTGACATCAAAGCGGCTGAATTCTCCACTTACAAATTCCACCAAAAGAGTGTCTCAAATCTGCTCTGTGTAAAGAATCATTCAACTCTGTGAGTTGAATGCACACAACACAAGGAAGTTAGTGGGAATTCCTCTGTCTAACCTTACATGAAAAAACCCGCTTCCAACGAAGGCCTCTAAGAGGCCAAGATATCCACTTGCAGACTTTACAAACAGAGTGTTTCCAAACTGCTGAATGAAAAGAAAAGTTAAACTCTGTGAGTTGAACGCACACATCACAGAGCAGTTTCTGAGAATGATTCTGTCGGGTTTTTATACGAAGATATTTCCTTTTCTGCCTTTGGCCTCAAAGCGCTTGAAGTCTCCACTTGCAAATTGCAGAAAAAGAGTGTTTCGAATCTGCTCTGTCTAAAGGAAGGTTCAACTCTGTCAGTTGAATACACACAACACAAGGAAGTTACTGAGATTTCTTCTGTCTAGCCTTACATGAAAAAAACCCGTTTCCAACGAAGGCCTCAAAGAGGTCAAAATATCCACGTGCAGACTTTCCAAACAGAGTGTTTCCAAACTGCTGAATGAAAAGAAAAGTTAAACTCTGTGAGTTGAACGCACACATCCCAGAGCAGTTTCTGAGAAAGATTCTGTCGAGTTTTTATAGGAAAATATTTCCTTTTCTGCTTTTGGCCTCAAAGCGCTTGAAATCTCCACTTGCAAATTCCACAAAAAGAGACTTTCAAATCTGCTCTGTCTAAAGGAAGGTTCAACTCTGTCAGTTGAATACACACAACACAAAGAAGTTACTAAGAATTCTTCCCTCTAGCATTATATGAAGAAATCCCGTTTCCAACGAAGGCATCTAAGAGGTCCAAATATCCACTTGCAGACTTTACAAACACAGGGTTTCCAGAATGCTGTATGAAAAGAAAGGTGAAACTCTGTGAGTTAAACACACACATCACTACGCAGTGTCTGGGAACGAGTTTGTCTTGTTTTTATACGAAGATATTTCCTTTTCTACCATTGGCATCGAAGCGCTTGAAATCTCCACTTGCAAATTCCACAAAAAGAGTGTTTCAAATCTGCTCTGTCTAAAGGAAGGTTGAACTCTGTGAGTTGCATACACACAACACAAAGAAGTTACTGAGAAATCTTCTGTCTAGCATAATATGAAGAAATCCCGTTTCCAACGAAGGCCTCAAAGAGGTCGGAATATCCACTGGCAGGCTTCACAAACAGAGTGTTTCCTAACTGCTCTGTGAAAAGAAAGGTTAAACTCTGTGAGTTGAACGCACACATCACAAAGGAGTTTCTGAGAATCATTCTCTCTAGTTTTTATAGGAAAATATTTCCTTTTCTGCTTTTGGCCTCAAAGCGCTTGAAATCTCCACTTGCAAATTCCACAAAAAGAGACTTTCAAATCTGCTCTGTCTAAAGGAAGGTTCAAATCTGTCAGTTGAATACACACAACACAAAGAAAGTTACTAAGAATTCTTCCCTCTAGCATTATATGAAGAAATCCCGTTTCCAACGAAGGCCTCAAAGAGGTCTGAATATCCACTTGCAGACTTTACAGAGTGTTTCCTAACTGCTCTTTGAAAAGAAAGGTTAAACTCTGTGAGTTGAACGCACACATCACAAAACAGTTTCTGAGAATCATTCTGTCTAGTTTTTATACGAAGATATTTCCTTTTCTACCGTTGACCTCAAAGCAGCTGAATTCTCCACTTACAAATTCCACCAAAAGAGTGTCTCAAATCTGCTCTGTGTAAAGAATCATTCAACTCTGTGAGTTGAATGCACACAACACAAGGGAAGTTACTGGGAATTCCTCTGTCTATCCTTACATGAAAAAACCCGTTTCCAACGAAGGCCTCTAAGAGGCCAAGATATCCACTTGCAGACTTTACAAACAGAGTGTTTCCAAACTGCTGAATGAAAAGAAAAGTTAAACTCTGTGAGTTGAACGCACACATCACAGAGCAGTTTCTGAGAATGATTCTGTCGGGTTTTTATACGAAGATATTTCCTTTTCTGCCTTTGGCCTCAAAGCGCTTGAAGTCTCCACTTGCAAATTGCAGAAAAAGAGTGTTTCGAATCTGCTCTGTCTAAAGGAAGGTTCAACTCTGTCAGTTGAATACACACAACACAAGGAAGTTACTGAGATTTCTTCTGTCTAGCCTTACATGAAAAAAACCCGTTTCCAACGAAGGCCTCAAAGATGTCAAAATATCCACGTGCAGACTTTCCAAACAGAGTGTTTCCAAACTGCTGAATGAAAAGAAAAGTTAAACTCTGTGAGTTGAACGCACACATCCCAGAGCAGTTTCTGAGAAAGATTCTGTCTAGTTTTTATAGGAAAATATTTCCTTTTCTGCTTTTGGCCTCAAAGCGCTTGAAATCTCCACTTGCAAATTCCACAAAAAGAGACTTTCAAATCTGCTCTGTCTAAAGGAAGGTTCAACTCTGTCAGTTGAATACACACAACACAAAGAAGTTACTAAGAATTCTTCCCTCTAGCATTATATGAAGAAATCCCGTTTCCAACGAAGGCATCTAAGAGGTCCAAATATCCACTTGCAGACTTTACAAACACAGGGTTTCCAGAATGCTGTATGAAAAGAAAGGTTAAACTCTGTGAGTTAAACACACACATCACTACGCAGTGTCTGGGAACGAGTTTGTCTTGTTTTTCTACGAAGATATTTCTTTTCTACCATTGGCATCGAAGCGCTTGAAATCTCCACTTGCAAATTCCACAAAAAGAGTGTTTCAAATCTGCTCTGTCTAAAGGAAGGTTGAACTCTGTGAGTTGCATACACACAACACAAAGAAGTTACTGAGAAATCTTCTGTCTAGCATAATATGAAGAAATCCCGTTTCCAACGAAGGCCTCAAAGAGGTCCGAATATCCACTGGCAGGCTTCACAAACAGAGTGTTTCCTAACTGCTCTGTGAAAAGAAAGGTTAAACTCTGTGAGTTGAACGCACACATCACAAAGGAGTTTCTGAGAATCATTCTGTCTAGTTTTTATACGAAGATATTTCCTTTTCTACCATTGACCTCAAAGCGGCTGAAATCTCCACTTGCAAATTCCAGAAAAACAGTGTTTCAAATCTGCTCTGTGTAAAGGATCGTTCAACTCTGTGAGTTGAATACACACAACACAAGGAAGTTACTGAGAATTCATCTGTCTAGCATAATATGAAGAAATCCCGTTTCCAACGAAGGCCTCAAAGAGGTCTGAATATCCACTTGCAGACTTTACAAACAGAGTGTTTCCTAACTGCTCTTTGAAAAGAAAGGTTAAACTCTGTGAGTTGAACGCACACATCACAAAACAGTTTCTGAGAATCATTCTGTCTAGTTTTTATACGAAGATATTTCCTTTTCTACCGTTGACCTCAAAGCGGCTGAATTCTCCACTTACAAATTCCACCAAAAGAGTGTCTCAAATCTGCTCTGTGTAAAGAATCATTCAACTCTGTGAGTTGAATGCACACAACACAAGGAAGTTACTGGGAATTCCTCTGTCTAACCTTACATGAAAAAACCCGTTTCCAACGAAGGCCTCTAAGAGGCCAAGATATCCACTTGCAGACTTTACAAACAGAGTGTTTCCAAACTGCTGAATGAAAAGAAAAGTTAAACTCTGTGAGTTGAACGCACACATCACAGAGCAGTTTCTGAGAATGATTCTGTCGGGTTTTTATACGAAGATATTTCCTTTTCTGCCTTTGGCCTCAAAGCGCTTGAAGTCTCCACTTGCAAATTGCAGAAAAAGAGTGTTTCGAATCTGCTCTGTCTAAAGGAAGGTTCAACTCTGTCAGTTGAATACACACAACACAAGGAAGTTACTGAGATTTCTTCTGTCTAGCCTTACATGAAAAAAACCCGTTTCCAACGAAGGCCTCAAAGAGGTCAAAATATCCACGTGCAGACTTTCCAAACAGAGTGTTTCCAAACTGCTGAATGAAAAGAAAAGTTAAACTCTGTGAGTTGAACGCACACATCCCAGAGCAGTTTCTGAGAAAGATTCTGTCGAGTTTTTATAGGAAAATATTTCCTTTTCTGCTTTTGGCCTCAAAGCGCTTGAAATCTCCACTTGCAAATTCCACAAAAAGAGACTTTCAAATCTGCTCTGTCTAAAGGAAGGTTCAACTCTGTCAGTTGAATACACACAACACAAAGAAGTTACTAAGAATTCTTCCCTCTAGCATTATATGAAGAAATCCCGTTTCCAACGAAGGCATCTAAGAGGTCCAAATATCCACTTGCAGACTTTACAAACACAGGGTTTCCAGAATGCTGTATGAAAAGAAAGGTGAAACTCTGTGAGTTAAACACACACATCACTACGCAGTGTCTGGGAACGAGTTTGTCTTGTTTTTCTACGAAGATATTTCCTTTTCTACCATTGGCATCGAAGCGCTTGAAATCTCCACTTGCAAATTCCACAAAAAGAGTGTTTCAAATCTGCTCTGTCTAAAGGAAGGTTGAACTCTGTGAGTTGCATACACACAACACAAAGAAGTTACTGAGAAATCTTCTGAATAGCATAATATGAAGAAATCCCGTTTCCAACGAAGGCCTCAAAGAGGTCCGAATATCCACTGGCAGGCTTCACAAACAGAGTGTTTCCTAACTGCTCTGTGAAAAGAAAGGTTAAACTCTGTGAGTTGAACGCACACATCACAAAGGAGTTTCTGAGAATCATTCTGTCTAGTTTTTATACGAAGATATTTCTTTTTCTACCATTGACCTCAAAGCGGCTGAAATCTCCACTTGCAAATTCCAGAAAAACAGTGTTTCAAATCTGCTCTGTGTAAAGGATCGTTCAACTCTGTGAGTTGAATACACACAACACAAGGAAGTTACTGAGAATTCATCCCTCTAGCATTATATGAAGAAATCCCGTTTCCAACGAAGGCCTCAAAGAGGTCTGAATATCCACTTGCAGACTTTACAGAGTGTTTCCTAACTGCTCTTTGAAAAGAAAGGTTAAACTCTGTGAGTTGAACGCACACATCACAAAACAGTTTCTGAGAATCATTCTGTCTAGTTTTTATACGAAGGATATTTCCTTTTCTACCGTTGACCCCAAAGCGGCTGAATTCTCCACTTACAAATTCCACCAAAAGAGTGTCTCAAATCTGCTCTGTGTAAAGAATCATTCAACTCTGTGAGTTCAATGCACACAACACAAGGAAGTTACTGGGAATTCCTCTGTCTAACCTTACATGAAAAAAACCCGTTTCCAACGAAGGCCTCTAAGAGACCAATATATCCACTTGCAGAGTTTACAAACAGAGTGTTTCCAAACTGCTGAATGAAAAGAAAAGTTAAACTCTGTGTGTTGAACGCACACATCACAGAGCAGTTTCTGAGAATGATTCTGTCGGGTTTTTATACGAAGATATTTCCTTTTCTGCCTTTGGCCTCAAAGCGCTTGAAGTCTCCACTTGCAAATTGCAGAAAAAGAGTGTTTCGAATCTGCTCTGTCTAAAGGAAGGTTCAACTCTGTCAGTTGAATACACACAACACAAGGAAGTTACCGAGATTTCTTCTGTCTAGCCGTACATGAAAAAAACCCGTTTCCAACGAAGGCCTCAAAGATGTCAAAATATCCACGTGCAGACTTTCCAAACAGAGTGTTTACAAACTGCTGAATGAAAAGAAAAGTTAAACTCTGTGAGTTGAACGCACACATCCCAGAGCAGTTTCTGAGAAAGATTCTGTCTAGTTTTTACAGGAAAATATTTCCTTTTCTGCTTTTGGCCTCAAAGCGCTTGAAATCTCCACTTGCAAATTCCACAAAAAGAGACTTTCAAATCTGCTCTGTCTAAAGGAAGGTTCAACTCTGTCAGTTGAATACACACAACACAAAGAAGTTACTAAGAATTCTTCCCTCTAGCATTATATGAAGAAATCCCGTTTCCAACGAAGGCATCTAAGAGGTCCAAATATCCACTTGCAGACTTTACAAACAGAGGGTTTCCAGAATGCTGTATGAAAAGAAAGGTTAAACTCTGTGAGTTAAACACACACATCACTACGCAGTGTCTGGGAACGAGTTTGTCTTGTTTTTATACGAAGATATTTCCTTTTCTACCATTGGCATCGAAGCGCTTGAAATCTCCACTTGCAAATTCCACAAAAAGAGTGTTTCAAATCTGCTCTGTCTAAAGGAAGGTTGAACTCTGTGAGTTGCATATACACAACACAAAGAAGTTACTGAGAAATCTTTTGTCTAGCATAATATGAAGAAATCCCGTTTCCAACGAAGGCCTGAAAGAGGTCCGAATATCCACTGGCAGGCTTCACAAACAGAGTGTTTCCTAACTGCTCTGTGAAAAGAAAGGTTAAACTCTGTGAGTTGAACGCACACATCACAAAGGAGTTTCTGAGAATCATTCTGTCTAGTTTTTATACGAAGATATTTCCTTTTCTACCATTGACCTCAAAGCGGCTGAAATCTCCACTTGCAAATTCCAGAAAAACAGTGTTTCAAATCTGCTCTGTGTAAAGGATCGTTCAACTCTGTGAGTTGAATACACACAACACAAGGAAGTTACTGAGAATTCATCTGTCTAGCATAATATGAAGAAATCCCGTTTCCAACGAAGGCCTCAAAGAGGTCTGAATATCCACTTGCAGACTTTACAAACAGAGTGTTTCCTAACTGCTCTTTGAAAAGAAAGGTTAAACTCTGTGAGTTGAACGCACACATCACAAAACAGTTTCTGAGAATCATTCTGTCTAGTTTTTATACGAAGGTATTTCCTTTTCTACCGTTGACCTCAAAGCGGCTGAATTCTCCACTTACAAATTCCACCCAAAGAGTGTCTCAAATCTGCTCTGTGTAAAGAATCATTCAACTCTGTGAGTTGAATGCACACAACACAAGGAAGTTACTGGGAATTCCTCTGTCTAACCTTACATGAAAAAACCCGTTTCCAACGAAGGCCTCTAAGAGGCCAAGATATCCACTTGCAGACTTTACAAACAGAGTGTTTCCAAACTGCTGAATGAAAAGAAAAGTTAAACTCTGTGAGTTGAACGCACACATCACAGAGCAGTTTCTGAGAATGATTCTGTCGGGTTTTTATACGAAGATATTTCCTTTTCTGCCTTTGGCCTCAAAGCGCTTGAAGTCTCCACTTGCAAATTGCAGAAAAAGAGTGTTTCAAATCTGCTCTGTCTAAAGGAAGGTTCAACTCTGTCAGTTGAATACACACAACACAAGGAAGTTACTGAGATTTCTTCTGTCTAGCCTTACATGAAAAAAACCCGTTTCCAACGAAGGCCTCAAAGAGGTCAAAATATCCACGTGCAGACTTTCCAAACAGAGTGTTTCCAAACTGCTGAATGAAAAGAAAAGTTAAACTCTGTGAGTTGAACGCACACATCCCAGAGCAGTTTCTGAGAAAGATTCTGTCTAGTTTTTATAGGAAAATATTTCCTTTTCTGCTTTTGGCCTCAAAGCGCTTGAAATCTCCACTTGCAAATTCCACAAAAAGAGACTTTCAAATCTGCTCTGTCTAAAGGAAGGTTCAACTCTGTCAGTTGAATACACACAACACAAAGAAGTTACTAAGAATTCTTCCCTCTAGCATTATATGAAGAAATCCCGTTTCCAACGAAGGCATCTAAGAGGTCCAAATATCCACTTGCAGACTTTACAAACACAGGGTTTCCAGAATGCTGTATGAAAAGAAAGGTTAAACTCTGTGAGTTAAACACACACATCACTACGCAGTGTCTGGGAACGAGTTTGTCTTGTTTTTATACGAAGATATTTCCTTTTCTACCATTGGCATCGAAGCGCTTGAAATCTCCACTTGCAAATTCCACAAAAAGAGTGTTTCAAATCTGCTCTGTCTAAAGGAAGGTTGAACTCTGTGAGTTGCATACACACAACACAAAGAAGTTACTGAGAAATCTTCTGTCTAGCATAATATGAAGAAATCCCGTTTCCAACGAAGGCCTCAAAGAGGTCCGAATATCCACTGGCAGGCTTCACAAACAGAGTGTTTCCTAACTGCTCTGTGAAAAGAAAGGTTAAACTCTGTGAGTTGAACGCACACATCACAAAGGAGTTTCTGAGAATCATTCTGTCTAGTTTTTATACGAAGATATTTCTTTTTCTACCATTGACCTCAAAGCGGCTGAAATCTCCACTTGCAAATTCCAGAAAAACAGTGTTTCAAATCTGCTCTGTGTAAAGGATCGTTCAACTCTGTGAGTTGAATACACACAACACAAGGGAAGTTACTGAGAATTCATCTGTCTAGCATAATATGAAGAAATCCCGTTTCCAACGAAGGCCTCAAAGAGGTCTGAATATCCACTTGCAGACTTTACAAACAGAGTGTTTCCTAACTGCTCTTTGAAAAGAAAGGTTAAACTCTGTGAGTTGAACGCACACATCACAAAACAGTTTCTGAGAATCATTCTGTCTAGTTTTTATACGAAGATATTTCCTTTTCTACCGTTGACCTCAAAGCGGCTGAATTCTCCACTTACAAATTCCACCAAAAGAGTGTCTCAAATCTGCTCTGTGTAAAGAATCATTCAACTCTGTGAGTTGAATGCACACAACACAAGGGAAGTTACTGGGAATTCCTCTGTCTAACCTTACATGATAAAACCCGTTTCCAACGAAGGCCTCTAAGAGGCCAAGATATCCACTTGCAGACTTTACAAACAGAGTGTTTCCAAACTGCTGAATGAAAAGAAAAGTTAAACTCTGTGAGTTGAACGCACACATCACAGAGCAGTTTCTGAGAATGATTCTGTCGGGTTTTTATACGAAGATATTTCCTTTTCTGCCTTTGGCCTCAAAGCGCTTGAAGTCTCCACTTGCAAATTGCAGAAAAAGAGTGTTTCGAATCTGCTCTGTCTAAAGGAAGGTTCAACTCTGTCAGTTGAATACACACAACACAAGGAAGTTACTGAGATTTCTTCTGTCTAGCCTTACATGAAAAAAACCCGTTTCCAACGAAGGCCTCAAAGAGGTCAAAATATCCACGTGCAGACTTTCCAAACAGAGTGTTTCCAAACTGCTGAATGAAAAGAAAAGTTAAACTCTGTGAGTTGAACGCACACATCCCAGAGCAGTTTCTGAGAAAGATTCTGTCGAGTTTTTATAGGAAAATATTTCCTTTTCTGCTTTTGGCCTCAAAGCGCTTGAAATCTCCACTTGCAAATTCCACAAAAAGAGACTTTCAAATCTGCTCTGTCTAAAGGAAGGTTCAACTCTGTCAGTTGAATACACACAACACAAAGAAGTTACTAAGAATTCTTCCCTCTAGCATTATATGAAGAAATCCCGTTTCCAACGAAGGCATCTAAGAGGTCCAAATATCCACTTGCAGACTTTACAAACACAGGGTTTCCAGAATGCTGTATGAAAAGAAAGGTTAAACTCTGTGAGTTAAACACACACATCACTACGCAGTGTCTGGGAACGAGTTTGTCTTGTTTTTATACGAAGATATTTCCTTTTCTACCATTGGCATCGAAGCGCTTGAAATCTCCACTTGCAAATTCCACAAAAAGAGTGTTTCAAATCTGCTCTGTCTAAAGGAAGGTTGAACTCTGTGAGTTGCATACACACAACACAAAGAAGTTACTGAGAAATCTTCTGTCTAGCATAATATGAAGAAATCCCGTTTCCAACGAAGGCCTCAAAGAGGTCCGAATATCCACTGGCAGGCTTCACAAACAGAGTGTTTCCTAACTGCTCTGTGAAAAGAAAGGTTAAACTCTGTGAGTTGAACGCACACATCACAAAGGAGTTTCTGAGAATCACTCTGTCTAGTTTTTATACGAAGATATTTCTTTTTCTACCATTGACCTCAAAGCGGCTGAAATCTCCACTTGCAAATTCCAGAAAAACAGTGTTTCAAATCTGCTCTGTGTAAAGGATCGTTCAACTCTGTGAGTTGAATACACACAACACAAGGAAGTTACTGAGAATTCATCTGTCTAGCATAATATGAAGAAATCCCGTTTCCAACGAAGGCCTCAAAGAGGTCTGAATATCCACTTGCAGACTTTACAAACAGAGTGTTTCCTAACTGCTCTTTGAAAAGAAAGGTTAAACTCTGTGAGTTGAACGCACACATCACAAAACAGTTTCTGAGAATCATTCTGTCTAGTTTTTATACGAAGATATTTCCTTTTCTACCGTTGACCTCAAAGCGGCTGAATTCTCCACTTACAAATTCCACCAAAAGAGTGTCTCAAATCTGCTCTGTGTAAAGAATCATTCAACTCTGTGAGTTGAATGCACACAACACAAGGAAGTTACTGGGAATTCCTCTGTCTAACCTTACATGAAAAAACCCGTTTCCAACGAAGGCCTCTAAGAGGCCAAGATATCCACTTGCAGACTTTACAAACAGAGTGTTTCCAAACTGCTGAATGAAAAGAAAAGTTAAACTCTGTGAGTTGAACGCACACATCACAGAGCAGTTTCTGAGAATGATTCTGTCGGGTTTTTATACGAAGATATTTCCTTTTCTGCCTTTGGCCTCAAAGCGCTTGAAGTCTCCACTTGCAAATTGCAGAAAAAGAGTGTTTCGAATCTGCTCTGTCTAAAGGAAGGTTCAACTCTGTCAGTTGAATACACACAACACAAGGAAGTTACTGAGATTTCTTCTGTCTAGCCTTACATGAAAAAACCCGTTTCCAACGAAGGCCTCAAAGAGGTCAAAATATCCACGTGCAGACTTTCCAAACAGAGTGTTTCCAAACTGCTGAATGAAAAGAAAGTTAAACTCTGTGAGTTGAACACACACATCACAGAGCAGTTTCTGAGAATGATTCTGTCTAGTTTTTATAGGAAAATATTTCCTTTTCTGCTTTTGGCCTCAAAGCGCTTGAAATCTCCACTTGCAAATTCCACAAAAAGAGACTTTCAAATCTGCTCTGTCTAAAGGAAGGTTCAACTCTGTCAGTTGAATACACACAACACAAAGAAGTTACTAAGAATTCTTCCCTCTAGCATTATATGAAGAAATCCCGTTTCCAACGAAGGCATCTAAGAGGTCCAAATATCCACTTGCAGACTTTACAAACAGAGGGTTTCCAGAATGCTGTATGAAAAGAAAGGTTAAACTCTGTGAGTTAAACACACACATCACTACGCAGTGTCTGGGAACGAGTTTGTCTTGTTTTTATACGAAGATATTTCCTTTTCTACCATTGGCATCGAAGCGCTTGAAATCTCCACTTGCAAATTCCACAAAAAGAGTGTTTCAAATCTGCTCTGTCTAAAGGAAGGTTGAACTCTGTGAGTTGCATACACACAACACAAAGAAGTTACTGAGAAATCTTCTGTCTAGCATAATATGAAGAAATCCCGTTTCCAACGAAGGCCTCAAAGAGGTCCGATTATCCACTGGCAGGCTTCACAAACAGAGTGTTTCCTAACTGCTCTGTGAAAAGAAAGGTTAAACTCTGTGAGTTGAACGCACACATCACAAAGGAGTTTCTGAGAATCATTCTGTCTAGTTTTTATACGAAGATATTTCCTTTTCTACCATTGACCTCAAAGCGGCTGAAATCTCCACTTGCAAATTCCAGAAAAACAGTGTTTCAAATCTGCTCTGTGTAAAGGATCGTTCAACTCTGTGAGTTGAATACACACAACAGAAGGAAGTTACTGAGAATTCATCTGTCTAGCATAATATGAAGAAATCCCGTTTCCAACGAAGGCCTCAAAGAGGTCTGAATATCCACTTGCAGACTTTACAAACAGAGTGTTTCCTAACTGCTCTCTGAAAAGAAAGGTTAAACTCTGTGAGTTGAACGCACACATCAAAAAACAGTTTCTGAGAATCATTCTGTCTAGTTTTTATACGAAGATATTTCCTCTTCTACCGTTGACCTCAAAGCGGCTGAATTCTCCACTTACAAATTCCACCAAAAGAGTGTCTCAAATCTGCTCTGTGTAAAGAATCATTCAACTCTGTGAGTTGAATGCACACAACACAAGGAAGTTACTGGGAATTCCTCTGTCTAACCTTACATGAAAAAACCCGTTTCCAACGAAGGCCTCTAAGAGGCCAAGATATCCACTTGCAGACTTTACAAACAGAGTGTTTCCAAACTGCTGAATGAAAAGAAAAGTTAAACTCTGTGAGTTGAACGCACACATCACAGAGCAGTTTCTGAGAATGATTCTGTCGGGTTTTTATACGAAGATATTTCCTTTTCTGCCTTTGGCCTCAAAGCGCTTGAAGTCTCCACTTGGAAATTGCAGAAAAAGAGTGTTTCGAATCTGCTCTGTCTAAAGGAAGGTTCAACTCTGTCAGTTGAATACACACAACACAAGGAAGTTACTGAGATTTCTTCTGTCTAGCCTTACATGAAAAAACCCGTTTCCAAAGAAGGCCTCAAAGAGGTCAAAATATCCACGTGCAGACTTTCCAAACAGAGTGTTTCCAAACTGCTGAATGAAAAGAAAGTTAAACTCTGTGAGTTGAACACACACATCACAGAGCAGTTTCTGAGAATGATTCTGTCTAGTTTTTATAGGAAAATATTTCCTTTTCTGCTTTTGGCCTCAAAGCGCTTGAAATCTCCACTTGCAAATTCCACAAAAAGAGACTTTCAAATCTGCTCTGTCTAAAGGAAGGTTCAACTCTGTCAGTTGAATACACACAACACAAAGAAGTTACTAAGAATTCTTCCCTCTAGCATTATATGAAGAAATCCCGTTTCCAACGAAGGCATCTAAGAGGTCCAAATATCCACTTGCAGACTTTACAAACAGAGGGTTTCCAGAATGCTGTATGAAAAGAAAGGTGAAACTCTGTGAGTTAAACACACACATCACTACGCAGTGTCTGGGAACGAGTTTGTCTTGTTTTTATACGAAGATATTTCCTTTTCTACCATTGGCATCGAAGCGCTTGAAATCTCCACTTGCAAATTCCACAAAAAGAGTGTTTCAAATCTGCTCTGTCTAAAGGAAGGTTGAACTCTGTGAGTTGCATACACACAACACAAAGAAGTTACTGAGAAATCTTCTGTCTAGCATAATATGAAGAAATCCCGTTTCCAACGAAGGCCTCAAAGAGGTCCGAATATCCACTGGCAGGCTTCACAAACAGAGTGTTTCCTAACTGCTCTGTGAAAAGAAAGGTTAAACTCTGTGAGTTGAACGCACACATCACAAAGGAGTTTCTGAGAATCATTCTGTCTAGTTTTTATACGAAGATATTTCCTTTTCTACCATTGACCTCAAAGCGGCTGAAATCTCCACTTGCAAATTCCAGAAAAACAGTGTTTCAAATCTGCTCTGTGTAAAGGATCGTTCAACTCTGTGAGTTGAATACACACAACACAAGGAAGTTACTGAGAATTCATCTGTCTAGCATAATATGAAGAAATCCCGTTTCCAACGAAGGCCTCAAAGAGGTCTGAATATCCACTTGCAGACTTTACAAACAGAGTGTTTCCTAACTGCTCTTTGAAAAGAAAGGTTAAACTCTGTGAGTTGAACGCACACATCACAAAACAGTTTCTGAGAATCATTCTGTCTAGTTTTTATACGAAGATATTTCCTTTTCTACCGTTGACCTCAAAGCGGCTGAATTCTCCACTTACAAATTCCACCAAAAGAGTGTCTCAAATCTGCTCTGTGTAAAGAATCATTCAACTCTGTGAGTTGAATGCACACAACACAAGGAAGTTACTGGGAATTCCTCTGTCTAACCTTACATGAAAAAACCCGTTTCCAACGAAGGCCTCTAAGAGGCCAAGATATCCACTTGCAGACTTTACAAACAGAGTGTTTCCAAACTGCTGAATGAAAAGAAAAGTTAAACTCTGTGAGTTGAACGCACACATCACAGAGCAGTTTCTGAGAATGATTCTGTCGGGTTTTTATACGAAGATATTTCCTTTTCTGCCTTTGGCCTCAAAGCGCTTGAAGTCTCCACTTGCAAATTGCAGAAAAAGAGTGTTTCGAATCTGCTCTGTCTAAAGGAAGGTTCAACTCTGTCAGTTGAATACACACAACACAAGGAAGTTACTGAGATTTCTTCTGTCTAGCCTTACATGAAAAAAACCCGTTTCCAACGAAGGCCTCAAAGAGGTCAAAATATCCACGTGCAGACTTTCCAAACAGAGTGTTTCCAAACTGCTGAATGAAAAGAAAAGTTAAACTCTGTGAGTTGAACGCACACATCCCAGAGCAGTTTCTGAGAAAGATTCTGTCTAGTTTTTATAGGAAAATATTTCCTTTTCTGCTTTTGGCCTCAAAGCGCTTGAAATCTCCACTTGCAAATTCCACAAAAAGAGACTTTAAAATCTGCTCTGTCTAAAGGAAGGTTCAACTCTGTCAGTTGAATACACACAACACAAAGAAGTTACTAAGAATTCTTCCCTCTAGCATTATATGAAGAAATCCCGTTTCCAACGAAGGCATCTAAGAGGTCCAAATATCCACTTGCAGACTTTACAAACACAGGGTTTCCAGAATGCTGTATGAAAAGAAAGGTTAAACTCTGTGAGTTAAACACACACATCACTACGCAGTGTCTGGGAACGAGTTTGTCTTGTTTTTATACGAAGATATTTCCTTTTCTACCATTGGCATCGAAGCGCTTGAAATCTCCACTTGCAAATTCCACAAAAAGAGTGTTTCAAATCTGCTCTGTCTAAAGGAAGGTTGAACTCTGTGAGTTGCATACACACAACACAAAGAAGTTACTGAGAAATCTTCTGTCTAGCATAATATGAAGAAATCCCGTTTCCAACGAAGGCCTCAAAGAGGTCCGAATATCCACTGGCAGGCTTCACAAACAGAGTGTTTCCTAACTGCTCTGTGAAAAGAAAGGTTAAACTCTGTGAGTTGAACGCACACATCACAAAGGAGTTTCTGAGAATCATTCTGTCTAGTTTTTATACGAAGATATTTCTTTTTCTACCATTGACCTCAAAGCGGCTGAAATCTCCACTTGCAAATTCCAGAAAAACTGTGTTTCAAATCTGATCTGTGTAAAGGATCGTTCAACTCTGTGAGTTGAATACACACAACACAAGGAAGTTACTGAGAATTCATCTGTCTAGCATAATATGAAGAAATCCCGTTTCCAACGAAGGCCTCAAAGAGGTCTGAATATCCACTTGCAGACTTTACAAACAGAGTGTTTCCTAACTGCTCTTTGAAAAGAAAGGTTAAACTCTGTGAGTTGAACGCACACATCACAAAACAGTTTCTGAGAATCATCTGTCTAGTTTTTATACGAAGATATTTCCTTTTCTACCGTTGACCTCAAAGCGGCTGAATTCTCCACTTACAAATTCCACCAAAAGAGTGTCTCAAATCTGCTCTGTGTAAAGAATCATTCAACTCTGTGAGTTGAATGCACACAACACAAGGAAGTTACTGGGAATTCCTGTGTCTATCCTTACATGAAAAAACCCGTTTCCAACGAAGGCCTCTAAGAGGCCAAGATATCCACTTGCAGACTTTACAAACAGAGTGTTTCCAAACTGCTGAATGAAAAGAAAAGTTAAACTCTGTGAGTTGAACGCACACATCACAGAGCAGTTTCTGAGAATGATTCTGTCGGGTTTTTATACGAAGATATTTCCTTTTCTGCCTTTGGCCTCAAAGCGCTTGAAGTCTCCACTTGCAAATTGCAGAAAAAGAGTGTTTCGAATCTGCTCTGTCTAAAGGAAGGTTCAACTCTGTCAGTTGAATACACACAACACAAGGAAGTTACTGAGATTTCTTCTGTCTAGCCTTACATGAAAAAAACCCGTTTCCAACGAAGGCCTCAAAGAGGTCAAAATATCCACGTGCAGACTTTCCAAACAGAGTGTTTCCAAACTGCTGAATGAAAAGAAAGGTAAACTCTGTGAGTTGAACACACACATCACAGAGCAGTTTCTGAGAATGATTCTCTCTAGTTTTTATAAGAAAATATTTCCTTTTCTGCTTTTGGCCTCAAAGCGCTTGAAATCTCCACTTGCAAATTCCACAAAAAGAGACTTTCAAATCTGCTCTGTCTAAAGGAAGGTTCAACTCTGTCAGTTCAATACACACAACACAAAGAAGTTACTAAGAATTCTTCCCTCTAGCATTATATGAAGAAATCCCGTTTCCAACGAAGGCCTCAAAGAGGTCTGAATATCCACTTGCAGATTTTACAGAGTGTTTCCTAACTGCTCTTTGAAAAGAAAGGTTAAACTCTGTGAGTTGAACGCACACATCACAAAACAGTTTCTGAGAATCATTCTGTCTAGTTTTTATACGAAGATATTTCCTTTTCTACCGTTGACCTCAAAGCGGCTGAATTCTCCACTTACAAATTCCACCAAAAGAGTGTCTCAAATCTGCTCTGTGTAAAGAATCATTCAACTCTGTGAGTTGAATGCACACAACACAAGGAAGTTACTGGGAATTCCTCTGTCTAACCTTACATGAAAAAACCCGTTTCCAACGAAGGCCTCTAAGAGGCCAAGATATCCACTTGCAGACTTTACAAACAGAGTGTTTCCAAACTGCTGAATGAAAAGAAAAGTTAAACTCTGTGAGTTGAACGCACACATCACAGAGCAGTTTCTGAGAATGATTCTGTCGGGTTTTTATACGAAGATATTTCCTTTTCTGCCTTTGGCCTCAAAGCGCTTGAAGTCTCCACTTGCAAATTGCAGAAAAAGAGTGTTTCGAATCTGCTCTGTCTAAAGGAAGGTTCAACTCTGTCAGTTGAATACACACAACACAAGGAAGTTACTGAGATTTCTTCTGTCTAGCCTTACATGAAAAAAACCCGTTTCCAACGAAGGCCTCAAAGAGGTCAAAATATCCACGTGCAGACTTTCCAAACAGAGTGTTTCCAAACTGCTGAATGAAAAGAAAAGTTAAACTCTGTGAGTTGAACGCACACATCCCAGAGCAGTTTCTGAGAAAGATTCTGTCGAGTTTTTATAGGAAAATATTTCCTTTTCTGCTTTTGGCCTCAAAGCGCTTGAAATCTCCACTTGCAAATTCCACAAAAAGAGACTTTCAAATCTGCTCTGTCTAAAGGAAGGTTCAACTCTGTCAGTTGAATACACACAACACAAAGAAGTTACTAAGAATTCTTCCCTCTAGCATTATATGAAGAAATCCCGTTTCCAACGAAGGCATCTAAGAGGTCCAAATATCCACTTGCAGACTTTACAAACACAGGGTTTCCAGAATGCTGTATGAAAAGAAAGGTTAAACTCTGTGAGTTAAACACACACATCACTACGCAGTGTCTGGGAACGAGTTTGTCTTGTTTTTATACGAAGATATTTCCTTTTCTACCATTTGCATCGAAGCGCTTGAAATCTCCACTTGCAAATTCCACAAAAAGAGTGTTTCAAATATGCTCTCTCTAAAGGAAGGTTGAACTCTGTAAGTTGCATACACACAACACAAAGAAGTTACTGAGAAATCTTCTGTCTAGCATAATATGAAGAAATCCCGTTTCCAACGAAGGCCTCAAAGAGGTCCGAATATCCACTGGCAGGCTTCACAAACAGAGTGTTTCCTAACTGCTCTGTGAAAAGAAAGGTTAAACTCTGTGAGTTGAACGCACACATCACAAAGGAGTTTCTGAGAATCATTCTGTCTAGTTTTTATACGAAGATATTTCCTTTTCTACCATTGACCTCAAAGCGGCTGAAATCTCCACTTGCAAATTCCAGAAAAACAGTGTTTCAAATCTGCTCTGTGTAAAGGATCGTTCAACTCTGTGAGTTGAATACACACAACAGAAGGAAGTTACTGAGAATTCATCTGTCTAGCATAATATGAAGAAATCCCGTTTCCAACGAAGGCCTCAAAGAGGTCTGAATATCCACTTGCAGACTTTACAAACAGAGTGTTTCCTAACTGCTCTCTGAAAAGAAAGGTTAAACTCTGTGAGTTGAACGCACACATCAAAAAACAGTTTCTGAGAATCATTCTGTCTAGATTTTATACGAAGATATTTCCTTTTCTACCGTTGACCTCAAAGCGGCTGAATTCTCCACTTACAAATTCCACCCAAAGAGTGTCTCAAATCTGCTCTGTGTAAAGAATCATTCAACTCTGTGAGTTGAATGCACACAACACAAGGAAGTTACTGGGAATTCCTCTGTCTATCCTTACATGAAAAAACCCGTTTCCAACGAAGGCCTCTAAGAGGCCAAGATATCCACTTGCAGACTTTACAAACAGAGTGTTTCCAAACTGCTGAATGAAAAGAAAAGTTAAACTCTGTGAGTTGAACGCACACATCACAGAGCAGTTTCTGAGAATGATTCTGTCGGGTTTTTATACGAAGATATTTCCTTTTCTGCCTTTGGCCTCAAAGCGCTTGAAGTCTCCACTTGCAAATTGCAGAAAAAGAGTGTTTCGAATCTGCTCTGTCTAAAGGAAGGTTCAACTCTGTCAGTTGAATACACACAACACAAGGAAGTTACTGAGATTTCTTCTGTCTAGCCTTACATGAAAAAAACCCGTTTCCAACGAAGGCCTCAAAGAGGTCAAAATATCCACGTGCAGACTTTCCAAACAGAGTGTTTCCAAACTGCAGAATGAAAAGAAAAGTTAAACTCTGTGAGTTGAACGCACACATCCCAGAGCAGTTTCTGAGAAAGATTCTGTCGAGTTTTTATAGGAAAATATTTCCTTTTCTGCTTTTGGCCTCAAAGCGCTTGAAATCTCCACTTGCAAATTCCACAAAAAGAGACTTTCAAATCTGCTCTGTCTAAAGGAAGGTTCAACTCTGTCAGTTGAATACACACAACACAAAGAAGTTACTAAGAATTCTTCCCTCTAGCATTATATGAAGAAATCCCGTTTCCAACGAAGGCATCTAAGAGGTCCAAATATCCACTTGCAGACTTTACAAACACAGGGTTTCCAGAATGCTGTATGAAAAGAAAGGTGAAACTCTGTGAGTTAAACACACACATCACTACGCAGTGTCTGGGAACGAGTTTGTCTTGTTTTTATACGAAGATATTTCCTTTTCTACCATTGGCATCGAAGCGCTTGAAATCTCCACTTGCAAATTCCACAAAAAGAGTGTTTCAAATCTGCTCTGTCTAAAGGAAGGTTGAACTCTGTGAGTTGCATACACACAACACAAAGAAGTTACTGAGAAATCTTCTGTCTAGCATAATATGAAGAAATCCCGTTTCCAACGAAGGCCTCAAAGAGGTCCGAATATCCACTGGCAGGCTTCACAAACAGAGTGTTTCCTAACTGCTCTGTGAAAAGAAAGGTTAAACTCTGTGAGTTGAACGCACACATCACAAAGGAGTTTCTGAGAATCATTCTGTCTAGTTTTTATACGAAGATATTTCCTTTTCTACCATTGACCTCAAAGCGGCTGAAATCTCCACTTGCAAATTCCAGAAAAACAGTGTTTCAAATCTGCTCTGTGTAAAGGATCGTTAAACTCTGTGAGTTGAATACACACAACACAAGGAAGTTACTGAGAATTCATCTGTCTAGCATAATATGAAGAAATCCCGTTTCCAACGAAGGCCTCAAAGAGGTCTGAATATCCACTTGCAGACTTTACAAACAGAGTGTTTCCTAACTGCTCTTTGAAAAGAAAGGTTAAACTCTGTGAGTTGAACGCACACATCACAAAACAGTTTCTGAGAATCATTCTGTCTAGTTTTTATACGAAGATATTTCCTTTTCTACCGTTGACCTCAAAGCGGCTGAATTCTCCACTTACAAATTCCACCAAAAGAGTGTCTCAAATCTGCTCTGTGTAAAGAATCATTCAACTCTGTGAGTTGAATGCACACAACACAAGGAAGTTACTGGGAATTCCTCTGTCTAACCTTACATGAAAAAACCCGTTTCCAACGAAGGCCTCTAAGAGGCCAAGATATCCACTTGCAGACTTTACAAACAGAGTGTTTCCAAACTGCTGAATGAAAAGAAAAGTTAAACTCTGTGAGTTGAACGCACACATCACAGAGCAGTTTCTGAGAATGATTCTGTCGGGTTTTTATACGAAGATATTTCCTTTTCTGCCTTTGGCCTCAAAGCGCTTGAAGTCTCCACTTGCAAATTGCAGAAAAAGAGTGTTTCGAATCTGCTCTGTCTAAAGGAAGGTTCAACTCTGTCAGTTGAATACACACAACACAAGGGAATTTACTGAGATTTCTTCTGTCTAGCCTTACATGAAAAAAACCCGTTTCCAACGAAGGCCTCAAAGAGGTCAAAATATCCACGTGCAGACTTTCCAAACAGAGTGTTTCCAAACTGCTGAATGAAAAGAAAAGTTAAACTCTGTGAGTTGAACGCACACATCCCAGAGCAGTTTCTGAGAAAGATTCTGTCGAGTTTTTATAGGAAAATATTTCCTTTTCTGCTTTTGGCCTCAAAGCGCTTGAAATCTCCACTTGCAAATTCCACAAAAAGAGACTTTCAAATCTGCTCTGTCTAAAGGAAGGTTCAACTCTGTCAGTTGAATGCACACAACACAAAGAAGTTACTAAGAATTCTTCCCTCTAGCATTATATGAAGAAATCCCGTTTCCAACGAAGGCATCTAAGAGGTCCAAATATCCACTTGCAGACTTTACAAACAGAGGGTTTCCAGAATGCTGTATGAAAAGAAAGGTGAAACTCAGTGAGTTAAACACACACATCACTACGCAGTGTCTGGGAACGAGTTTGTCTTGTTTTTATACGAAGATATTTCCTTTTCTACCATTGGCATCGAAGCGCTTGAAATCTCCACTTGCAAATTCCACAAAAAGAGTGTTTCAAATCTGCTCTGTCTAAAGGAAGGTTGAACTCTGTGAGTTGCATACACACAACACAAAGAAGTTACTGAGAAATCTTCTGTCTAGCATAATATGAAGAAATCCCGTTTCCAACGAAGGCCTCAAAGAGGTCCGAATATCCACTGGCAGGCTTCACAAACAGAGTGTTTCCTAACTGCTCTGTGAAAAGAAAGGTTAAACCCTGTGAGTTGAACGCACACATCACAAAGGAGTTTCTGAGAATCATTCTGTCTAGTTTTTATACGAAGATATTTCCTTTTCTACCATTGACCTCAAAGCGGCTGAAATCTCCACTTGCAAATTCCAGAAAAACAATGTTTCAAATCTGCTTTGTGTAAAGGATCGTTCAACTCTGTGAGTTGAATACACACAACACAAGGAAGTTACTGAGAATTCATCTGTCTAGCATAATATGAAGAAATCCCGTTTCCAACGAAGGCCTCAAAGAGGTCTGAATATCCACTTGCAGACTTTACAAACAGAGTGTTTCCTAACTGCTCTTTGAAAAGAAAGGTTAAACTCTGTGAGTTGAACGCACACATCACAAAACAGTTTCTGAGAATCATTCTGTCTAGTTTTTATACGAAGATATTTCCTTTTCTACCGTTGACCTCAAAGCGGCTGAATTCTCCACTTACAAATTCCACCAAAAGAGTGTCTCAAAACCGCTCTGTGTAAAGAATCATTCAACTCTGTGAGTTGAATGCACACAACACAAGGAAGTTACTGGGAATTCCTCTGTCTATCCTTACATGAAAAAACCCGTTTCCAACGAAGGCCTCTAAGAGGCCAAGATATCCACTTGCAGACTTTACAAACAGAGTGTTTCCAAACTGCTGAATGAAAAGAAAAGTTAAACTCTGTGAGTTGAACGCACACATCACAGAGCAGTTTCTGAGAATGATTCTGTCGGGTTTTTATACGAAGATATTTCCTTTTCTGCCTTTGGCCTCAAAGCGCTTGAAGTCTCCACTTGCAAATTGCAGAAAAAGAGCGTTTCGAATCTGCTCTGTCTAAAGTAAGGTTCAACTCTGTCAGTTGAATACACACAACACAAGGAAGTTACTGAGATTTCTTCTGTCTAGCCTTACATGAAAAAAACCCGTTTCCAACGAAGGCCTCAAAGAGGTCAAAATATCCACGTGCAGACTTTCCAAACAGTGTTTCCAAACTGCTGAATGAAAAGAAAAGTTAAACTCTGTGAGTTGAACGCACACATCACAGAGCAGTTTCTGAGAATGATTCTGTCTAGTTTTTATAGGAAAATATTTCCTTTTCTGCTTTTGGCCTCAAAGCGCTTGAAATCTCCACTTGCAAATTCCACAAAAAGAGACTTTCAAATCTGCTCTGTCTAAAGGAAGGTTCAACTCTGTCAGTTGAATACACACAACACAAAGAAGTTACTAAGAATTCTTCCCTCTAGCATTATATGAAGAAATCCCGTTTCCAACGAAGGCATCTAAGAGGTCCAAATATCCACTTGCAGACTTTACAAACACAGGGTTTCCAGAATGCTGTATGAAAAGAAAGGTTAAACTCTGTGAGTTAAACACACACATCACTACGCAGTGTCTGGGAACGAGTTTGTCTTGTTTTTATACGAAGATATTTCCTTTTCTACCATTGGCATCGAAGCGCTTGAAATCTCCACTTGCAAATTCCACAAAAAGAGTGTTTCAAATCTGCTCTGTCTAAAGGAAGGTTGAACTCTGTGAGTTGCATACACACAACACAAAGAAGTTACTGAGAAATCTTCTGTCTAGCATAATATGAAGAAATCCCGTTTCCAACGAAGGCCTCAAAGAGGTCCGAATATCCACTGGCAGGCTTCACAAACAGAGTGTTTCCTAACTGCTCTGTGAAAAGAAAGGTTAAACTCTGTGAGTTGAACGCACACATCACAAAGGAGTTTCTGAGAATCATTCTGTCTAGTTTTTATACGAAGATATTTCCTTTTCTACCATTGACCTCAAATCGGCTGAAATCTCCACTTGCAAATTCCAGAAAAACAGTGTTTCAAATCTGCTCTGTGTAAAGGATCGTTCAACTCTGTGAGTTGAATACACACAACACAAGGAAGTTACTGAGAATTCATCTGTCTAGCATAATATGAAGAAATCCCGTTTCCAACGAAGGCCTCAAAGAGGTCTGAATATCCACTTGCAGACTTTACAAACAGAGTGTTTCCTAACTGCTCTCTGAAAAGAAAGGTTAAACTGTGTGAGTTGAATGCACACATCACAAAACAGTTTCTGAGAATCATTCTGTCTAGTTTTTATACGAAGATATTTCCTTTTCTACCGTTGACCTCAAAGCGGCTGAATTCTCCACTTACAAATTCCACCAAAAGAGTGTCTCAAATCTGCTCTGTGTAAAGAATCATTCAACTCTGTGAGTTGAATGCACACAACACAAGGAAGTTACTGGGAATTCCTCTGTCTATCCTTACATGAAAAAACCCGTTTCCAACGAAGGCCTCTAAGAGGCCAAGATATCCACTTGCAGACTTTACAAACAGAGTGTTTCCAAACTGCTGAATGAAAAGAAAAGTTAAACTCTGTGAGTTGAACGCACACATCACAGAGCAGTTTCTGAGAATGATTCTGTCGGGTTTTTATACGAAGATATTTCCTTTTCTGCCTTTGGCCTCAAAGCGCTTGAAGTCTCCACTTGCAAATTGCAGAAAAAGAGTGTTTCGAATCTGCTCTGTCTAAAGGAAGGTTCAACTCTGTCAGTTGAATACACACAACACAAGGAAGTTACTGAGATTTCTTCTGTCTAGCCTTACATGAAAAAAACCCGTTTCCAACGAAGGCCTCAAAGAGGTCAAAATATCCACGTGCAGACTTTCCAAACAGAGTGTTTCCAAACTGCTGAATGAAAAGAAAAGTTAAACTCTGTGAGTTGAACGCACACATCCCAGAGCAGTTTCTGAGAAAGATTCTGTCGAGTTTTTATAGGAAAATATTTCCTTTTCTGCTTTTGGCCTCAAAGCGCTTGAAATCTCCACTTGCAAATTCCACAAAAAGAGACTTTCAAATCTGCTCTGTCTAAAGGAAGGTTCAACTCTGTCAGTTGAATACACACAACACAAAGAAGTTACTAAGAATTCTTCCCTCTAGCATTATATGAAGAAATCCCGTTTCCAACGAAGGCATCTAAGAGGTCCAAATATCCACTTGCAGACTTTACAAACACAGGGTTTCCAGAATGCTGTATGAAAAGAAAGGTTAAACTCTGTGAGTTAAACACACACATCACTACGCAGTGTGCTGGGAACGAGTTTTGTCTTGTTTTTATACGAAGATATTTCCTTTTCTACCATTGGCATCGAAGCGTTTGAAATCTCCACTTGCAAATTCCACAAAAAGAGTGTTTCAAATCTGCTCTGTCTAAAGGAAGGTGGAACTCTGTGAGTTGCATACACACAACCCAAAGAAGTTACTGAGAAATCTTCTGTCTAGCATAATATGAAGAAATCCCGTTTCCAACGAAGGCCTCAAAGAGGTCCGAATATCCACTGGCAGGCTTCACAAACAGAGTGTTTCCTAACTGCTCTGTGAAAAGAAAGGTTAAACTCTGTGAGTTGAACGCACACATCACAAAGGAGTTTCTGAGAATCATTCTGTCTAGTTTTTATACGAAGATATTTCCTTTTCTACCATTGACCTCAAAGCGGCTGAAATCTCCACTTGCAAATTCCAGAAAAACAGTGTTTCAAATCTGCTCTGTGTAAAGGATCGTTCAACTCTGTGAGTTGAATACACACAACACAAGGAAGTTACTGAGAATTCATCTGTCTAGCATAATATGAAGAAATCCCGTTTCCAACGAAGGCCTCAAAGAGGTCTGAATATCCACTTGCAGACTTTACAAACAGAGTGTTTCCTAACTGCTCTTTGAAAAGAAAGGTTAAACTCTGTGAGTTGAACGCACACATCACAAAACAGTTTCTGAGAATCATTCTGTCTAGTTTTTATACGAAGATATTTCCTTTTCTACCGTTGACCTCAAAGCGGCTGAATTCTCCACTTACAAATTCCACCAAAAGAGTGTCTCAAATCTGCTCTGTGTAAAGAATCATTCAACTCTGTGAGTTGAATGCACACAACACAAGGAAGTTACTGGGAATTCCTCTGTCTATCCTTACATGAAAAAACCCGTTTCCAACGAAGGCCTCTAAGAGGCCAAGATATCCACTTGCAGACTTTACAAACAGAGTGTTTCCAAACTGCTGAATGAAAAGAAAAGTTAAACTCTGTGAGTTGAACGCACACATCACAGAGCAGTTTCTGAGAAAGATTCTGTCTAGTTTTTATAGGAAAATATTTCCTTTTCTGCTTTTGGCCTCAAAGCGCTTGAAATCTCCACTTGCAAATTCCACAAAAAGAGTGTTTCAAATCTGCTCTGTCTAAAGGAAGGTTGAACTCTGTGAGTTGCATACACACAACACAAAGAAGTTACTGAGAAATCTTCCCTCTAGCATTATATGAAGAAATCCCGTTTCCAACGAAGGCATCTAAGAGGTCCAAATATGCACTTGCAGACTTTACAAACAGAGGGTTTCCAGAATGCCGTATGAAAAGAAAGGTTAAACTCTGTGAGTTAAACACACACATCACTACGCAGTGTCTGGGAACGAGTTTGTCTTGTTTTTATACGAAGATATTTCCTTTTCTACCATTGGCATCGAAGCGCTTGAAATCTCCACTTGCAAATTCCACAAAAAGAGTGTTTCAAATCTGCTCTGTCTAAAGGAAGGTTGAACTCTGTGAGTTGCATACACACAACACAAAGAAGTTACTGAGAAATCTTCTGTCTAGCATAATATGAAGAAATCCCGTTTCCAACGAAGGCCTCAAAGAGGTCCGAATATCCACTGGCAGGCTTCACAAACAGAGTGTTTCCTAACTGCTCTGTGAAAAGAAAGGTTAAACTCTGTGAGTTGAACGCACACATCACAAAGGAGTTTCTGAGAATCATTCTGTCTAGTTTTTATACGAAGATATTTCCTTTTCTACCATTGACCTCAAAGCGGCTGAAATCTCCACTTGCAAATTCCAGAAAAACAGTGTTTCAAATCTGCTCTGTGTAAAGGATCGTTCAACTCTGTGAGTTGAATACACACAACACAAGGAAGTTACTGAGAATTCATCTGTCTAGCATAATATGAAGAAATCCCGTTTCCAACGAAGGCCTCAAAGAGGTCTGAATATCCTCTTGCAGACTTTACAAACAGAGTGTTTCCTAACTGCTCTTTGAAAAGAAAGGTTAAACTCTGTGAGTTGAACGCACACATCACAAAACAGTTTCTGAGAATCATTCTGTCTAGTTTTTATACGGAGATATTTCCTTTTCTACCGTTGACCTCAAAGCGGCTGAATTCTCCACTTACAAATCCCACCAAAAGAGTGTCTCAAATCTGCTCTGTGTAAAGAATCATTCAACTCTGTGAGTTGAATGCACACAACACAAGGAAGTTACTGGGAATTCCTCTGTCTAACCTTACATGAAAAAACCCGTTTCCAACGAAGGCCTCTAAGAGGCCAAGATATCCACTTGCAGACTTTACAAACAGAGTGTTTCCAAACTGCTGAATGAAAAGAAAAGTTAAACTCTGTGAGTTGAACGCACACATCACAGAGCAGTTTCTGAGAATGATTCTGTCGGGTTTTTATACGAAGATATTTCCTTTTCTGCCTTTGGCCTCAAAGCGCTTGAAGTCTCCACTTGCAAATTGCAGAAAAAGAGTGTTTCGAATCTGCTCTGTCTAAAGGAAGGTTCAACTCTGTCAGTTGAATACACACAACACAAGGAAGTTACTGAGATTTCTTCTGTCTAGCCTTACATGAAAAAAACCCGTTTCCAACGAAGGCCTCAAAGAGGTCAAAATATCCACGTGCAGACTTTCCAGAGTGTTTCCAAACTGCTGAATGAAAAGAAAAGTTAAACTCTGTGAGTTGAACGCACACATCCCAGAGCAGTTTCTGAGAAAGATTCTGTCGAGTTTTTATACGAAAATATTTCCTTTTCTGCTTTTGGCCTCAAAGCGCTTGAAATCTCCACTTGCAAATTCCACAAAAAGAGACTTTCAAATCTGCTCTGTCTAAAGGAAGGTTCAACTCTGTCAGTTGAATACACACAACACAAAGAAGTTACTAAGAATTCTTCCCTCTAGCATTATATGAAGAAATCCCGTTTCCAACGAAGGCATCTAAGAGGTCCAAATATCCACTTGCAGACTTTACAAACACAGGGTTTCCAGAATGCTGTATGAAAAGAAAGGTTAAACTCTGTGAGTTAAACACACACATCACTACGCAGTGTCTGGGAACGAGTTTGTCTTGTTTTTCTACGAAGATATTTCCTTTTCTACCATTTGCATCGAAGCGCTTGAAATCTCCACTTGCAAATTCCACAAAAAGAGTGTTTCAAATATGCTCTCTCTAAAGGAAGGTTGAACTCTGTAAGTTGCATACACACAACACAAAGAAGTTACTGAGAAATCTTCTGTCTAGCATAATATGAAGAAATCCCGTTTCCAACGAAGGCCTCAAAGAGGTCCGAATATCCACTGGCAGGCTTCACAAACAGAGTGTTTCCTAACTGCTCTGTGAAAAGAAAGGTTAAACTCTGTGAGTTGAACGCACACATCACAAAGGAGTTTCTGAGAATCATTCTGTCTAGTTTTTATACGAAGATATTTCCTTTTCTACCATTGACCTCAAAGCGGCTGAAATCTCCACTTGCAAATTCCAGAAAAACAGTGTTTCAAATCTGCTCTGTGTAAAGGATCGTTCAACTCTGTGAGTTGAATACACACAACACAAGGAAGTTACTGAGAATTCATCTGTCTAGCATAATATGAAGAAATCCCGTTTCCAAGGAAGGCCTCAAAGAGGTCTGAATATCCACTTGCAGACTTTACAGAGTGTTTCCTAACTGCTCTCTGAAAAGAAAGGTTAAACTCTGTGAGTTGAACGCACACATCACAAAACAGTTTCTGAGAATCATTCTGTCTAGTTTTTATACGAAGATATTTCCTTTTCTACCGTTGACCTCAAAGCGGCTGAATTCTCCACTTACAAATTCCACCAAAAGAGTGTCTCAAATCTGCTCTGTGTAAAGAATCGTTCAACTCTGTGAGTTGAATGCACACAACACAAGGAAGTTACTGGGAATTCCTCTGTCTATCCTTACATGAAAAAACCCGTTTCCAACGAAGGCCTCTAAGAGGCCAAGATATCCACTTGCAGACTTTACAAACAGAGTGTTTCCAAACTGCTGAATGAAAAGAAAAGTTAAACTCTGTGAGTTGAACGCACACATCACAGAGCAGTTTCTGAGAATGATTCTGTCGGGTTTTTATACGAAGATATTTCCTTTTCTGCCTTTGGCCTCAAAGCGCTTGAAGTCTCCACTTGCAAATTGCAGAAAAAGAGTGTTTCGAATCTGCTCTGTCTAAAGGAAGGTTCAACTCTGTCAGTTGAATACACACAACACAAGGAAGTTACTGAGATTTCTTCTGTCTAGCCTTACATGAAAAAAACCCGTTTCCAACGAAGGCCTCAAAGAGGTCAAAATATCCACGTGCAGACTTTCCAAACAGAGTGTTTCCAAACTGCTGAATGAAAAGAAAAGTTAAACTCTGTGAGTTGAACGCACACATCCCAGAGCAGTTTCTGAGAAAGATTCTGTCGAGTTTTTATAGGAAAATATTTCCTTTTCTGCTTTTGGCCTCAAAGCGCTTGAAATCTCCACTTGCAAATTCCACAAAAAGAGACTTTCAAATCTGCTCTGTCTAAAGGAAGGTTCAACTCTGTCAGTTGAATACACACAACACAAAGAAGTTACTAAGAATTCTTCCCTCTAGCATTATATGAAGAAATCCCGTTTCCAACGAAGGCATCTAAGAGGTCCAAATATCCACTTGCAGACTTTACAAACAGAGGGTTTCCAGAATGCTGTATGAAAAGAAAGGTGAAACTCTGTGAGTTAAACACACACATCACTACGCAGTGTCTGGGAACGAGTTTGTCTTGTTTTTATACGAAGATATTTCCTTTTCTACCATTGGCATCGAAGCGCTTGAAATCTCCACTTGCAAATTCCACAAAAAGAGTGTTTCAAATCTGCTCTGTCTAAAGGAAGGTTGAACTCTGTGAGTTGCATACACACAACACAAAGAAGTTACTGAGAAATCTTCTGTCTAGCATAATATGAAGAAATCCCGTTTCCAACGAAGGCCTCAAAGAGGTCCGAATATCCACTGGCAGGCTTCACAAACAGAGTGTTTCCTAACTGCTCTGTGAAAAGAAAGGTTAAACTCTGTGAGTTGAACGCACACATCACAAAGGAGTTTCTGAGAATCATTCTGTCTAGTTTTTATACGAAGATATTTCCTTTTCTACCATTGACCTCAAAGCGGCTGAAATCTCCACTTGCAAATTCCAGAAAAACAGTGTTTCAAATCTGCTCTGTGTAAAGGATCGTTCAACTCTGTGAGTTGAATACACACAACACAAGGAAGTTACTGAGAATTCATCTGTCTAGCATAATATGAAGAAATCCCGTTTCCAACGAAGGCCTCAAAGAGGTCTGAATATCCACTTGCAGACTTTACAAACAGAGTGTTTCCTAACTGCTCTTTGAAAAGAAAGGTTAAACTCTGTGAGTTGAACGCACACATCACAAAACAGTTTCTGAGAATCATTCTGTCTAGTTTTTATACGAAGATATTTCCTTTTCTACCGTTGACCTCAAAGCGGCTGAATTCTCCACTTACAAATTCCACCAAAAGAGTGTCTCAAATCTGCTCTGTGTAAAGAATCATTCAACTCTGTGAGTTGAATGCACACAACACAAGGAAGTTACTGGGAATTCCTCTGTCTAACCTTACATGAAAAAACCCGTTTCCAACGAAGGCCTCTAAGAGGCCAAGATATCCACTTGCAGACTTTACAAACAGAGTGTTTCCAAACTGCTGAATGAAAAGAAAAGTTAAACTCTGTGAGTTGAACGCACACATCACAGAGCAGTTTCTGAGAATGATTCTGTCGGGTTTTTATACGAAGATATTTCCTTTTCTGCCTTTGGCCTCAAAGCGCTTGAAGTCTCCACTTGCAAATTGCAGAAAAAGAGTGTTTCGAATCTGCTCTGTCTAAAGGAAGGTTCAACTCTGTCAGTTGAATACACACAACACAAGGAAGTTACTGAGATTTCTTCTGTCTAGCCTTACATGAAAAAAACCCGTTTCCAACGAAGGCCTCAAAGAAGTCAAAATATCCACGTGCAGACTTTCCAAACAGAGTGTTTCCAAACTGCTGAATGAAAAGAAAGTTAAACTCTGTGAGTTGAACACACACATCACAGAGCAGTTTCTGAGAATGATTCTGTCTAGTTTTTATAGGAAAATATTTCCTTTTCTGCTTTTGGCCTCAAAGCGCTTGAAATCTCCACTTGCAAATTCCACAAAAAGAGACTTTCAAATCTGCTCTGTCTAAAGGAAGGTTCAACTCTGTCAGTTGAATACACACAACACAAAGAAGTTACTAAGAATTCTTCCCTCTAGCATTATATGAAGAAATCCCGTTTCCAACGAAGGCATCTAAGAGGTCCAAATATCCACTTGCAGACTTTACAAACAGAGGGTTTCCAGAATGCTGTATGAAAAGAAAGGTGAAACTCTGTGAGTTAAACACACACATCACTACGCAGTGTCTGGGAACGAGTTTGTCTTGTTTTTATACGAAGATATTTCCTTTTCTACCATTGGCATCGAAGCGCTTGAAATCTCCACTTGCAAATTCCACAAAAAGAGTGTTTCAAATCTGCTCTGTCTAAAGGAAGGTTGAACTCTGTGAGTTGCATACACACAACACAAAGAAGTTACTGAGAAATCTTCTGTCTAGCATAATATGAAGAAATCCCGTTTCCAACGAAGGCCTCAAAGAGGTCCGAATATCCACTGGCAGGCTTCACAAACAGAGTGTTTCCTAACTGCTCTGTGAAAAGAAAGGTTAAACCCTGTGAGTTGAACGCACACATCACAAAGGAGTTTCTGAGAATCATTCTGTCTAGTTTTTATACGAAGATATTTCCTTTTCTACCATTGACCTCAAAGCGGCTGACATCTCCACTTGCAAATTCCAGAAAAACAGTGTTTCAAATCTGCTCTGTGTAAAGGATCGTTCAACTCTGTGAGTTGAATACACACAACACAAGGAAGTTACTGAGAATTCATCTGTCTAGCATAATATGAAGAAATCCCGTTTCCAACGAAGGCCTCAAAGAGGTCTGAATATCCACTTGCAGACTTTACAAACAGAGTGTTTCCTAACTGCTCTTTGAAAAGAAAGGTTAAACTCTGTGAGTTGAAAGCACACATCACAAAACAGTTTCTGAGAATCATTCTGTCTAGTTTTTATACGAAGATATTTCCTTTTCTACCGTTGACCTCAAAGCGGCTGAATTCTCCACTTACAAATTCCACCAAAAGAGTGTCTCAAATCTGCTCTGTGTAAAGAATCATTCAACTCTGTGAGTTGAATGCACACAACACAAGGAAGTTACTGGGAATTCCTCTGTCTAACCTTACATGAAAAAACCCGTTTCCAACGAAGGCCTCTAAGAGGCCAAGATATCCACTTGCAGACTTTACAAACAGAGTGTTTCCAAACTGCTGAATGAAAAGAAAAGTTAAACTCTGTGAGTTGAACGCACACATCACAGAGCAGTTTCTGAGAATGATTCTGTCGGGTTTTTATACGAAGATATTTCCTTTTCTGCCTTTGGCCTCAAAGCGCTTGAAGTCTCCACTTGCAAATTGCAGAAAAAGAGTGTTTCGAATCTGCTCTGTCTAAAGGAAGGTTCAACTCTGTCAGTTGAATACACACAACACAAGGAAGTTACTGAGATTTCTTCTGTCTAGCCTTACATGAAAAAAACCCGTTTCCAACGAAGGCCTCAAAGAGGTCAAAATATCCACGTGCAGACTTTCCAAACAGAGTGTTTCCAAACTGCTGAATGAAAAGAAAGTTAAACTCTGTGAGTTGAACACACACATCACAGAGCAGTTTCTGAGAATGATTCTCTCTAGTTTTTATAGGAAAATATTTCCTTTTCTGCTTTTGGCCTCAAAGCGCTTGAAATCTCCACTTGCAAATTCCACAAAAAGAGACTTTCAAATCTGCTCTGTCTAAAGGAAGGTTCAACTCTGTCAGTTGAATACACACAACACAAAGAAGTTACTAAGAATTCTTCCCTCTAGCATTATATGAAGAAATCCCGTTTCCAACGAAGGCATCTAAGAGGTCCAAATATCCACTTGCAGACTTTACAAACACAGGGTTTCCAGAATGCTGTATGAAAAGAAAGGTTAAACTCTGTGAGTTAAACACACACATCACTACGCAGTGTCTGGGAATGAGTTTGTCTTGTTTTTATACGAAGATATTTCCTTTTCTACCATTGGCATCGAAGCGTTTGAAATCTCCACTTGCAAATTCCACAAAAAGAGTGTTTCAAATCTGCTCTGTCTAAAGGAAGGTTGAACTCTGTGAGTTGCATACACACAACCCAAAGAAGTTACTGAGAAATCTTCTGTCTAGCATAATATGAAGAAATCCCGTTTCCAACGAAGGCCTCAAAGAGGTCCGAATATCCACTGGCAGGCTTCACAAACAGAGTGTTTCCTAACTGCTCTGTGAAAAGAAAGGTTAAACTCTGTGAGTTGAACGCACACATCACAAAGGAGTTTCTGAGAATCATTCTGTCTAGTTTTTATACGAAGATATTTCCTTTTCTACCATTGACCTCAAAGCGGCTGAAATCTCCACTTGCAAATTCCAGAAAAACAGTGTTTCAAATCTGCTCTGTGTAAAGGATCGTTCAACTCTGTGAGTTGAATACACACAACACAAGGAAGTTACTGAGAATTCATCTGTCTAGCATAATATGAAGAAATCCCGTTTCCAACGAAGGCCTCAAAGAGGTCTGAATATCCACTTGCAGACTTTACAAACAGAGTGTTTCCTAACTGCTCTTTGAAAAGAAAGGTTAAACTCTGTGAGTTGAACGCACACATCACAAAACAGTTTCTGAGAATCATTCTGTCTAGTTTTTATACGAAGATATTTCCTTTTCTACCGTTGACCTCAAAGCGGCTGAATTCTCCACTTACAAATTCCACCAAAAGAGTGTCTCAAATCTGCTCTGTGTAAAGAATCATTCAACTCTGTGAGTTGAATGCACACAACACAAGGAAGTTACTGGGAATTCCTCTGTCTAACCTTACATGAAAAAACCCGTTTCCAACGAAGGCCTCTAAGAGGCCAAGATATCCACTTGCAGACTTTACAAACAGAGTGTTTCCAAACTGCTGAATGAAAAGAAAAGTTAAACTCTGTGAGTTGAACGCACACATCACAGAGCAGTTTCTGAGAATGATTCTGTCAGGTTTTTATACGAAGATATTTCCTTTTCTGCCTTTGGCCTCAAAGCGCTTGAAGTCTCCACTTGCAAATTGCAGAAAAAGAGTGTTTCGAATCTGCTCTGTCTAAAGGAAGGTTCAACTCTGTCAGTTGAATACACACAACACAAGGAAGTTACTGAGATTTCTTCTGTCTAGCCTTACATGAAAAAAACCCGTTTCCAACGAAGGCCTCAAAGAGGTCAAAATATCCACGTGCAGACTTTCCAAACAGAGTGTTTCCAAACTGCTGAATGAAAAGAAAAGTTAAACTCTGTGAGTTGAACGCACACATCCCAGAGCAGTTTCTGAGAAAGATTCTGTCGAGTTTTTATAGGAAAATATTTCCTTTTCTGCTTTTGGCCTCAAAGCGCTTGAAATCTCCACGTGCAAATTCCACAAAAAGAGACTTTCAAATCTGCTCTGTCTAAAGGAAGGTTCAACTCTGTCAGTTGAATACACACAACACAAAGAAGTTACTAAGAATTCTTCCCTCTAGCATTATATGAAGAAATCCCGTTTCCAACGAAGGCATCTAAGAGGTCCAAATATCCACTTGCAGACTTTACAAACACAGGGTTTCCAGAATGCTGTATGAAAAGAAAGGTTAAACTCTGTGAGTTAAACACACACATCACTACGCAGTGTCTGGGAACGAGTTTGTCTTGTTTTTATACGAAGATATTTCCTTTTCTACCATTGGCATCGAAGCGCTTGAAATCTCCACTTGCAAATTCCACAAAAAGAGTGTTTCAAATCTGCTCTGTCTAAAGGAAGGTTGAACTCTGTGAGTTGCATACACACAACACAAAGAAGTTACTGAGAAATCTTCTGTCTAGCATAATATGAAGAAATCCCGTTTCCAACGAAGGCCTCAAAGAGGTCCGAATATCCACTGGCAGGCTTCACAAACAGAGTGTTTCCTAACTGCTCTGTGAAAAGAAAGGTTAAACTCTGTGAGTTGAACGCACACATCACAAAGGAGTTTCTGAGAATCATTCTGTCTAGTTTTTATACGAAGATATTTCCTTTTCTACCATTGACCTCAAAGCGGCTGAAATCTCCACTTGCAAATTCCAGAAAAACAGTGTTTCAAATCTGCTCTGTGTAAAGGATCGTTCAACTCTGTGAGTTGAATACACACAACACAAGGAAGTTACTGAGAATTCATCTGTCTAGCATAATATGAAGAAATCCCGTTTCCAACGAAGGCCTCAAAGAGGTCTGAATATCCACTTGCAGACTTTACAAACAGAGTGTTTCCTAACTGCTCTTTGAAAAGAAAGGTTAAACTCTGTGAGTTGAACGCACACATCACAAAACAGTTTCTGAGAATCATTCTTTCTAGTTTTTATACGAAGATATTTCCTTTTCTACCGTTGACCTCAAAGCGTCTGAATTCTCCACTTACAAATTCCACCAAAAGTGTGTCTCAAATCAGCTCTGTGTAAAGAATCATTCAACTCTGTGAGTTGAATGCACACAACACAAGGAAGTTACTGGGAATTCCTCTGTCTAACCTTACATGAAAAAACCCGTTTCCAACGAAGGCCTCTAAGAGGCCAAGATATCCACTTGCAGACTTTACAAACAGAGTGTTTCCAAACTGCTGAATGAAAAGAAAAGTTAAACTCTGTGAGTTGAACGCACACATCACAGAGCAGTTTCTGAGAATGATTCTGTCGGGTTTTTATACGAAGATATTTCCTTTTCTGCCTTTGGCCTCAAAGCGCTTGAAGTCTCCACTTGCAAATTGCAGAAAAAGAGTGCTTCGAATCTGCTCTGTCTAAAGGAAGGTTCAACTCTGTCAGTTGAATACACATAACACAAGGAAGTTACTGAGATTTCTTCTGTCTAGCGTTACATGAAAAAAACCCGTTTCCAACGAAGGCCTCAAAGAGGTCAAAATATCCACGTGCAGACTTTCCAAACAGAGTGTTTCCAAACTGCTGAATGAAAAGAAAAGTTAAACTCTGTGAGTTGAACGCACACATCCCAGAGCAGTTTCTGAGAAAGATTCTGTCGAGTTTTTATAGGAAAATATTTCCTTTTCTGCTTTTGGCCTCAAAGCGCTTGAAATCTCCACTTGCAAATTCCACAAAAAGAGACTTTCAAATCTGCTCTGTCTAAAGGAAGGTTCAACTCTGTCAGTTGAATACACACAACACAAAGAAGTTACTAAGAATTCTTCCCTCTAGCATTATATGAAGAAATCCCGTTTCCAACGAAGGCATCTAAGAGGTCCAAATATCCACTTGCAGACTTTACAAACACAGGGTTTCCAGAATGCTGTATGAAAAGAAAGGTTAAACTCTGTGAGTTAAACACACACATCACTACGCAGTGTCTGGGAACGAGTTTGTCTTGTTTTTATACGAAGATATTTCCTTTTCTACCATTGGCATCGAAGCGCTTGAAATCTCCACTTGCAAATTCCACAAAAAGAGTGTTTCAAATCTGCTCTGTCTAAAGGAAGGTTGAACTCTGTGAGTTGCATACACACAACACAAAGAAGTTACTGAGAAATCTTCTGTCTAGCATAATATGAAGAAATCCCGTTTCCAACGAAGGCCTCAAAGAGGTCCGAATATCCACTGGCAGGCTTCACAAACAGAGTGTTTCCTAACTGCTCTGTGAAAAGAAAGGTTAAACCCTGTGAGTTGAACGCACACATCACAAAGGAGTTTCTGAGAATCATTCTGTCTAGTTTTTATACGAAGATATTTCCTTTTCTACCATTGACCTCAAAGCGGCTGAAATCTCCACTTGCAAATTCCAGAAAAACAGTGTTTCAAATCTGCTCTGTGTAAAGGATCGTTCAACTCTGTGAGTTGAATACACACAACACAAGGAAGTTACTGAGAATTCATCTGTCTAGCATAATATGAAGAAATCCCGTTTCCAACGAAGGCCTCAAAGAGGTCTGAATATCCACTTGCAGACTTTACAAACAGAGTGTTTCCTAACTGCTCTTTGAAAAGAAAGGTTAAACTCTGTGAGTTGAACGCACACATCACAAAACAGTTTCTGAGAATCATTCTGTCTAGTTTTTATACGAAGATATTTCCTTTTCTACCGTTGACCTCAAAGCGGCTGAATTCTCCACTTACAAATTCCACCAAAAGAGTGTCTCAAATCTGCTCTGTGTAAAGAATCATTCAACTCTGTGAGTTGAATGCACACAACACAAGGAAGTTACTGGGAATTCCTCTGTCTATCCTTACATGAAAAAACCCGTTTCCAACGAAGGCCTCTAAGAGGCCAAGATATCCACTTGCAGACTTTACAAACAGAGTGTTTCCAAACTGCTGAATGAAAAGAAAAGTTAAACTCTGTGAGTTGAACGCACACATCACAGTAGCAGTTTCTGAGAATGATTCTGTCGGGTTTTTATACGAAGATATTTCCTTTTCTGCCTTTGGCCTCAAAGCGCTTGAAGTCTCCACTTGCAAATTGCAGAAAAAGAGTGTTTCGAATCTGCTCTGTCTAAAGGAAGGTTCAACTCTGTCAGTTGAATACACACAACACAAGGAAGTTACTGAGATTTCTTCTGTCTAGCCTTACATGAAAAAAACCCGTTTCCAACGAAGGCCTCAAAGAGGTCAAAATATCCACGTGCAGACTTTCCAAACAGAGTGTTTCCAAACTGCTGAATGAAAAGAAAAGTTAAACTCTGTGAGTTGAACGCACACATCCCAGAGCAGTTTCTGAGAAAGATTCTGTCGAGTTTTTATAGGAAAATATTTCCTTTTCTGCTTTTGGCCTCAAAGCGCTTGAAATCTCCACTTGCAAATTCCACAAAAAGAGACTTTCAAATCTGCTCTGTCTAAAGGAAGGTTCAACTCTGTCAGTTGAATAAACACAACACAAAGAAGTTACTAAGAATTCTTCCCTCTAGCATTATATGAAGAAATCCCGTTTCCAACGAAGGCATCTAAGAGATCCAAATATCCACTTGCAGACTTTACAAACAGAGGGTTTCCAGAATGCTGTATGAAAAGAAAGGTGAAACTCTGTGAGTTAAACACACACATCACTACGCAGTGTCTGGGAACGAGTTTGTCTTGTTTTTATACGAAGATATTTCCTTTTCTACCATTGGCATCGAAGCGCTTGAAATCTCCACTTGCAAATTCCACAAAAAGAGTGTTTCAAATCTGCTCTGTCTAAAGGAAGGTTGAACTCTGTGAGTTGCATACACACAACACAAAGAAGTTACTGAGAAATCTTCTGTCTAGCATAATATGAAGAAATCCCGTTTCCAACGAAGGCCTGAAAGAGGTCTGAATATCCACTGGCAGGCTTCACAAACAGAGTGTTTCCTAACTGCTCTGTGAAAAGAAAGGTTAAACTCTGTGAGTTGAACGCACACATCACAAAGGAGTTTCTGAGAATCATTCTGTCTAGTTTTTATACGAAGATATTTCCTTTTCTACCATTGACCTCAAAGCGGCTGAAATCTCCACTTGCAAATTCCAGAAAAACAGTGTTTCAAATCTGCTCTGTGTAAAGGATCGTTCAACTCTGTGAGTTGAATACACACAACACAAGGAAGTTACTGAGAATTCATCTGTCTAGCATAATATGAAGAAATCCCGTTTCCAACGAAGGCCTCAAAGAGGTCTGAATATCCACTTGCAGACTTTACAGAGTGTTTCCTAACTGCTCTCTGAAAAGAAAGGTTAAACTCTGTGAGTTGAACGCACACATCACAAAACAGTTTCTGAGAATCATTCTGTCTAGTTTTTATACGAAGATATTTCCTTTTCTACCGTTGACCTCAAAGCGGCTGAATTCTCCACTTACAAATTCCACCAAAAGAGTGTCTCAAATCTGCTCTGTGTAAAGAATCGTTCAACTCTGTGAGTTGAATGCACACAACAGAAGGAAGTTACTGGGAATTCCTCTGTCTATCCTTACATGAAAAAACCCGTTTCCAACGAAGGCCTCTAAGAGGCCAAGATATCCACTTGCAGACTTTACAAACAGAGTGTTTCCAAACTGCTGAATGAAAAGAAAAGTTAAACTCTGTGAGTTGAACGCACACATCACAGAGCAGTTTCTGAGAATGATTCTGTCGGGTTTTTATACGAAGATATTTCCTTTTCTGCCTTTGGCCTCAAAGCGCTTGAAGTCTCCACTTGCAAATTGCAGAAAAAGAGTGTTTCGAATCTGCTCTGTCTAAAGGAAGGTTCAACTCTGTCAGTTGAATACACACAACACAAGGAAGTTACTGAGATTTCTTCTGTCTAGCCTTACATGAAAAAAACCCGTTTCCAACGAAGGCCTCAAAGAGGTCAAAATATCCACGTGCAGACTTTCCAAACAGTGTTTCCAAACTGCTGAATGAAAAGAAAAGTTAAACTCTGTGAGTTGAACGCACACATCACAGAGCAGTTTCTGAGAATGATTCTGTCGAGTTTTTATAGGAAAATATTTCCTTTTCTGCTTTTGGCCTCAAAGCGCTTGAAATCTCCACTTGCAAATTCCACAAAAAGAGACTTTCAAATCTGCTCTGTCTAAAGGAAGGTTCAACTCTGTCAGTTGAATACACACAACACAAAGAAGTTACTAAGAATTCTTCCCTCTAGCATTATATGAAGAAATCCCGTTTCCAACGAAGGCATCTAAAAGGTCCAAATATCCACTTGCAGACTTTACAAACACAGGGTTTCCAGAATGCTGTATGAAAAGAAAGGTTAAACTCTGTGAGTTAAACACACACATCACTACGCAGTGTCTGGGAACGAGTTTGTCTTGTTTTTCTACGAAGATATTTCCTTTTCTACCATTTGCATCGAAGCGCTTGAAATCTCCACTTGCAAATTCCACAAAAAGAGTGTTTCAAATATGCTCTCTCTAAAGGAAGGTTGAACTCTGTGAGTTGCATACACACAACACAAAGAAGTTACTGAGAAATCTTCTGTCTAGCATAATATGAAGAAATCCCGTTTCCAACGAAGGCCTCAAAGAGGTCCGAATATCCACTGGCAGGCTTCACAAACAGAGTGTTTCCTAACTGCTCTGTGAAAAGAAAGGTTAAACTCTGTGAGTTGAACGCACACATCACAAAGGAGTTTCTGAGAATCATTCTGTCTAGTTTTTATACGAAGATATTTCCTTTTCTACCATTGACCTCAAAGCGGCTGAAATCTCCACTTGCAAATTCCAGAAAAACAGTGTTTCAAATCTGCTCTGTGTAAAGGATCGTTCAACTCTGTGAGTTGAATACACACAACACAAGGAAGTTACTGAGAATTCATCTGTCTAGCATAATATGAAGAAATCCCGTTTCCAACGAAGGCCTCAAAGAGGTCTGAATATCCACTTGCAGACTTTACAAACAGAGTGTTTCCTAACTGCTCTTTGAAAAGAAAGGTTAAACTCTGTGAGTTGAACGCACACATCACAAAACAGTTTCTGAGAATCATTCTGTCTAGTTTTTATACGAAGATATTTCCTTTTCTACCGTTGACCTCAAAGCGGCTGAATTCTCCACTTACAAATTCCACCAAAAGAGTGTCTCAAATCTGCTCTGTGTAAAGAATCATTCAACTCTGTGAGTTGAATGCACACAACACAAGGAAGTTACTGGGAATTCCTCTGTCTAACCTTACATGAAAAAACCCGTTTCCAACGAAGGCCTCTAAGAGGCCAAGATATCCACTTGCAGACTTTACAAACAGAGTGTTTCCAAACTGCTGAATGAAAAGAAAAGTTAAACTCTGTGAGTTGAACGCACACATCACAGAGCAGTTTCTGAGAATGATTCTGTCGGGTTTTTATACGAAGATATTTCCTTTTCTGCCTTTGGCCTCAAAGCGCTTGAAGTCTCCACTTGCAAATTGCAGAAAAAGAGTGTTTCGAATCTGCTCTGTCTAAAGGAAGGTTCAACTCTGTCAGTTGAATACACACAACACAAGGAAGTTACTGAGATTTCTTCTGTCTAGCCTTACATGAAAAAAACCCGTTTCCAACGAAGGCCTCAAAGAGGTCAAAATATCCACGTGCAGACTTTCCAAACAGAGTGTTTCCAAACTGCTGAATGAAAAGAAAAGTTAAACTCTGTGAGTTGAACGCACACATCACAGAGCAGTTTCTGAGAATGATTCTGTCTAATTTTTATAGGAAAATATTTCCTTTTCTGCTTTTGGCCTCAAAGCGCTTGAAATCTCCACTTGCAAATTCCACAAAAAGAGACTTTCAAATCTGCTCTGTCTAAAGGAAGGTTCAACTCTGTCAGTTGAATACACACAACACAAAGAAGTTACTAAGAATTCTTCCCTCTAGCATTATATGAGGAAATCCCGTTTCCAACGAAGGCATCTAAGAGGTCCAAATATCCACTTGCAGACTTTACAAACACAGGGTTTCCAGAATGCTGTATGAAAAGAAAGGTGAAACTCTGTGAGTTAAACACACACATCACTACGCAGTGTCTGGGAACGAGTTTGTCTTGTTTTTATACGAAGATATTTCCTTTTCTACCATTGGCATCGAAGCGCTTGAAATCTCCACTTGCAAATTCCACAAAAAGAGTGTTTCAAATCTGCTCTGTCTAAAGGAAGGTTGAACTCTGTGAGTTGCATACACACAACACAAAGAAGTTACTGAGAAATCTTCTGTCTAGCATAATATGAAGAAATCCCGTTTCCAACGAAGGCCTCAAAGAGGTCCGAATATCCACTGGCAGGCTTCACAAACAGAGTGTTTCCTAACTGCTCTGTGAAAAGAAAGGTTAAACCCTGTGAGTTGAACGCACACATCACAAAGGAGTTTCTGAGAATCATTCTGTCTAGTTTTTATACGAAGATATTTCCTTTTCTACCATTGACCTCAAAGCGGCTGAAATCTCCACTTGCAAATTCCAGAAAAACAGTGTTTCAAATCTGCTCTGTGTAAAGGATCGTTCAACTCTGTGAGTTGAATACACACAACACAAGGAAGTTACTGAGAATTCATCTGTCTAGCATAATATGAAGAAATCCCGTTTCCAACGAAGGCCTCAAAGAGGTCTGAATATCCACTTGCAGACTTTACAAACAGAGTGTTTCCTAACTGCTCTTTGAAAAGAAAGGTTAAACTCTGTGAGTTGAACGCACACATCACAAAACAGTTTCTGAGAATCATTCTGTCTAGTTTTTATACGAAGATATTTCCTTTTCTACCGTTGACCTCAAAGCGGCTGAATTCTCCACTTACAAATTCCACCAAAAGAGTGTCTCAAATCTGCTCTGTGTAAAGAATCATTCAACTCTGTGAGTTGAATGCACACAACACAAGGAAGTTACTGGGAATTCCTCTGTCTAACCTTACATGAAAAAACCCGTTTCCAACGAAGGCCTCTAAGAGGCCAAGATATCCACTTGCAGACTTTACAAACAGAGTGTTTCCAAACTGCTGAATGAAAAGAAAAGTTAAACTCTGTGAGTTGAACGCACACATCACAGAGCAGTTTCTGAGAATGATTCTGTCGGGTTTTTATACGAAGATATTTCCTTTTCTGCCTTTGGCCTCAAAGCGCTTGAAGTCTCCACTTGCAAATTGCAGAAAAAGAGTGTTTCGAATCTGCTCTGTCTAAAGGAAGGTTCAACTCTGTCAGTTGAATACACACAACACAAGGAAGTTACTGAGATTTCTTCTGTCTAGCCTTACATGAAAAAAACCCGTTTCCAACGAAGGCCTCAAAGAGGTCAAAATATCCACGTGCAGACTTTCCAAACAGAGTGTTTCCAAACTGCTGAATGAAAAGAAAAGTTAAACTCTGTGAGTTGAACGCACACATCCCAGAGCAGTTTCTGAGAAAGATTCTGTCGAGTTTTTATAGGAAAATATTTCCTTTTCTGCTTTTGGCCTCAAAGCGCTTGAAATCTCCACTTGCAAATTCCACAAAAAGAGACTTTCAAATCTGCTCTGTCTAAAGGAAGGTTCAACTCTGTCAGTTGAATACACACAACACAAAGAAGTTACTAAGAATTCTTCCCTCTAGCATTATATGAAGAAATCCCGTTTCCAACGAAGGCATCTAAGAGGTCCAAATATCCACTTGCAGACTTTACAAACACAGGGTTTCCAGAATGCTGTATGAAAAGAAAGGTGAAACTCTGTGAGTTAAACACACACATCACTACGCAGTGTCTGGGAACGAGTTTGTCTTGTTTTTATACGAAGATATTTCCTTTTCTACCATTGGCATCGAAGCGCTTGAAATCTCCACTTGCAAATTCCACAAAAAGAGTGTTTCAAATCTGCTCTGTCTAAAGGAAGGTTGAACTCTGTGAGTTGCATACACACAACACAAAGAAGTTACTGAGAAATCTTCTGTCTAGCATAATATGAAGAAATCCCGTTTCCAACGAAGGCCTCAAAGAGGTCCGAATATCCACTGGCAGGCTTCACAAACAGAGTGTTTCCTAACTGCTCTGTGAAAAGAAAGGTTAAACCCTGTGAGTTGAACGCACACATCACAAAGGAGTTTCTGAGAATCATTCTGTCTAGTTTTTATACGAAGATATTTCCTTTTCTACCATTGACCTCAAAGCGGCTGAAATCTCCACTTGCAAATTCCAGAAAAACAGTGTTTCAAATCTGCTCTGTGTAAAGGATCGTTCAACTCTGTGAGTTGAATACACACAACACAAGGAAGTTACTGAGAATTCATCTGTCTAGCATAATATGAAGAAATCCCGTTTCCAACGAAGGCCTCAAAGAGGTCTGAATATCCACTTGCAGACTTTACAAACAGAGTGTTTCCTAACTGCTCTTTGAAAAGAAAGGTTAAACTCTGTGAGTTGAACGCACACATCACAAAACAGTTTCTGAGAATCATTCTGTCTAGTTTTTATACGAAGATATTTCCTTTTCTACCGTTGACCTCAAAGCGGCTGAATTCTCCACTAACAAATTCCACCAAAAGAGTGTCTCAAATCTGCTCTGTGTAAAGAATCATTCAACTCTGTGTGTTGAATGCACACAACACAAGGAAGTTACTGGGAATTCCTCTGTCTAACCTTAGATGAAAAAACCCGTTTCCAACGAAGGCCTCTAAGAGGCCAAGATATCCACTTGCAGACTTTACAAACAGAGTGTTTCCAAACTGCTGAATGAAAAGAAAAGTTAAACTCTGTGAGTTGAACGCACACATCACAGAGCAGTTTCTGAGAATGATTCTGTCTAGTTTTTATAGGAAAATATTTCCTTTTCTGCTTTTGGCCTCAAAGCGCTTGAAATCTCCACTTGAAATTCCACAAAAAGAGTGTTTCAAATCTGCTCTGTCTAAAGGAAGGTTGAACTCTGTGAGTTGCATACACACAACACAAAGAAGTTACTGAGAAATCTTCTGTCTAGCATAATATGAAGAAATCCCGTTTCCAACGAAGGCCTCAAAGAGGTCCGAATATCCACTGGCAGGCTTCACAAACAGAGTGTTTCCTAACTGCTCTGTGAAAAGAAAGGTTAAACTCTGTGAGTTGAACGCACACATCACAAAGGAGTTTCTGAGAATCATTCTGTCTAGTTTTTATACAGAAGATATTTCCTTTTCTACCATTGACCTCAAAGCGGCTGAAATCTCCACTTGCAAATTCCAGAAAAACAGTGTTTCAAATCTGCTCTGTGTAAAGGATCGTTCAACTCTGTGAGTTGAATACACACAACACAAGGAAGTTACTGAGAATTCATCTGTCTAGCATAATATGAAGAAATCCCGTTTCCAACGAAGGCCTCAAAGAGGTCTGAATATCCACTTGCAGACTTTACAAACAGAGTGTTTCCTAACTGCTCTTTGAAAAGAAAGGTTAAACTCTGTGAGTTGAACGCACACATCACAAAACAGTTTCTGAGAATCATTCTGTCTAGTTTTTATACGAAGATATTTCCTTTTCTACCGTTGACCTCAAAGCGGCTGAATTCTCCACTTACAAATTCCACCAAAAGAGTGTCTCAAAACTGCTCTGTGTAAAGAATCATTCAACTCTGTGAGTTGAATGCACACAACACAAGGAAAGTTACTGGGAATTCCTCTGTCTAACCTTACATGAAAAAACCCGTTTCCAACGAAGGCCTCTAAGAGGCCAAGATATCCACTTGCAGACTTTACAAACAGAGTGTTTCCAAACTGCTGAATGAAAAGAAAAGTTAAACTCTGTGAGTTGAACGCACACATCACAGAGCAGTTTCTGAGAATGATTCTGTCGGGTTTTTATACGAAGATATTTCCTTTTCTGCCTTTGGCCTCAAAGCGCTTGAAGTCTCCACTTGCAAATTGCAGAAAAAGAGTGTTTCGAATCTGCTCTGTCTAAAGGAAGGTTCAACTCTGTCAGTTGAATACACACAACACAAGGGAATTTACTGAGATTTCTTCTGTCTAGCCTTACATGAAAAAAACCCGTTTCCAACGAAGGCCTCAAAGAGGTCAAAATATCCACGTGCAGACTTTCCAAACAGAGTGTTTCCAAACTGCTGAATGAAAAGAAAAGTTAAACTCTGTGAGTTGAACGCACACATCCCAGAGCAGTTTCTGAGAAAGATTCTGTCGAGTTTTTATAGGAAAATACTTCCTTTTCTGCTTTTGGCCTCAAAGCGCTTGAAATCTCCACTTGCAAATTCCACAAAAAGAGACTTTCAAATCTGCTCTGTCTAAAGGAAGGTTCAACTCTGTCAGTTGAATACACACAACACAAAGAAGTTACTAAGAATTCTTCCCTCTAGCATTATATGAAGAAATCCCGTTTCCAACGAAGGCATCTAAGAGGTCCAAATATCCACTTGCAGACTTTACAAACACAGGGTTTCCAGAATGCTGTATGAAAAGAAAGGTTAAACTCTGTGAGTTAAACACACACATCACTACGCAGTGTCTGGGAACGAGTTTGTCTTGTTTTTATACGAAGATATTTCCTTTTCTACCATTGGCATCGAAGCGCTTGAAATCTCCACTTGCAAATTCCACAAAAAGAGTGTTTCAAATCTGCTCTGTCTAAAGGAAGGTTGAACTCTGTGAGTTGCATACACACAACACAAAGAAGTTACTGAGAAATCTTCTGTCTAGCATAATATGAAGAAATCCCGTTTCCAACGAAGGCCTCAAAGAGGTCCGAATATCCACTGGCAGGCTTCACAAACAGAGTGTTTCCTAACTGCTCTGTGAAAAGAAAGGTTAAACTCTGTGAGTTGAACGCACACATCACAAAGGAGTTTCTGAGAATCATTCTGTCTAGTTTTTATACGAAGATATTCCTTTTTCTACCATTGACCTCAAAGCGGCTGAAATCTCCACTTGCAAATTCCAGAAAAACAGTGTTTCAAATCTGCTCTGTGTAAAGGATCGTTCAACTCTGTGAGTTGAATACACACAACACAAGGAAGTTACTGAGAATTCATCTGTCTAGCATAATATGAAGAAATCCCGTTTCCAACGAAGGCCTCAAAGAGGTCTGAATATCCACTTGCAGACTTTACAAACAGAGTGTTTCCTAACTGCTCTTTGAAAAGAAAGGTTAAACTCTGTGAGTTGAACGCACACATCACAAAACAGTTTCTGAGAATCATTCTGTCTAGTTTTTATACGAAGATATTTCCTTTTCTACCGTTGACCTCAAAGCGGCTGAATTCTCCACTTACAAATTCCACCAAAAGAGTGTCTCAAATCTGCTCTGTGTAAAGAATCATTCAACTCTGTGAGTTGAATGCACACAACACAAGGAAGTTACTGGGAATTCCTCTGTCTAACCTTACATGAAAAAACCCGTTTCCAACGAAGGCCTCTAAGAGGCCAAGATATCCACTTGCAGACTATACAAACAGAGTGTTTCCAAACTGCTGAATGAAAAGAAAAGTTAAACTCTGTGAGTTGAACGCACACATCACAGAGCAGTTTCTGAGAATGATTCTGTCGGGTTTTTATACGAAGATATTTCCTTTTCTGCCTTTGGCCTCAAAGCGCTTGAAGTCTCCACTTGCAAATTGCAGAAAAAGAGTGTTTCCAATCTGCTCTGTCTAAAGGAAGGTTCAACTCTGTCAGTTGAATACACACAACACAAGGAAGTTACTGAGATTTCTTCTGTCTAGCCTTACATGAAAAAAACCCGTTTCCAACGAAGGCCTCAAAGAGGTCAAAATATCCACGTGCAGACTTTCCAAACAGAGTGTTTCCAAACTGCTGAATGAAAAGAAAAGTTAAACTCTGTGAGTTGAACGCACACATCCCAGAGCAGTTTCTGAGAAAGATTCTGTCTAGTTTTTATAGGAAAATATTTCCTTTTCTGCTTTTGGCCTCAAAGCGCTTGAAATCTCCACTTGCAAATTCCACAGAAAGAGACTTTCAAATCTGCTCTGTCTAAAGGAAGGTTCAACTCTGTCAGTTGAATACACACAACACAAAGAAGTTACTAAGAATTCTTCCCTCTAGCATTATATGAAGAAATCCCGTTTCCAACGAAGGCATCTAAGAGGTCCAAATATCCACTTGCAGACTTTACAAACAGAGGGTTTCCAGAATGCTGTATGAAAAGAAAGGTGAAACTCTGTGAGTTAAACACACACATCACTACGCAGTGTCTGGGAACGAGTTTGTCTTGTTTTTATACGAAGATATTTCCTTTTCTACCATTGGCAACGAAGCGCTTGAAATCTCCACTTGCAAATTCCACAAAAAGAGTGTTTCAAATCTGCTCTGTCTAAAGGAAGGTTGAACTCTGTGAGTTGCATACACACAACACAAAGAAGTTACTGAGAAATCTTCTGTCTAGCATAATATGAAGAAATCCCGTTTCCAACGAAGGCCTCAAAGAGGTCCGAATATCCACTGGCAGGCTTCACAAACAGAGTGTTTCCTAACTGCTCTGTGAAAAGAAAGGTTAAACTCTGTGAGTTGAACGCACACATCACAAAGGAGTTTCTGAGAATCATTCTGTCTAGTTTTTATACGAAGATATTTCCTTTTCTACCATTGACCTCAAAGCGGCTGAAATCTCCACTTGCAAATTCCAGAAAAACAGTGTTTCAAATCTGCTCTGTGTAAAGGATCGTTCAACTCTGTGAGTTGAATACACACAACACAAGGAAGTTACTGAGAATTCATCTGTCTAGCATAATATGAAGAAATCCCGTTTCCAACGAAGGCCTCAAAGAGGTCTGAATATCCACTTGCAGACTTTACAAACAGAGTGTTTCCTAACTGCTCTTTGAAAAGAAAGGTTAAACTCTGTGAGTTGAACGCACACATCACAAAACAGTTTCTGAGAATCATTCTGTCTAGTTTTTATACGAAGATATTTCCTTTTCTACCGTTGACCTCAAAGCGGCTGAATTCTCCACTAACAAATTCCACCAAAAGAGTGTCTCAAATCTGCTCTGTGTAAAGAATCATTCAACTCTGTGAGTTGAATGCACACAACACAAGGAAGTTACTGGGAATTCCTCTGTCTAACCTTACATGAAAAAACCCGTTTCCAACGAAGGCCTCTAAGAGGCCAAGATATCCACTTGCAGACTTTACAAACAGAGTGTTTCCAAACTGCTGAATGAAAAGAAAAGTTAAACTCTGTGAGTTGAACGCACACATCACAGAGCAGTTTCTGAGAATGATTCTGTCGGGTTTTTATACGAAGATATTTCCTTTTCTGCCTTTGGCCTCAAAGCGCTTGAAGTCTCCACTTGCAAATTGCAGAAAAAGAGTGTTTCGAATCTGCTCTGTCTAAAGGAAGGTTCAACTCTGTCAGTTGAATACACATAACACAAGGAAGTTACTGAGATTTCTTCTGTCTAGCGTTACATGAAAAAATCCCGTTTCCAACGAAGGCCTCAAAGAGGTCAAAATATCCACGTGCAGACTTTCCAAACAGAGTGTTTCCAAACTGCTGAATGAAAAGAAAAGTTAAACTCTGTGAGTTGAACGCACACATCCCAGAGCAGTTTCTGAGAAAGATTCTGTCTAGTTTTTATAGGAAAATATTTCCTTTTCTGCTTTTGGCCTCAAAGCGCTTGAAATCTCCACTTGCAAATTCCACAAAAAGAGACTTTCAAATCTGCTCTGTCTAAAGGAAGGTTCAACTCTGTCAGTTGAATACACACAACACAAAGAAGTTACTAAGAATTCTTCCCTCTAGCATTATATGAAGAAATCCCGTTTCCAACGAAGGCATCTAAGAGGTCCAAATATCCACTTGCAGACTTTACAAACAGAGGGTTTCCAGAATGCTGTATGAAAAGAAAGGTTAAACTCTGTGAGTTAAACACACACATCACTACGCAGTGTCTGGGAACGAATTTGTCTTGTTTTTATACGAAGTATATTTCCTTTTCTACCATTGGCATCGAAGCGCTTGAAATCTCCACTTGCAAATTCCACAAAAAGAGTGTTTCAAATCTGCTCTTTCTAAAGGAAGGTTGAACTCTGTGAGTTGCATACACACAACACAAAGAAGTTACTGAGAAATCTTCTGTCTAGCATAATATGAAGAAATCCCGTTTCCAACGAAGGCCTCAAAGAGGTCCGAATATCCACTGGCAGGCTTCACAAACAGAGTGTTTCCTAACTGCTCTGTGAAAAGAAAGGTTAAACTCTGTGAGTTGAACGCACACATCACAAAGGAGTTTCTGAGAATCATTCTGTCTAGTTTTTATACGAAGATATTTCTTTTTCTACCATTGACCTCAAAGCGGCTGAAATCTCCACTTGCAAATTCCAGAAAAACAGTGTTTCAAATCTGCTCTGTGTAAAGGATCGTTCAACTACTGTGAGTTGAATACACACAACACAAGGAAGTTACTGAGAATTCATCTGTCTAGCATAATATGAAGAAATCCCGTTTCCAACGAAGGCCTCAAAGAGGTCTGAATATCCACTTGCAGACTTTACAAACAGAGTGTTTCCTAACTGCTCTTTGAAAAGAAAGGTTAAACTCTGTGAGTTGAACGCACACATCACAAAACAGTTTCTGAGAATCATTCTGTCTAGTTTTTATACGAAGATATTTCCTTTTCTACCGTTGACCTCAAAGCGGCTGAATTCTCCACTTACAAATTCCACCAAAAGAGTGTCTCAAATCTGCTCTGTGTAAAGAATCATTCAACTCTGTGAGTTGAATGCACACAACACAAGGAAGTTACTGGGAATTCCTCTGTCTAACCTTACATGAAAAAACCCGTTTCCAACGAAGGCCTCTAAGAGGCCAAGATATCCACTTGCAGACTTTACAAACAGAGTGTTTCCAAACTGCTGAATGAAAAGAAAAGTTAAACTCTGTGAGTTGAACGCACACATCACAGAGCAGTTTCTGAGAATGATTCTGTCGGGTTTTTATACGAAGATATTTCCTTTTCTGCCTTTGGCCTCAAAGCGCTTGAAGTCTCCACTTGCAAATTGCAGAAAAAGAGTGTTTCGAATCTGCTCTGTCTAAAGGAAGGTTCAACTCTGTCAGTTGAATACACACAACACAAGGAAGTTACTGAGATTTCTTCTGTCTAGCCTTACATGAAAAAAACCCGTTTCCAACGAAGGCCTCAAAGAGGTCAAAATATCCACGTGCAGACTTTCCAAACAGTGTTTCCAAACTGCTGAATGAAAAGAAAAGTTAAACTCTGTGAGTTGAACGCACACATCACAGAGCAGTTTCTGAGAATGATTCTGTCTAGTTTTTATAGGAAAACATTTCCTTTTCTGCTTTTGGCCTCAAAGCGCTTGAAATCTCCACTTGCAAATTCCACAAAAAGAGACTTTCAAATCTGCTCTGTCTAAAGGAAGGTTCAACTCTGTCAGTTGAATACACACAACACAAAGAAGTTACTAAGAATTCTTCCCTCTAGCATTATATGAAGAAATCCCGTTTCCAACGAAGGCATCTAAGAGGTCCAAATATCCACTTGCAGACTTTACAAACAGAGGGTTTCCAGAATGCTGTATGAAAAGAAAGGTGAAACTCTGTGAGTTAAACACACACATCACTACGCAGTGTCTGGGAACGAGTTTGTCTTGTTTTTATACGAAGATATTTCCTTTTCTACCATTGGCATCGAAGCGCTTGAAATCTCCACTTGCAAATTCCACAAAAAGAGTGTTTCAAATCTGCTCTGTCTAAAGGAAGGTTGAACTCTGTGAGTTGCATACACACAACACAAAGAAGTTACTGAGAAATCTTCTGTCTAGCATAATATGAAGAAATCCCGTTTCCAACGAAGGCCTGAAAGAGGTCTGAATATCCACTGGCAGGCTTCACAAACAGAGTGTTTCCTAACTGCTCTGTGAAAAGAAAGGTTAAACTCTGTGAGTTGAACGCACACATCACAAAGGAGTTTCTGAGAATCATTCTGTCTAGTTTTTATACGAAGATATTTCCTTTTCTACCATTGACCTCAAAGCGGCTGAAATCTCCACTTGCAAATTCCAGAAAAACAGTGTTTCAAATCTGCTCTGTGTAAAGGATCGTTCAACTCTGTGAGTTGAATACACACAACACAAGGAAGTTACTGAGAATTCATCTGTCTAGCATAATATGAAGAAATCCCGTTTCCAACGAAGGCCTCAAAGAGGTCTGAATATCCACTTGCAGACTTTACAAACAGAGTGTTTCCTAACTGCTCTTTGAAAAGAAAGGTTAAACTCTGTGAGTTGAACGCACACATCACAAAACAGTTTCTGAGAATCATTCTGTCTAGTTTTTATACGAAGATATTTCCTTTTCTACCGTTGACCTCAAAGCGGCTGAATTCTCCACTTACAAATTCCACCAAAAGAGTGTCTCAAATCTGCTCTGTGTAAAGAATCATTCAACTCTGTGAGTTGAATGCACACAACACAAGGGAAGTTACTGGGAATTCCTCTGTCTAACCTTACATGAAAAAACCCGTTTCCAACGAAGGCCTCTAAGAGGCCAAGATATCCACTTGCAGACTTTACAGACAGAGTGTTTCCAAACTGCTGAATGAAAAGAAAAGTTAAACTCTGTGAGTTGAACGCACACATCACAGAGCAGTTTCTGAGAATGATTCTGTCGGGTTTTTATACGAAGATATTTCCTTTTCTGCCTTTGGCCTCAAAGCGCTTGAAGTCTCCACTTGCAAATTGCAGAAAAAGAGTGTTTCGAATCTGCTCTGTCTAAAGGAAGGTTCAACTCTGTCAGTTGAATACACACAACACAAGGAAGTTACTGAGATTTCTTCTGTCTAGCGTTACATGAAAAAAACCCGTTTCCAACGAAGGCCTCAAAGAGGTCAAAATATCCACGTGCAGACTTTCCAAACAGAGTGTTTCCAAACTGCTGAATGAAAAGAAAAGTTAAACTCTGTGAGTTGAACGCACACATCCCAGAGCAGTTTCTGAGAAAGATTCTGTCTAGTTTTTATAGGAAAATATTTCCTTTTCTGCTTTTGGCCTCAAAGCGCTTGAAATCTCCACTTGCAAATTCCACAAAAAGAGACTTTCAAATCTGCTCTGTCTAAAGGAAGGTTCAACTCTGTCAGTTGAATACACACAACACAAAGAAGTTACTAAGAATTCTTCCCTCTAGCATTATATGAAGAAATCCCGTTTCCAACGAAGGCATCTAAGAGGTCCAAATATCCACTTGCAGACTTTACAAACACAGGGTTTCCAGAATGCTGTATGAAAAGAAAGGTTAAACTCTGTGAGTTAAACACACACATCACTATGCAGTGTCTGGGAACGAGTTTGTCTTGTTTTTATACGAAGATATTTCCTTTTCTACCATTGGCATCGAAGCGCTTGAAATCTCCACTTGCAAATTCCACAAAAAGAGTGTTTCAAATCTGCTCTGTCTAAAGGAAGGTTGAACTCTGTGAGTTGCATACACACAACACAAAGAAGTTACTGAGAAATCTTCTGTCTAGCATAATATGAAGAAACCCCATTTCCAACGAAGGCCTCAAAGAGGTCTGAATATCCACTGGCAGACTTCACAAACAGAGTGTTTCCTAACTACTCTATGAAAAGAAAGGTTAAACTCTGTGAGTTGAACGCACACATCACAAAGGAGTTTCTGAGAATCACTCTGTCTAGTTTTTATACGAAGATATTTCCTTTTCTACCATTGACCTCAAAGCGGCTGAAATCTCCACTTGCAAATTCCAGAAAAACAGTGTTTCAAATCTGCTCTGTGTAAAGGATCGTTCAACTCTGTGAGTTGAATACACACAACACAAGGAAGTTACTGAGAATTCATCTGTCTAGCATAATATGAAGAAATCCCGTTTCCAACGAAGGCCTCAAAGAGGTCTGAATATCCACTTGCAGACTTTACAAACAGAGTGTTTCCTAACTGCTCTTTGAAAAGAAAGGTTAAACTCTGTGAGTTGAACGCACACATCACAAAACAGTTTCTGAGAATCATTCTGTCTAGTTTTTATACGGAGATATTTCCTTTTCTACCGTTGACCTCAAAGCGGCTGAATTCTCCACTTACAAATTCCACCAAAAGAGTGTCTCAAAACTGCTCTGTGTAAAGAATCATTCAACTCTGTGAGTTGAATGCACACAACACAAGGAAGTTACTGGGAATTCCTCTGTCTAACCTTACATGAAAAAACCCGTTTCCAACGAAGGCCTCTAATTAGGCCAAGATATCCACTTGCAGACTTTACAAACAGAGTGTTTCCAAACTGCTGAATGAAAAGAAAAGTTAAACTCTGTGAGTTGAACGCACACATCACAGAGCAGTTTCTGAGAATGATTCTGTCGGGTTTTTATACGAAGATATTTCCTTTTCTGCCTTTGGCCTCAAAGCGCTTGAAGTCTCCACTTGCAAATTGCAGAAAAAGAGTGTTTCGAATCTGCTCTGTCTAAAGGAAGGTTCAACTCTGTCAGTTGAATACACACAACACAAGGAAGTTACTGAGATTTCTTCTGTCTAGCCTTACATGAAAAAAACCCGTTTCCAACGAAGGCCTCAAAGAGGTCAAAATATCCACGTGCAGACTTTCCAAACAGAGTGTTTCCAAACTGCTGAATGAAAAGAAAAGTTAAACTCTGTGAGTTGAACGCACACATCCCAGAGCAGTTTCTGAGAAAGATTCTGTCGAGTTTTTATAGGAAAATATTTCCTTTTCTGCTTTTGGCCTCAAAGCGCTTGAAATCTCCACTTGCAAATTCCACAAAAAGAGACTTTCAAATCTGCTCTGTCTAAAGGAAGGTTCAACTCTGTCAGTTGAATACACACAACACAAAGAAGTTACTAAGAATTCTTCCCTCTAGCATTATATGAAGAAATCCCGTTTCCAACGAAGGCATCTAAGAGGTCCAAATATCCACTTGCAGACTTTACAAACACAGGGTTTCCAGAATGCTGTATGAAAAGAAAGGTTAAACTCTGTGAGTTAAACACACACATCACTACGCAGTGTCTGGGAATGAGTTTGTCTTGTTTTTATACGAAGATATTTCCTTTTCTACCATTGGCATCGAAGCGTTTGAAATCTCCACTTGCAAATTCCACAAAAAGAGTGTTTCAAATCTGCTCTGTCTAAAGGAAGGTTGAACTCTGTGAGTTGCATACACACAACCCAAAGAAGTTACTGAGAAATCTTCTGTCTAGCATAATATGAAGAAATCCCGTTTCCAACGAAGGCCTCAAAGAGGTCCGAATATCCACTGGCAGGCTTCACAAACAGAGTGTTTCCTAACTGCTCTGTGAAAAGAAAGGTTAAACTCTGTGAGTTGAACGCACACATCACAAAGGAGTTTCTGAGAATCATTCTGTCTAGTTTTTATACGAAGATATTTCCTTTTCTACCATTGACCTCAAAGCGGCTGAAATCTCCACTTGCAAATTCCAGAAAAACAGTGTTTCAAATCTGCTCTGTGTAAAGGATCGTTCAACTCTGTGAGTTGAATACACACAACACAAGGGAAGTTACTGAGAATTCATCTGTCTAGCATAATATGAAGAAATCCCGTTTCCAACGAAGGCCTCAAAGAGGTCTGAATATCCACTTGCAGACATTACAAACAGAGTGTTTCCTAACTGCTCTTTGAAAAGAAAGGTTAAACTCTGTGAGTTGAACGCACACATCACAAAACAGTTTCTGAGAATCATTCTGTCTAGTTTTTATACGAAGATATTTCCTTTTCTACCGTTGACCTCAAAGCGGCTGAATTCTCCACTTACAAATTCCACCAAAAGAGTGTCTCAAATCTGCTCTGTGTAAACAATCATTCAACTCTGTGAGTTGAATGCACACAACACAAGGAAGTTACTGGGAATTCCTCTGTCTATCCTTACATGAAAAAACCCGTTTCCAACGAAGGCCTCTAAGAGGCCAAGATATCCACTTGCAGACTTTACAAACAGAGTGTTTCCAAACTGCTGAATGAAAAGAAAAGTTAAACTCTGTGAGTTGAATGCACACATCACAGAGCAGTTTCTGAGAATGATTCTGTCGGGTTTTTATACGAAGATATTTCCTTTTCTGCCTTTGGCCTCAAAGCGCTTGAAGTCTCCACTTGCAAATTGCAGAAAAAGAGTGTTTCGAATCTGCTCTGTCTAAAGGAAGGTTCAACTCTGTCAGTTGAATACACACAACACAAGGAAGTTACTGAGATTTCTTCTGTCTAGCCTTACATGAAAAAAACCCGTTTCCAACGAAGGCCTCAAAGAGGTCAAAATATCCACGTGCAGACTTTCCAAACAGAGTGTTTCCAAACTGCTGAATGAAAAGAAAAGTTAAACTCTGTGAGTTGAACGCACACATCCCAGAGCAGTTTCTGAGAAAGATTCTGTCGAGTTTTTATAGGAAAATATTTCCTTTTCTGCTTTTGGCCTCAAAGCGCTTGAAATCTCCACTTGCAAATTCCACAAAAAGAGACTTTCAAATCTGCTCTGTCTAAAGGAAGGTTCAACTCTGTCAGTTGAATACACACAACACAAAGAAGTTACTAAGAATTCTTCCCTCTAGCATTATATGAAGAAATCCCGTTTCCAACGAAGGCATCTAAGAGGTCCAAATATCCACTTGCAGACTTTACAAACACAGGGTTTCCAGAATGCTGTATGAAAAGAAAGGTTAAACTCTGTGAGTTAAACACACACATCACTACGCAGTGTCTGGGAACGAGTTTGTCTTGTTTTTCTACGAAGATATTTCCTTTTCTACCATTGGCATCGAAGCGCTTGAAATCTCCACTTGCAAATTCCACAAAAAGAGTGTTTCAAATATGCTCTCTCTAAAGGAAGGTTGAACTCTGTAAGTTGCATACACACAACACAAAGAAGTTACTGAGAAATCTTCTGTCTAGCATAATATGAAGAAATCCCGTTTCCAACGAAGGCCTCAAAGAGGTCCGAATATCCACTGGCAGGCTTCACAAACAGAGTGTTTCCTAACTGCTCTGTGAAAAGAAAGGTTAAACTCTGTGAGTTGAACGCACACATCACAAAGGAGTTTCTGAGAATCATTCTGTCTAGTTTTTATACGAAGATATTTCCTTTTCTACCATTGACCTCAAAGCGGCTGAAATCTCCACTTGCAAATTCCAGAAAAACAGTGTTTCAAATCTGCTCTGTGTAAAGGATCGTTCAACTCTGTGAGTTGAATACACACAACACAAGGAAGTTACTGAGAATTCATCTGTCTAGCATAATATGAAGAAATCCCGTTTCCAACGAAGGCCTCAAAGAGGTCTGAATATCCACTTGCAGACTTTACAAACAGAGTGTTTCCTAACTGCTCTTTGAAAAGAAAGGTTAAACTCTGTGAGTTGAACGCACACATCACAAAACAGTTTCTGAGAATCATTCTGTCTAGTTTTTATACGAAGATATTTCCTTTTCTACCGTTGACATCAAAGCGGCTGAATTCTCCACTTACAAATTCCACCAAAAGAGTGTCTCAAATCTGCTCTGTGTAAAGAATCATTCAACTCTGTGAGTTGAATGCACACAACACAAGGAAGTTAGTGGGAATTCCTCTGTCTAACCTTACATGAAAAAACCCGTTTCCAACGAAGGCCTCTAAGAGGCCAAGATATCCACTTGCAGACTTTACAAACAGAGTGTTTCCAAACTGCTGAATGAAAAGAAAAGTTAAACTCTGTGAGTTGAACGCACACATCACAGAGCAGTTTCTGAGAATGATTCTGTCGGGTTTTTATACGAAGATATTTCCTTTTCTGCCTTTGGCCTCAAAGCGCTTGAAGTCTCCACTTGCAAATTGCAGAAAAAGAGTGTTTCGAATCTGCTCTGTCTAAAGGAAGGTTCAACTCTGTCAGTTGAATACACACAACACAAGGAAGTTACTGAGATTTCTTCTGTCTAGCCTTACAAGAAAAAAACCCGTTTCCAACGAAGGCCTCAAAGAGGTCAAAATATCCACGTGCAGACTTTCCAAACAGAGTGTTTCCAAACTGCTGAATGGAAAGAAATGTTAAACTCTGTGAGTTGAACGCACACATCCCAGAGCAGTTTCTGAGAAAGATTCTGTCGAGTTTTTATAGGAAAATATTTCCTTTTCTGCTTTTGGCCTCAAAGCGCTTGAAATCTCCACTTGCAAATTCCACAAAAAGAGACTTTCAAATCTGCTCTGTCTAAAGGAAGGTTCAACTCTGTCAGTTGAATACACACAACACAAAGAAGTTACTAAGAATTCTTCCCTCTAGCATTATATGAAGAAATCCCGTTTCCAACGAAGGCATCTAAGAGGTCCAAATATCCACTTGCAGACTTTACAAACAGAGGGTTTCCAGAATGCTGTATGAAAAGAAAGGTTAAACTCTGTGAGTTAAACACACACATCACTACGCAGTGTCTGGGAACGAGTTTGTCTTGTTTTTATACGAAGATATTTCCTTTTCTACCATTGGCATCGAAGCGCTTGAAATCTCCACTTGCAAATTCCACAAAAAGAGTGTTTCAAATCTGCTCTGTCTAAAGGAAGGTTGAACTCTGTGAGTTGCATACACACAACACAAAGAAGTTACTGAGAAATCTTCTGTCTAGCATAATACGAAGAAATCCCGTTTCCAACGAAGGCCTCAAAGAGGTCCGAATATCCACTGGCAGGCTTCACAGAGTGTTTCCTAACTGCTCTGTGAAAAGAAAGGTTAAACTCTGTGAGTTGAACGCACACATCACAAAGGAGTTTCTGAGAATCATTCTGTCTAGTTTTTATACGAAGATATTTCCTTTTCTACCATTGACCTCAAAGCGGCTGAAATCTCCACTTGCAAATTCCAGAAAAACAGTGTTTCAAATCTGCTCTGTGTAAAGGATCGTTCAACTCTGTGAGTTGAATACACACAACACAAGGAAGTTACTGAGAATTCATCTGTCTAGCATAATATGAAGAAATCCCGTTTCCAACGAAGGCCTCAAAGAGGTCTGAATATCCACTTGCAGACTTTACAAACAGAGTGTTTCCTAACTGCTCTTTGAAAAGAAAGGTTAAACTCTGTGAGTTGAACGCACACATCACAAAACAGTTTCTGAGAATCATTCTGTCTAGTTTTTATACGAAGATATTTCCTTTTCTACCGTTGACCTCAAAGCGGCTGAATTCTCCACTAACAAATTCCACCAAAAGAGTGTCTCAAATCTGCTCTGTGTAAAGAATCATTCAACTCTGTGAGTTGAATGCACACAACACAAGGAAGTTACTGGGAATTCCTCTGTCTAACCTTACATGAAAAAACCCGTTTCCAACGAAGGCCTCTAAGAGGCCAAGATATCCACTTGCAGACTTTACAAACAGAGTGTTTCCAAACTGCTGAATGAAAAGAAAAGTTAAACTCTGTGAGTTGAACGCACACATCACAGAGCAGTTTCTGAGAATGATTCTGTCGGGTTTTTATACGAAGATATTTCCTTTTCTGCCTTTGGCCTCAAAGCGCTTGAAGTCTCCACTTGCAAATTGCAGAAAAAGAGTGTTTCGAATCTGCTCTGTCTAAAGGAAGGTTCAACTCTGTCAGTTGAATACACACAACACAAGGAAGTTACTGAGATTTCTTCTGTCTAGCCTTACATGAAAAAAACCCGTTTCCAACGAAGGCCTCAAAGAGGTCAAAATATCCACGTGCAGACTTTCCAAACAGAGTGTTTCCAAACTGCTGAATGAAAAGAAAAGTTAAACTCTGTGAGTTGAACGCACACATCCCAGAGCAGTTTCTGAGAAAGATTCTGTCTAGTTTTTATAGGAAAATATTTCCTTTTCTGCTTTTGGCCTCAAAGCGCTTGAAATCTCCACTTGCAAATTCCACAAAAAGAGACTTTCAAATCTGCTCTGTCTAAAGGAAGGTTCAACTCTGTCAGTTGAATACACACAACACAAAGAAGTTACTAAGAATTCTTCCCTCTAGCATTATATGAAGAAATCCCGTTTCCAACGAAGGCATCTAAGAGGTCCAAATATCCACTTGCAGACTTTACAAACAGAGGGTTTCCAGAATGCTGTATGAAAAGAAAGGTGAAACTCTGTGAGTTAAACACACACATCACTACGCAGTGTCTGGGAACGAGTTTGTCTTGTTTTTATACGAAGATATTTCCTTTTCTACCATTGGCATCGAAGCGCTTGAAATCTCCACTTGCAAATTCCACAAAAAGAGTGTTTCAAATCTGCTCTGTCTAAAGGAAGGTTGAACTCTGTGAGTTGCATACACACAACACAAAGAAGTTACTGAGAAATCTTCTGTCTAGCATAATATGAAGAAATCCCGTTTCCAACGAAGGCCTCAAAGAGGTCCGATTATCCACTGGCAGGCTTCACAAACAGAGTGTTTCCTAACTGCTCTGTGAAAAGAAAGGTTAAACTCTGTGAGTTGAACGCACACATCACAAAGGAGTTTCTGAGAATCATTCTGTCTAGTTTTTATACGAAGATATTTCCTTTTCTACCATTGACCTCAAAGCGGCTGACATCTCCACTTGCAAATTCCAGAAAAACAGTGTTTCAAATCTGCTCTGTGTAAAGGATCGTTCAACTCTGTGAGTTGAATACACACAACACAAGGAAGTTACTGAGAATTCATCTGTCTAGCATAATATGAAGAAATCCCGTTTCCAACGAAGGCCTCAAAGAGGTCTGAATATCCACTTGCAGACTTTACAAACAGAGTGTTTCCTAACTGCTCTTTGAAAAGAAAGGTTAAACTCTGTGAGTTGAACGCACACATCAAAAAACAGTTTCTGAGAATCATTCTGTCTAGTTTTTATACGAAGATATTTCCTTTTCTACCGTTGACCTCAAAGCGGCTGAATTCTCCACTTACAAATTCCACCCAAAGAGTGTCTCAAATCTGCTCTGTGTAAAGAATCATTCAACTCTGTGAGTTGAATGCACACAACACAAGGAAGTTACTGGGAATTCCTCTGTCTAACCTTACATGAAAAAACCCGTTTCCAACGAAGGCCTCTAAGAGGCCAAGATATCCACTTGCAGACTTTACAAACAGAGTGTTTCCAAACTGCTGAATGAAAAGAAAAGTTAAACTCTGTGAGTTGAACGCACACATCACAGAGCAGTTTCTGAGAATGATTCTGTCGGGTTTTTATACGAAGATATTTCCTTTTCTGCCTTTGGCCTCAAAGCGCTTGAAGTCTCCACTTGCAAATTGCAGAAAAAGAGTGTTTCGAATCTGCTCTGTCTAAAGGAAGGTTCAACTCTGTCAGTTGAATACACACAACACAAGGAAGTTACTGAGATTTCTTCTGTCTAGCCTTACATGAAAAAAACCCGTTTCCAACGAAGGCCTCAAAGAGGTCAAAATATCCACGTGCAGACTTTCCAAACAGAGTGTTTCCAAACTGCTGAATGAAAAGAAAAGTTAAACTCTGTGAGTTGAACGCACACATCCCAGAGCAGTTTCTGAGAAAGATTCTGTCTAGTTTTTATAGGAAAATATTTCCTTTTCTGCTTTTGGCCTCAAAGCGCTTGAAATCTCCACTTGCAAATTCCACAAAAAGAGACTTTCAAATCTGCTCTGTCTAAAGGAAGGTTCAACTCTGTCAGTTGAATACACACAACACAAAGAAGTTACTAGAGAATTCTTCTGTCTAGCATAATATGAAGAAATCCCGTTTCCAACGAAGGCCTCAAAGAGGTCCGAATATCCACTGGCAGATTTCACAAACAGAGTGTTTCGTAACTGCTCTATGAAAAGAAAGGTTAAACTCTGTGAGTTGAAAGCACACATCACAAAACAGTTTCTGAGAATCATTTTGTCTTGTTTTTATACGAAGATATTTCCTTTTCTACCATTGGCATCGAAGCGCTTGAAATCTCCACTTGCAAATTCCACAAAAAGAGTGTTTCAAATCTGCTCTGTCTAAAGGAAGGTTGAACTCTGTGAGTTGCATACACACAACACAAAGAAGTTACTGAGAAATCTTCTGTCTAGCATAATATGAAGAAATCCCGTTTCCAACGAAGGCCTCAAAGAGGTCCGAATATCCACTGGCAGGCTTCACAAACAGAGTGTTTCCTAACTGCTCTGTGAAAAGAAAGGTTAAACTCTGTGAGTTGAACGCACACATCACAAAGGAGTTTCTGAGAATCATTCTGTCTAGTTTTTATACGAAGATATTTCCTTTTCTACCATTGACCTCAAAGCGGCTGAAATCTCCACTTGCAAATTCCAGAAAAAGAGTGTTTCAAATCTGCTCTGTGTAAAGGATCGTTCAACTCTGTGAGTTGAATACACACAACACAAGGAAGTTACTGAGAATTCATCTGTCTAGCATAATATGAAGAAATCCCGTTTCCAACGAAGGCCTCAAAGAGGTCTGAATATCCACTTGCAGAATTTACAAACAGAGTGTTTCCTAACTGCTCTTTGCAAAGAAAGGTTAAACTCTGTGAGTTGAACGCACACATCACAGAAGAGTTTCTGAGAATCATTCTGTCTAGTTTTTATACGAAGATATTTCCTTTTCTACCATTGACCTCAAAGCGGCTGAATTCTCCACTTACAAATTCCACCAAAAGAGTGTCTCAAATCTGCTCTGTGTAAAGAATCATTCAACTCTGTGAGTTGAATGCACACAACACAAGGAAGTTACTGGGAATTCCTCTGTCTAACCTTACATGAAAAAAACCCGTTTCCCACGAAGGCCTCTAAGAGGCCAAGATATCCCCTTGCAGACTTTACAAAGAGAGTGTTTCCAAACTGCTGAATGAAAAGAAAAGTTAAACTCTGTGAGTTGAACGCACACATCACAGAGCAGTTTCTGAGAAAGATTCTGTCGGGTTTTTATACGAAGATATTTCCTTTTCTGCCTTTGGCCTCAAAGCGCTTGAAGTCTCCACTTGCAAATTGCAGAAAAAGAGTGTTTCGAATCTGCTCTGTCTAAAGGAAGGTTCAACTCTGTCAGTTGAATACACACAACACAAGGAAGTTACTGAGATTTCTTCTGTCTAGCCTTACATGAAAAAAACCCGTTTCCAACGAAGGCCTCAAAGAGGTCAAAATATCCACGTGCAGACTTTCCAAACAGAGTGTTTCCAAACTGCTGAATGAAAAGAAAAGTTAAACTCTGTGAGTTGAACGCACACATCCCAGAGCAGTTTCTGAGAAAGATTCTGTCGAGTTTTTATAGGAAAATATTTCCTTTTCTGCTTTTGGCCTCAAAGCGCTTGAAATCTCCACTTGCAAATTCCACAAAAAGAGACTTTCAAATCTGCTCTGTCTAAAGGAAGGTTCAACTCTGTCAGTTGAATACACACAACACAAAGAAGTTACTAAGAATTCTTCCCTCTAGCATTATATGAAGAAATCCCGTTTCCAACGAAGGCATCTAAGAGGTCCAAATATCCACTTGCAGACTTTACAAACACAGGGTTTCCAGAATGCTGTATGAAAAGAAAGGTTAAACTCTGTGAGTTAAACACACACATCACTACGCAGTGTCTGGGAACGAGTTTGTCTTGTTTTTATACGAAGATATTTCCTTTTCTACCATTGGCATCGAAGCGCTTGAAATCTCCACTTGCAAATTCCACAAAAAGAGTGTTTCAAATCTGCTCTGTCTAAAGGAAGGTTGAACTCTGTGAGTTGCATACACACAACACAAAGAAGTTACTGAGAAATCTTCTGTCTAGCATAATATGAAGAAATCCCGTTTCCAACGAAGGCCTCAAAGAGGTCCGAATATCCACTGGCAGGCTTCACAAACAGAGTGTTTCCTAACTGCTCTGTGAAAAGAAAGGTTAAACTCTGTGAGTTGAACGCACACATCACAAAGGAGTTTCTGAGAATCATTCTGTCTAGTTTTTATACGAAGATATTTCCTTTTCTACCATTGACCTCAAAGCGGCTGAAATCTCCACTTGCAAATTCCAGAAAAACAGTGTTTCAAATCTGCTCTGTGTAAAGGATCGTTCAACTCTGTGAGTTGAATACACACAACACAAGGAAGTTACTGAGAATTCATCTGTCTAGCATAATATGAAGAAATCCCGTTTCCAACGAAGGCCTCAAAGAGGTCTGAATATCCTCTTGCAGACTTTACAAACAGAGTGTTTCCTAACTGCTCTTTGAAAAGAAAGGTTAAACTCTGTGAGTTGAACGCACACATCACAAAACAGTTTCTGAGAATCATTCTGTCTAGTTTTTATACGAAGATATTTCCTTTTCTACCGTTGACCTCAAAGCGGCTGAATTCTCCACTTACAAATTCCACCAAAAGAGTGTCTCAAAACTGCTCTGTGTAAAGAATCATTCAACTCTGTGAGTTGAATGCACACAACACAAGGAAGTTACTGGGAATTCCTCTGTCTAACCTTACATGAAAAAACCCGTTTCCAACGAAGGCCTCTAAGAGGCCAAGATATCCACTTGCAGACTTTACAAACAGAGTGTTTCCAAACTGCTGAATGAAAAGAAAAGTTAAACTCTGTGAGTTGAACGCACACATCACAGAGCAGTTTCTGAGAATGATTCTGTCGGGTTTTTATACGAAGATATTTCCTTTTCTGCCTTTGGCCTCAAAGCGCTTGAAGTCTCCACTTGCAAATTGCAGAAAAAGAGTGTTTCGAATCTGCTCTGTCTAAAGGAAGGTTCAACTCTGTCAGTTGAATACACACAACACAAGGAAGTTACTGAGATTTCTTCTGTCTAGCCTTACATGAAAAAAACCCGTTTCCAACGAAGGCCTCAAAGAGGTCAAAATATCCACGTGCAGACTTTCCAAACAGAGTGTTTCCAAACTGCTGAATGAAAAGAAAAGTTAAACTCTGTGAGTTGAACGCACACATCCCAGAGCAGTTTCTGAGAAAGATTCTGTCGAGTTTTTATAGGAAAATATTTCCTTTTCTGCTTTTGGCCTCAAAGCGCTTGAAATCTCCACTTGCAAATTCCACAAAAAGAGACTTTCAAATCTGCTCTGTCTAAAGGAAGGTTCAACTCTGTCAGTTGAATACACACAACACAAAGAAGTTACTAAGAATTCTTCCCTCTAGCATTATATGAAGAAATCCCGTTTCCAACGAAGGCATCTAAGAGGTCCAAATATCCACTTGCAGACTTTACAAACAGAGGGTTTCCAGAATGCTGTATGAAAAGAAAGGTTAAACTCTGTGAGTTAAACACACACATCACTACGCAGTGTCTGGGAACGAGTTTGTCTTGTTTTTATACGAAGATATTTCCTTTTCTACCATTGGCATCGAAGCGCTTGAAATCTCCACTTGCAAATTCCACAAAAAGAGTGTTTCAAATCTGCTCTGTCTAAAGGAAGGTTGAACTCTGTGAGTTGCATACACACAACACAAAGAAGTTACTGAGAAATCTTCTGTCTAGCATAATATGAAGAAATCCCGTTTCCAACGAAGGCCTCAAAGAGGTCTGAATATCCACTTGCAGACTTTACAAACAGAGTGTTTCCTAACTGCTCTTTGAAAAGAAAGGTTAAACTCTGTGAGTTGAACGCACACATCACAAAACAGTTTCTGAGAATCATTCTGTCTAGTTTTTATACGAAGATATTTCCTTTTCTACCGTTGACCTCAAAGCGGCTGAATTCTCCACTAACAAATTCCACCAAAAGAGTGTCTCAAATCTGCTCTGTGTAAAGAATCATTCAACTCTGTGAGTTGAATGCACACAACACAAGGAAGTTACTGGGAATTCCTCTGTCTAACCTTACATGAAAAAACCCGTTTCCAACGAAGGCCTCTAAGAGGCCAAGATATCCACTTGCAGACTTTACAAACAGAGTGTTTCCAAACTGGTGAATGAAAAGAAAAGTTAAACTCTGTGAGTTGAACGCACACATCACAGAGCAGTTTCTGAGAATGATTCTGTCGGGTTTTTATACGAAGATATTTCCGTTTCTGCCTTTGGCCTCAAAGCGCTTGAAGTCTCCACTTGCAAATTGCAGAAAAAGAGTGTTTCGAATCTGCTCTGTCTAAAAGAAGGTTCAACTCTGTCAGTTGAATACACACAACACAAGGAAGTTACTGAGATTTCTTCTGTCTAGCCTTACATGAAAAAAACCCGTTTCCAACGAAGGCCTCAAAGAGGTCAAAATATCCACGTGCAGACTTTCCAAACAGAGTGTTTCCAAACTGCTGAATGAAAAGAAAAGTTAAACTCTGTGAGTTGAATGCACACATCCCAGAGCAGTTTCTGAGAAAGATTCTGTCTAGTTTTTATAGGAAAATATTTCCTTTTCTGCTTTTGGCCTCAAAGCGCTTGAAATCTCCACTTGCAAATTCCACAAAAAGAGACTTTCAAATCTGCTCTGTCTAAAGGAAGGTTCAACTCTGTCAGTTGAATACACACAACACAAAGAAGTTACTAAGAATTCTTCCCTCTAGCATTATATGAAGAAATCCCGTTTCCAACGAAGGCATCTAAGAGGTCCAAATATCCACTTGCAGACTTTACAAACAGAGGGTTTCCAGAATGCTGTATGAAAAGAAAGGTGAAACTCTGTGAGTTAAACACACACATCACTACGCAGTGTCTGGGAACGAGTTTGTCTTGTTTTTATACGAAGATATTTCCTTTTCTACCATTGGCATCGAAGCGCTTGAAATCTCCACTTGCAAATTCCACAAAAAGAGTGTTTCAAATCTGCTCTGTCTAAAGGAAGGTTGAACTCTGTGAGTTGCATACACACAACACAAAGAAGTTACTGAGAAATCTTCTGTCTAGCATAATATGAAGAAATCCCGTTTCCAACGAAGGCCTCAAAGAGGTCCGAATATCCACTGGCAGGCTTCACAAACAGAGTGTTTCCTAACTGCTCTGTGAAAAGAAAGGTTAAACTCTGTGAGTTGAACGCACACATCACAAAGGAGTTTCTGAGAATCATTCTGTCTAGTTTTTATACGAAGATATTTCCTTTTCTACCATTGACCTCAAAGCGGCTGAAATCTCCACTTGCAAATTCCAGAAAAACAGTGTTTCAAATCTGCTCTGTGTAAAGGATCGTTCAACTCTGTGAGTTGAATACACACAACACAAGGAAGTTACTGAGAATTCATCTGTCTAGCATAATATGAAGAAATCCCGTTTCCAACGAAGGCCTCAAAGAGGTCTGAATATCCACTTGCAGACTTTACAAACAGAGTGTTTCCTAACTGCTCTTTGAAAAGAAAGGTTAAACTCTGTGAGTTGAACGCACACATCACAAAACAGTTTCTGAGAATCATTCTGTCTAGTTTTTATACGAAGATATTTCCTTTTCTACCGTTGACCTCAAAGCGGCTGAATTCTCCACTTACAAATTCCACCAAAAGAGTGTCTCAAATCTGCTCTGTGTAAAGAATCATTCAACTCTGTGAGTTGAATGCACACAACACAAGGAAGTTAGTGGGAATTCCTCTGTCTAACCTTACATGAAAAAACCCGTTTCCAACGAAGGCCTCTAAGAGGCCAAGATATCCACTTGCAGACTTTACAAACAGAGTGTTTCCAAACTGCTGAATGAAAAGAAAAGTTAAACTCTGTGAGTTGAACGCACACATCACAGAGCAGTTTCTGAGAGTGATTCTGTCGGGTTTTTATACGAAGATATTTCCTTTTCTGCCTTTGGCCTCAAAGCGCTTGAAGTTTCCACGTGCAAATTGCAGAAAAAGAGTGTTTCAAATCTGCTCTGTCTAAAGGAAGGTTCAACTCTGTCAGTTGAATACACACAACACAAGGAAGTTACTGAGATTTCTTCTGTCTAGCCTTACATGAAAAAAACCCGTTTCCAACGAAGGCCTCAAAGAGGTCAAAATATCCACGTGCAGACTTTCCAAACAGAGTGTTTCCAAACTGCTGAATGAAAAGAAAAGTTAAACTCTGTGAGTTGAACGCACACATCCCAGAGCAGTTTCTGAGAAAGATTCTGTCTAGTTTTTATAGGAAAATATTTCCTTTTCTGCTTTTGGCCTCAAAGCGCTTCAAATCTCCACTTGCAAATTCCAGAAAAAGAGACTTTCAAATCTGCTCTGTCTAAAGGAAGGTTCAACTCTGTCAGTTGAATACACACAACACAAAGAAGTTACTAAGAATTCTTCCCTCTAGCATTATATGAAGAAATCCCGTTTCCAACGAAGGCATCTAAGAGGTCCAAATATCCACTTGCAGACTTTACAAACAGAGGGTTTCCAGAATGCTGTATGAAAAGAAAGGTGAAACTCTGTGAGTTAAACACACACATCACTACGCAGTGTCTGGGAACGAGTTTGTCTTGTTTTTATACGAAGATATTTCCTTTTCTACCATTGGCATCGATGCGCTTGAAATTTCCACTTGCAAATTCCACAAAAAGAGTGTTTCAAATCTGCTCTGTCTAAAGGAAGGTTGAACTCTGTGAGTTGTATACACACAACACAAAGAAGTTACTGAGAAATCTTCTGTCTAGCAAAATATGAAGAAATCCCGTTTCCAACGAAGGCCTCAAAGAGGTCCGAATATCCCCTGGCAGGCTTCACAAACAGAGTGTTTCCTAACTGCTCTGTGAAAAGAAAGGTTAAACTCTGTGAGTTGAACGCACACATCACAAAGGAGTTTCTGAGAATCATTCTGTCTAGTTTTTATACGAAGATATTTCCTTTTCTACCATTGACCTCAAAGCGGCTGAAATCTCCACTTGCAAATTCCAGAAAAACAGTGTTTCAAATCTGCTCTGTGTAAAGGATCGTTCAACTCTGTGAGTTGAATACACACAACACAAGGAAGTTACTGAGAATTCATCCCTCTAGCATTATATGAAGAAATCCCGTTTCCAACGAAGGCCTCAAAGAGGTCTGAATATCCACTTGCAGACTTTACAGAGTGTTTCCTAACTGCTCTTTGAAAAGAAAGGTTAAACTCTGTGAGTTGAACGCACACATCACAAAACAGTTTCTGAGAATCATTCTGTCTAGTTTTTATACGAAGATATTTCCTTTTCTACCGTTGACCTCAAAGCGGCTGAATTCTCCACTTACAAATTCCACCCAAAGAGTGTCTCAAATCTGCTCTGTGTAAAGAATCATTCAACTCTGTGAGTTGAATGCACACAACACAAGGAAGTTACTGGGAATTCCTGTGTGTATCCTTACATGAAAAAACCCGTTTCCAACGAAGGCCTCTAAGAGGCCAAGATATCCACTTGCAGACTTTACAAACAGAGTGTTTCCAAACTGCTGAATGAAAAGAAAAGTTAAACTCTGTGAGTTGAACGCACACATCACAGAGCAGTTTCTGAGAATGATTCTGTCGGGTTTTTATACGAAGATATTTCCTTTTCTGCCTTTGGCCTCAAAGCGCTTGAAGTCTCCACTTGCAAATTGCAGAAAAAGAGTGTTTCGAATCTGCTCTGTCTAAAGGAAGGTTCAACTCTGTCAGTTGAATACACACAACACAAGGAAGTTACTGAGATTTCTTCTGTCTAGCCTTACATGAAAAAAACCCGTTTCCAACGAAGGCCTCAAAGAGGTCAAAATATCCACGTGCAGACTTTCCAAACAGAGTGTTTCCAAACTGCTGAATGAAAAGAAAAGTTAAACTCTGTGAGTTGAACGCACACATCCCAGAGCAGTTTCTGAGAAAGATTCTGTCGAGTTTTTATAGGAAAATATTTCCTTTTCTGCTTTTGGCCTCAAAGCGCTTGAAATCTCCACTTGCAAATTCCACAAAAAGAGACTTTCAAATCTGCTCTGTCTAAAGGAAGGTTCAACTCTGTCAGTTGAATACACACAACACAAAGAAGTTACTAAGAATTCTTCCCTCTAGCATTATATGAAGAAATCCCGTTTCCAACGAAGGCATCTAAGAGGTCCAAATATCCACTTGCAGACTTTACAAACACAGGGTTTCCAGAATGCTGTATGAAAAGAAAGGTGAAACTCTGTGAGTTAAACACACACATCACTACGCAGTGTCTGGGAACGAGTTTGTCTTGTTTTTATACGAAGATATTTCCTTTTCTACCATTGGCATCGAAGCGCTTGAAATCTCCACTTGCAAATTCCACAAAAAGAGTGTTTCAAATCTGCTCTGTCTAAAGGAAGGTTGAACTCTGTGAGTTGCATACACACAACACAAAGAAGTTACTGAGAAATCTTCTGTCTAGCATAATATGAAGAAATCCCGTTTCCAACGAAGGCCTCAAAGAGGTCCGAATATCCACTGGCAGGCTTCACAAACAGAGTGTTTCCTAACTGCTCTGTGAAAAGAAAGGTTAAACTCTGTGAGTTGAACGCACACATCACAAAGGAGTTTCTGAGAATCATTCTGTCTAGTTTTTATACGAAGATATTTCCTTTTCTACCATTGACCTCAAAGCGGCTGAAATCTCCACTTGCAAATTCCAGAAAAACAGTGTTTCAAATCTGCTCTGTGTAAAGGATCGTTCAACTCTGTGAGTTGAATACACACAACACAAGGAAGTTACTGAGAATTCATCTGTCTAGCATAATATGAAGAAATCCCGTTTCCAACGAAGGCCTCAAAGAGGTCTGAATATCCACTTGCAGACTTTACAGAGTGTTTCCTAACTGCTCTCTGAAAAGAAAGGTTAAACTCTGTGAGTTGAACGCACACATCACAAAACAGTTTCTGAGAATCATTCTGTCTAGTTTTTATACGAAGATATTTCCTTTTCTACCGTTGACCTCAAAGCGGCTGAATTCTCCACTTACAAATTCCACCAAAAGAGTGTCTCAAATCTGCTCTGTGTAAAGAATCGTTCAACTCTGTGAGTTGAATGCACACAACACAAGGAAGTTACTGGGAATTCCTCTGTCTATCCTTACATGAAAAAACCCGTTTCCAACGAAGGCCTCTAAGAGGCCAAGATATCCACTTGCAGACTTTACAAACAGAGTGTTTCCAAACTGCTGAATGAAAAGAAAAGTTAAACTCTGTGAGTTGAACGCACACATCACAGAGCAGTTTCTGAGAATGATTCTGTCGGGTTTTTATACGAAGATATTCCCTTTTCTGCCTTTGGCCTCAAAGCGCTTGAAGTCTCCACTTGCAAATTGCAGAAAAAGAGTGTTTCGAATCTGCTCTGTCTAAAAGAAGGTTCAACTCTGTCAGTTGAATACACACAACACAAGGAAGTTACTGAGATTTCTTCTGTCTAGCCTTACATGAAAAAAACCCGTTTCCAACGAAGGCCTCAAAGAGGTCAAAATATCCACGTGCAGACTTTCCAAACAGAGTGTTTCCAAACTGCTGAATGAAAAGAAAAGTTAAACTCTGTGAGTTGAACGCACACATCCCAGAGCAGTTTCTGAGAAAGATTCTGTCTAGTTTTTATAGGAAAATATTTCCTTTTCTGCTTTTGGCCTCAAAGCGCTTGAAATCTCCACTTGCAAATTCCACAAAAAGAGTGTTTCAAATCTGCTCTGTCTAAAGGAAGGTTGAACTCTGTGAGTTGCATACACACAACACAAAGAAGTTACTGAGAAATCTTCTGTCTAGCATAATATGAAGTAATCCCGTTTCCAACGAAGGCCTCAAAGAGGTCCGAATATCCACTGGCAGGCTTCACAAACAGAGTGTTTCCTAACTGCTCTGTGAAAAGAAAGGTTAAACTCTGTGAGTTGAACGCACACATCACAAAGGAGTTTCTGAGAATCATTCTGTCTAGTTTTTATACGAAGATATTTCCTTTTCTACCATTGACCTCAAAGCAGCTGAAATCTCCACTTGCAAATTCCAGAAAAACAGTGTTTCAAATCTGCTCTGTGTAAAGGATCGTTCAACTCTGTGAGTTGAATACACACAACACAAGGGAAGTTACTGAGAATTCATCTGTCTAGCATAATATGAAGAAATCCCGTTTCCAACGAAGGCCTCAAAGAGGTCTGAATATCCACTTGCAGACTTTACAAACAGAGTGTTTCCTAACTGCTCTTTGAAAAGAAAGGTTAAACTCTGTGAGTTGAACGCACACATCACAAAACAGTTTCTGAGAATCATTCTGTCTAGATTTTATACGAAGATATTTCCTTTTCTACCGTTGACCTCAAAGCGGCTGAATTCTCCACTTACAAATTCCACCCAAAGAGTGTCTCAAATCTGCTCTGTGTAAAGAATCATTCAACTCTGTGAGTTGAATGCACACAACACAAGGAAGTTACTGGGAATTCCTCTGTCTATCCTTACATGAAAAAACCCGTTTCCAACGAAGGCCTCTAAGAGGCCAAGATATCCACTTGCAGACTTTACAAACAGAGTGTTTCCAAACTGCTGAATGAAAAGAAAAGTTAAACTCTGTGAGTTGAACGCACACATCACAGAGCAGTTTCTGAGAGTGATTCTGTCGGGTTTTTATACGAAGATATTTCCTTTTCTGCCTTTGGCCTCAAAGCGCTTGAAGTTTCCACTTGCAAATTGCAGAAAAAGAGTGTTTCGAATCTGCTCTGTCTAAAGGAAGGTTCAACTCTGTCAGTTGAATACACACAACACAAGGGAAGTTACTGAGATTTCTTCTGTCTAGCCTTACATGAAAAAAACCCGTTTCCAACGAAGGCCTCAAAGAGGTCAAAATATCCACGTGCAGACTTTCCAAACAGAGTGTTTCCAAACTGCTGAATGAAAAGAAAAGTTAAACTCTGTGAGTTGAACGCACACATCCCAGAGCAGTTTCTGAGAAAGATTCTGTCGAGTTTTTATAGGAAAATATTTCCTTTTCTGCTTTTGGCCTCAAAGCGCTTGAAATCTCCACTTGCAAATTCCACAAAAAGAGACTTTCAAATCTGCTCTGTCTAAAGGGAAGGTTCAACTCTGTCAGTTGAATACACACAACACAAAGAAGTTACTAAGAATTCTTCCCTCTAGCATTATATGAAGAAATCCCGTTTCCAAAGAAGGCATCTAAGAGGTCCAAATATCCACTTGCAGACTTTACAAACAGAGGGTTTCCAGAATGCTGTATGAACAGAAAGGTTAAACTCTGTGAGTTAAACACACACATCAGTACGCAGTGTCTGGGAACGAGTTTGTCTTGTTTTTATACGAAGATATTTCCTTTTCTACCATTGGCATCGAAGCGCTTGAAATCTCCACTTGCAAATTCCACAAAAAGAGTGTTTCAAATCTGCTCTGTCTAAAGGAAGGTTGAACTCTGTGAGTTGCATACACACAACACAAAGAAGTTACTGAGAAATCTTCTGTCTAGCATAATATGAAGAAATCCCGTTTCCAACGAAGGCCTGAAAGAGGTCTGAATATCCACTGGCAGGCTTCACAAACAGAGTGTTTCCTAACTGCTCTGTGAAAAGAAAGGTTAAACTCTGTGAGTTGAACGCACACATCACAAAGGAGTTTCTGAGAATCATTCTGTCTAGTTTTTATACGAAGATATTTCCTTTTCTACCATTGACCTCAAAGCGGCTGACATCTCCACTTGCAAATTCCAGAAAAACAGTGTTTCAAATCTGCTCTGTGTAAAGGATCGTTCAACTCTGTGAGTTGAATACACACAACACAAGGAAGTTACTGAGAATTCATCTGTCTAGCATAATATGAAGAAATCCCGTTTCCAACGAAGGCCTCAAAGAGGTCTGAATATCCACTTGCAGACTTTACAGAGTGTTTCCTAACTGCTCTTTGAAAAGAAAGGTTAAACTCTGTGAGTTGAACGCACACATCACAAAACAGTTTCTGAGAATCATTCTGTCTAGTTTTTATACGAAGATATTTCCTTTTCTACCGTTGACCTCAAAGCGGCTGAATTCTCCACTTACAAATTCCACCCAAAGAGTGTCTCAAATCTGCTCTGTGTAAAGAATCATTCAACTCTGTGAGTTGAATGCCCACAACACAAGGAAGTTACTGGGAATTCCTCTGTCTAACCTTACATGAAAAAACCCGTTTCCAACGAAGGCCTCTAAGAGGCCAAGATATCCACTTGCAGACTTTACAAACAGAGTGTTTCCAAACTGCTGAATGAAAAGAAAAGTTAAACTCTGTGAGTTGAACGCACACATCACAGAGCAGTTTCTGAGAATGATTCTGTCGGGTTTTTATACGAAGATATTTCCTTTTCTGCCTTTGGCCTCAAAGCGCTTGAAGTCTCCACTTGCAAATTGCAGAAAAAGAGTGTTTCGAATCTGCTCTGTCTAAAGGAAGGTTCAACTCTGTCAGTTGAATACACACAACACAAGGAAGTTACTGAGATTTCTTCTGTCTAGCCTTACATGAAAAAAACCCGTTTCCAACGAAGGCCTCAAAGAGGTCAAAATATCCACGTGCAGACTTTCCAAACAGAGTGTTTCCAAACTGCTGAATGAAAAGAAAAGTTAAACTCTGTGAGTTGAACGCACACATCCCAGAGCAGTTTCTGAGAAAGATTCTGTCGAGTTTTTATAGGAAAATATTTCCTTTTCTGCTTTTGGCCTCAAAGCGCTTGAAATCTCCACTTGCAAATTCCACAAAAAGAGACTTTCAAATCTGCTCTGTCTAAAGGAAGGTTCAACTCTGTCAGTTGAATACACACAACACAAAGAAGTTACTAAGAATTCTTCCCTCTAGCATTATATGAAGAAATCCCGTTTCCAACGAAGGCATCTAAGAGGTCCAAATATCCACTTGCAGACTTTACAAACACAGGGTTTCCAGAATGCTGTATGAAAAGAAAGGTTAAACTCTGTGAGTTAAACACACACATCACTACGCAGTGTCTGGGAACGAGTTTGTCTTGTTTTTATACGAAGATATTTCCTTTTCTACCATTGGCATCGAAGCGCTTGAAATCTCCACTTGCAAATTCCACAAAAAGAGTGTTTCAAATCTGCTCTGTCTAAAGGAAGGTTGAACTCTGTGAGTTGCATACACACAACACAAAGAAGTTACTGAGAAATCTTCTGTCTAGCATAATATGAAGAAATCCCGTTTCCAACGAAGGCCTCAAAGAGGTCCGAATATCCACTGGCAGGCTTCACAAACAGAGTGTTTCCTAACTGCTCTGTGAAAAGAAAGGTTAAACTCTGTGAGTTGAACGCACACATCACAAAGGAGTTTCTGAGAATCATTCTGTCTAGTTTTTATACGAAGATATTTCTTTTTCTACCATTGACCTCAAAGCGGCTGAAATCTCCACTTGCAAATTCCAGAAAAACAGTGTTTCAAATCTGCTCTGTGTAAAGGATCGTTCAACTCTGTGAGTTGAATACACACAACACAAGGAAGTTACTGAGAATTCATCTGTCTAGCATAATATGAAGAAATCCCGTTTCCAACGAAGGCCTCAAAGAGGTCTGAATATCCACTTGCAGACTTTACAAACAGAGTGTTTCCTAACTGCTCTTTGAAAAGAAAGGTTAAACTCTGTGAGTTGAACGCACACATCACAAAACAGTTTCTGAGAATCATTCTGTCTAGTTTTTATACGAAGATATTTCCTTTTCTACCGTTGACCTCAAAGCGGCTGAATTCTCCACTTACAAATTCCACCAAAAGAGTGTCTCAAATCTGCTCTGTGTAAAGAATCATTCAACTCTGTGAGTTGAATGCACACAACACAAGGAAGTTACTGGGAATTCCTCTGTCTAACCTTACATGAAAAAACCCGTTTCCAACGAAGGCCTCTAAGAGGCCAAGATATCCACTTGCAGACTTTACAAACAGAGTGTTTCCAAACTGCTGAATGAAAAGAAAAGTTAAACTCTGTGAGTTGAACGCACACATCACAGAGCAGTTTCTGAGAATGATTCTGTCGGGTTTTTATATGAAGATATTTCCTTTTCTGCCTTTGGCCTCAAAGCGCTTGAAGTCTCCACTTGCAAATTGCAGAAAAAGAGTGTTTCGAATCTGCTCTGTCTAAAGGAAGGTTCAACTCTGTCAGTTGAATACACACAACACAAGGAAGTTACTGAGATTTCTTCTGTCTAGCCTTACATGAAAAAAACCCGTTTCCAACGAAGGCCTCAAAGAGGTCAAAATATCCACGTGCAGACTTTCCAAACAGAGTGTTTCCAAACTGCTGAATGAAAAGAAAAGTTAAACTCTGTGAGTTGAACGCACACATCCCAGAGCAGTTTCGGAGAAAGATTCTGTCGAGGTTTTATAGGAAAATATTTCCTTTTCTGCTTTTGGCCTCAAAGCGCTTGAAATCTCCACTTGCAAATTCCACAAAAAGAGACTTTCAAATCTGCTCTGTCTAAAGGAAGGTTCAACTCTGTCAGTTGAATACACACAACACAAAGAAGTTACTAAGAATTCTTCCCTCTAGCATTATATGAAGAAATCCCGTTCCCAACGAAGGCATCTAAGAGGTCCAAATATCCACTTGCAGACTTTACAAACAGAGGGTTTCCAGAATGCTGTATGAAAAGAAAGGTTAAACTCTGTGAGTTAAACACACACATCACTACGCAGTGTCTGGGAACGAGTTTGTCTTGTTTTTATACGAAGATATTTCCTTTTCTACCATTGGCATCGAAGCGCTTGAAATCTCCACTTGCAAATTCCACAAAAAGAGTGTTTCAAATCTGCTCTGTCTAAAGGAAGGTTGAACTCTGTGAGTTGCATACACACAACACAAAGAAGTTACTGAGAAATCTTCTGTCTAGCATAATATGAAGAAATCCCGTTTCCAACGAAGGCCTCAAAGAGGTCCGAATATCCACTGGCAGGCTTCACAAACAGAGTGTTTCCTAACTGCTCTGTGAAAAGAAAGGTTAAACTCTGTGAGTTGAACGCACACATCACAAAGGAGTTTCTGAGAATCATTCTGTCTAGTTTTTATACGAAGATATTTCCTTTTCTACCATTGACCTCAAAGCGGCTGAAATCTCCACTTGCAAATTCCAGAAAAACAGTGTTTCAAATCTGCTCTGTGTAAAGGATCGTTCAACTCTGTGAGTTGAATACACACAACACAAGGAAGTTACTGAGAATTCATCTGTCTAGCATAATATGAAGAAATCCCGTTTCCAACGAAGGCCTCAAAGAGGTCTGAATATCCACTTGCAGACTTTACAAACAGAGTGTTTCCTAACTGCTCTTTGAAAAGAAAGGTTAAACTCTGTGAGTTGAACGCACACATCAAAAAACAGTTTCTGAGAATCATTCTGTCTAGTTTTTATACGAAGATATTTCCTTTTCTACCGTTGACCTCAAAGCGGCTGAATTCTCCACTTACAAATTCCACCAAAAGAGTGTCTCAAATCTGCTCTGTGTAAAGAATCATTCAACTCTGTGAGTTGAATGCACACAACACAAGGAAGTTACTGGGAATTCCTCTGTCTATCCTTACATGAAAAAACCCGTTTCCAACGAAGGCCTCTAAGAGGCCAAGATATCCACTTGCAGACTTTACAAACAGAGTGTTTCCAAACTGCTGAATGAAAAGAAAAGTTAAACTCTGTGAGTTGAACGCACACATCACAGAGCAGTTTCTGAGAATGATTCTGTCGGGTTTTTATACGAAGATATTTCCTTTTCTGCCTTTGGCCTCAAAGCGCTTGAAGTCTCCACTTGCAAATTGCAGAAAAAGAGTGTTTCGAATCTGCTCTGTCTAAAGGAAGGTTCAACTCTGTCAGTTGAATACACACAACACAAGGAAGTTACTGAGATTTCTTCTGTCTAGCCTTACATGAAAAAAACCCGTTTCCAACGAAGGCCTCAAAGAGGTCAAAATATCCACGTGCAGACTTTCCAAACAGAGTGTTTCCAAACTGCTGAATGAAAAGAAAAGTTAAACTCTGTGAGTTGAACGCACACATCCCAGAGCAGTTTCTGAGAAAGATTCTGTCGAGTTTTTATAGGAAAATATTTCCTTTTCTGCTTTTGCCCTCAAAGCGCTTGAAATCTCCACTTGCAAATTCCACAAAAAGAGACTTTCAACTCTGCTCTGTCTAAAGGAAGGTTCAACTCTGTCAGTTGAATACACACAACACAAAGAAGTTACTAAGAATTCTTCCCTCTAGCATTATATGAAGAAATCCCGTTTCCAACGAAGGCATCTAAGAGGTCCAAATATCCACTTGCAGACTTTACAAACACAGGGTTTCCAGAATGCTGTATGAAAAGAAAGGTTAAACTCTGTGAGTTAAACACACACATCACTACGCAGTGTCTGGGAACGAGTTTGTCTTGTTTTTATACGAAGATATTTCCTTTTCTACCATTGGCATCGAAGCGCTTGAAATCTCCACTTGCAAATTCCACAAAAAGAGTGTTTCAAATCTGCTCTGTCTAAAGGAAGGTTGAACTCTGTGAGTTGCATACACACAACACAAAGAAGTTACTGAGAAATCTTCTGTCTAGCATAATATGAAGAAATCCCGTTTCCAACGAAGGCCTCAAAGAGGTCCGAATATCCACTGGCAGGCTTCACAAACAGAGTGTTTCCTAACTGCTCTGTGAAAAGAAAGGTTAAACTCTGTGAGTTGAACGCACACATCACAAAGGAGTTTCTGAGAATCATTCTGTCCAGTTTTTATACGAAGATATTTCCTTTTCTACCATTGACCTCAAAGCGGCTGAAATCTCCACTTGCAAATTCCAGAAAAACAGTGTTTCAAATCTGCTCTGTATAAAGGATCGTTCAACTCTGTGAGTTGAATACACACAACACAAGGAAGTTACTGAGAATTCATCTGTCTAGCATAATATGAAGAAATCCCGTTTCCAACGAAGGCCTCAAAGAGGTCTGAATATCCACTTGCAGACTTTACAAACAGAGTGTTTCCTAACTGCTCTTTGAAAAGAAAGGTTAAACTCTGTGAGTTGAAAGCACACATCACAAAACAGTTTCTGAGAATCATTCTGTCTAGTTTTTATACGAAGATATTTCCTTTTCTACCGTTGACATCAAAGCGGCTGAATTCTCCACTTACAAATTCCACCAAAAGAGTGTCTCAAATCTGCTCTGTGTAAAGAATCATTCAACTCTGTGAGTTGAATGCACACAACACAAGGAAGTTAGTGGGAATTCCTCTGTCTAACCTTACATGAAAAAACCCGCTTCCAACGAAGGCCTCTAAGAGGCCAAGATATCCACTTGCAGACTTTACAAACAGAGTGTTTCCAAACTGCTGAATGAAAAGAAAAGTTAAACTCTGTGAGTTGAACGCACACATCACAGAGCAGTTTCTGAGAATGATTCTGTCGGGTTTTTATACGAAGATATTTCCTTTTCTGCCTTTGGCCTCAAAGCGCTTGAAGTCTCCACTTGCAAATTGCAGAAAAAGAGTGTTTCGAATCTGCTCTGTCTAAAAGAAGGTTCAACTCTGTCAGTTGAATACACACAACACAAGGAAAGTTACTGAGATTTCTTCTGTCTAGCGTTACATGAAAAAAACCCGTTTCCAACGAAGGCCTCAAAGAGGTCAAAATATCCACGTGCAGACTTTCCAAACAGAGTGTTTCCAAACTGCTGAATGAAAAGAAAAGTTAAACTCTGTGAGTTGAACGCACACATCCCAGAGCAGTTTCTGAGAAAGATTCTGTCTAGTTTTTATAGGAAAATATTTCCTTTTCTGCTTTTGGCCTCAAAGCGCTTGAAATCTCCACTTGCAAATTCCACAAAAAGAGACTTTCAAATCTGCTCTGTCTAAAGGAAGGTTCAACTCTGTCAGTTGAATACACACAACACAAAGAAGTTACTAAGAATTCTTCCCTCTAGCATTATATGAAGAAATCCCGTTTGCAACGAAGGCATCTAAGAGGTCCAAATATCCACTTGCAGACTTTACAAACAGAGGGTTTCCAGAATGCTGTATGAAAAGAAAGGTGAAACTCTGTGAGTTAAACACACACATCACTACGCAGTGTCTGGGAACGAGTTTGTCTTGTTTTTATACGAAGATATTTCCTTTTCTACCATTGGCATCGAAGCGCTTGAAATCTCCACTTGCAAATTCCACAAAAAGAGTGTTTCAAATCTGCTCTGTCTAAAGGAAGGTTGAACTCTGTGAGTTGCATACACACAACACAAAGAAGTTACTGAGAAATCTTCTGTCTAGCATAATATGAAGAAATCCCGTTTCCAACGAAGGCCTCAAAGAGGTCCGAATATCCACTGGCAGGCTTCACAAACAGAGTGTTTCCTAACTGCTCTGTGAAAAGAAAGGTTAAACTCTGTGAGTTGAACGCACACATCACAAAGGAGTTTCTGAGAATCATTCTGTCTAGTTTTTATACGAAGATATTTCCTTTTCTACCATTGACCTCAAAGCGGCTGAAATCTCCACTTGCAAATTCCAGAAAAACAGTGTTTCAAATCTGCTCTGTGTAAAGGATCGTTCAACTCTGTGAGTTGAATACACACAACACAAGGAAGTTACTGAGAATTCATCTGTCTAGCATAATATGAAGAAATCCCGTTTCCAACGAAGGCCTCAAAGAGGTCTGAATATCCACTTGCAGACTTTACAAACAGAGTGTTTCCTAACTGCTCTTTGAAAAGAAAGGTTAAACTCTGTGAGTTGAACGCACACATCACAAAACAGTTTCTGAGAATCATTCTGTCTAGTTTTTATACGAAGATATTTCCTTTTCTACCGTTGACCTCAAAGCGGCTGAATTCTCCACTTACAAATTCCACCAAAAGAGTGTCTCAAATCTGCTCTGTGTAAAGAATCATTCAACTCTGTGAGTTGAATGCACACAACACAAGGAAGTTACTGGGAATTCCTCTGTCTATCCTTACATGAAAAAACCCGTTTCCAACGAAGGCCTCTAAGAGGCCAAGATATCCACTTGCAGACTTTACAAACAGAGTGTTTCCAAACTGCTGAATGAAAAGAAAAGTTAAACTCTGTGAGTTGAACGCACACATCACAGAGCAGTTTCTGAGAATGATTCTGTCGGGTTTTTATACGAAGATATTTCCTTTTCTGCCTTTGGCCTCAAAGCGCTTGAAGTCTCCACTTGCAAATTGCAGAAAAAGAGTGTTTCGAATCTGCTCTGTCTAAAGGAAGGTTCAACTCTGTCAGTTGAATACACACAACACAAGGAAGTTACTGAGATTTCTTCTGTCTAGCCTTACATGAAAAAAACCCGTTTCCAACGAAGGCCTCAAAGAGGTCAAAATATCCACGTGCAGACTTTCCAAACAGAGTGTTTCCAAACTGCTGAATGAAAAGAAAAGTTAAACTCTGTGAGTTGAACGCACACATCCCAGAGCAGTTTCTGAGAAAGATTCTGTCGAGTTTTTATAGGAAAATATTTCCTTTTCTGCTTTTGGCCTCAAAGCGCTTGAAATCTCCACTTGCAAATTCCACAGAAAGAGACTTTCAAATCTGCTCTGTCTAAAGGAAGGTTCAACTCTGTCAGTTGAATACACACAACACAAAGAAGTTACTAAGAATTCTTCCCTCTAGCATTATATGAAGAAATCCCGTTTCCAACGAAGGCATCTAAGAGGTCCAAATATCCACTTGCAGACTTTACAAACACAGGGTTTCCAGAATGCTGTATGAAAAGAAAGGTTAAACTCTGTGAGTTAAACACACACATCACTACGCAGTGTCTGGGAACGAGTTTGTCTTGTTTTTATACGAAGATATTTCCTTTTCTACCATTGGCATCGAAGCGCTTGAAATCTCCACTTGCAAATTCCACAAAAAGAGTGTTTCAAATCTGCTCTGTCTAAAGGAAGGTTGAACTCTGTGAGTTGCATACACACAACACAAAGAAGTTACTGAGAAATCTTCTGTCTAGCATAATATGAAGAAATCCCGTTTCCAACGAAGGCCTCAAAGAGGTCCGAATATCCACTGACAGGCTTCACAAACAGAGTGTTTCCTAACTGCTCTGTGAAAAGAAAGGTTAAACTCTGTGAGTTGAACGCACACATCACAAAGGAGTTTCTGAGAATCATTCTGTCTAGTTTTTATACGAAGATATTTCCTTTTCTACCATTGACCTCAAAGCGGCTGACATCTCCACTTGCAAATTCCAGAAAAACAGTGTTTCAAATCTGCTCTGTGTAAAGGATCGTTCAACTCTGTGAGTTGAATACACACAACACAAGGAAGTTACTGAGAATTCATCTGTCTAGCATAATATGAAGAAATCCCGTTTCCAACGAAGGCCTCAAAGAGGTCTGAATATCCACTTGCAGACTTTACAAACAGAGTGTTTCCTAACTGCTCTTTGAAAAGAAAGGTTAAACTCTGTGAGTTGAAAGCACACATCACAAAACAGTTTCTGAGAATCATTCTGTCTAGTTTTTATACGAAGATATTTCCTTTTCTACCGTTGACATCAAAGCGGCTGAATTCTCCACTTACAAATTCCACCAAAAGAGTGTCTCAAATCTGCTCTGTGTAAAGAATCATTCAACTCTGTGAGTTGAATGCACACAACACAAGGAAGTTAGTGGGAATTCCTCTGTCTAACCTTACATGAAAAAACCCGCTTCCAACGAAGGCCTCTAAGAGGCCAAGATATCCACTTGCAGACTTTACAAACAGAGTGTTTCCAAACTGCTGAATGAAAAGAAAAGTTAAACTCTGTGAGTTGAACGCACACATCACAGAGCAGTTTCTGAGAATGATTCTGTCGGGTTTTTATACGAAGAATATTTCCTTTTCTGCCTTTGGCCTCAAAGCGCTTGAAGTCTCCACTTGCAAATTGCAGAAAAAGAGTGTTTCGAATCTGCTCTGTCTAAAAGAAGGTTCAACTCTGTCAGTTGAATACACACAACACAAGGAAGTTACTGAGATTTCTTCTGTCTAGCCTTACATGAAAAAAACCCGTTTCCAACGAAGGCCTCAAAGAGGTCAAAATATCCACGTGCAGACTTTCCAAACAGAGTGTTTCCAAACTGCTGAATGAAAAGAAAAGTTAAACTCTGTGAGTTGAACGCACACATCCCAGAGCAGTTTCTGAGAAAGATTCTGTCTAGTTTTTATAGGAAAATATTTCCTTTTCTGCTTTTGGCCTCAAAGCGCTTGAAATCTCCACTTGCAAATTCCACAAAAAGAGACTTTCAAATCTGCTCTGTCTAAAGGAAGGTTCAACTCTGTCAGTTGAATACACACAACACAAAGAAGTTACTAAGAATTCTTCCCTCTAGCATTATATGAAGAAATCCCGTTTCCAACGAAGGCATCTAAGAGGTCCAAATATCCACTTGCAGACTTTACAAACACAGGGTTTCCAGAATGCTGTATGAAAAGAAAGGTTAAACTCTGTGAGTTAAACACACACATCACTACGCAGTGTCTGGGAACGAGTTTGTCTTGTTTTTATACGAAGATATTTCCTTTTCTACCATTGGCATCGAAGCGCTTGAAATCTCCACTTGCAAATTCCACAAAAAGAGTGTTTCAAATCTGCTCTGTCTAAAGGAAGGTTGAACTCTGTGAGTTGCATACACACAACACAAAGAAGTTACTGAGAAATCTTCTGTCTAGCATAATATGAAGAAATCCCGTTTCCAACGAAGGCCTCAAAGAGGTCCGAATATCCACTGGCAGGCTTCACAAACAGAGTGTTTCCTAACTGCTCTGTGAAAAGAAAGGTTAAACTCTGTGAGTTGAACGCACACATCACAAAGGAGTTTCTGAGAATCATTCTGTCTAGTTTTTATACGAAGATATTTCCTTTTCTACCATTGACCTCAAAGCGGCTGAAATCTCCACTTGCAAATTCCAGAAAAACAGTGTTTCAAATCTGCTCTGTGTAAAGGATCGTTCAACTCTGTGAGTTGAATACACACAACACAAGGAAGTTACTGAGAATTCATCTGTCTAGCATAATATGAAGAAATCCCGTTTCCAACGAAGGCCTCAAAGAGGTCTGAATATCCGCTTGCAGACTTTACAAACAGAGTGTTTCCTAACTGCTCTTTGAAAAGAAAGGTTAAACTCTGTGAGTTGAACGCACACATCACAAAACAGTTTCTGAGAATCATTCTGTCTAGTTTTTATACGAAGATATTTCCTTTTCTACCGTTGACCTCAAAGCGGCTGAATTCTCCACTTACAAATTCCACCCAAAGAGTGTCTCAAATCTGCTCTGTGTAAAGAATCATTCAACTCTGTGAGTTGAATGCACACAACACAAGGAAAGTTACTGGGAATTCCTCTGTCTATCCTTACATGAAAAAACCCGTTTCCAACGAAGGCCTCTAAGAGGCCAAGATATCCACTTGCAGACTTTACAAACAGAGTGTTTCCAAACTGCTGAATGAAAAGAAAAGTTAAACTCTGTGAGTTGAACGCACACATCACAGAGCAGTTTCTGAGAATGATTCTGTCGGGTTTTTATACGAAGATATTTCCTTTTCTGCCTTTGGCCTCAAAGCGCTTGAAGTCTCCACTTGCAAATTGCAGAAAAAGAGTGTTTCGAATCTGCTCTGTCTAAAGGAAGGTTCAACTCTGTCAGTTGAATACACACAACACAAGGAAGTTACTGAGATTTCTTCTGTCTAGCCTTACATGAAAAAAACCCGTTTCCAACGAAGGCCTCAAAGAGGTCAAAATATCCACGTGCAGACTTTCCAAACAGTGTTTCCAAACTGCTGAATGAAAAGAAAAGTTAAACTCTGTGAGTTGAACGCACACATCACAGAGCAGTTTCTGAGAATGATTCTGTCGGGTTTTTATACGAAGATATTTCCTTTTCTGCCTTTGGCCTCAAAGCGCTTGAAATCTCCACTTGCAAATTCCACAAAAAGAGACTTTCAAATCTGCTCTGTCTAAAGGAAGGTTCAACTCTGTCAGTTGAATACACACAACACAAAGAAGTTACTAAGAATTCTTCCCTCTAGCATTATATGAAGAAATCCCGTTTCCAACGAAGGCATCTAAGAGGTCCAAATATCCACTTGCAGACTTTACAAACAGAGGGTTTCCAGAATGCTGTATGAAAAGAAAGGTGAAACTCTGTGAGTTAAACACACACATCACTACGCAGTGTCTGGGAACGAGTTTGTCTTGTTTTTATACGAAGATATTTCCTTTTCTACCATTGGCATCGAAGCGCTTGAAATCTCCACTTGCAAATTCCACAAAAAGAGTGTTTCAAATCTGCTCTGTCTAAAGGAAGGTTGAACTCTGTGAGTTGCATACACACAACACAAAGAAGTTACTGAGAAATCTTCTGTCTAGCATAATATGAAGAAATCCCGTTTCCAACGAAGGCCTCAAAGAGGTCCGAATATCCACTGGCAGGCTTCACAAACAGAGTGTTTCCTAACTGCTCTGTGAAAAGAAAGGTTAAACTCTGTGAGTTGAACGCACACATCACAAAGGAGTTTCTGAGAATCATTCTGTCTAGTTTTTATACGAAGATATTTCCTTTTCTACCATTGACCTCAAAGCGGCTGAAATCTCCACTTGCAAATTCCAGGAAAACAGTGTTTCAAATCTGCTCTGTGTAAAGGATCGTTCAACTCTGTGAGTTGAATACACACAACACAAGGAAGTTACTGAGAATTCATCTGTCTAGCATAATATGAAGAAATCCCGTTTCCAACGAAGGCCTCAAAGAGGTCTGAATATCCACTTGCAGACTTTACAAACAGAGTGTTTCCTAACTGCTCTTTGAAAAGAAAGGTTAAACTCTGTGAGTTGAACGCACACATCACAAAACAGTCTCTGAGAATCATTCTGTCTAGTTTTTATACGAAGATATTTCCTTTTCTACCGTTGACCTCAAAGCGGCTGAATTCTCCACTTACAAATTCCACCAAAAGAGTGTCTCAAAACTGCTCTGTGTAAAGAATCATTCAACTCTGTGAGTTGAATGCACACAACACAAGGAAGTTACTGGGAATTCCTCTGTCTAACCTTACATGAAAAAACCCGTTTCCAACGAAGGCCTCTAAGAGGCCAAGATATCCACTTGCAGACTTTACAAACAGAGTGTTTCCAAACTGCTGAATGAAAAGAAAAGTTAAACTCTGTGAGTTGAACGCACACATCACAGAGCAGTTTCTGAGAATGATTCTGTCGGGTTTTTATACGAAGATATTTCCTTTTCTGCCTTTGGCCTCAAAGCGCTTGAAGTCTCCACTTGCAAATTGCAGAAAAAGAGTGTTTCGAATCTGCTCTGTCTAAAGGAAGGTTCAACTCTGTCAGTTGAATACACACAACACAAGGAAGTTACTGAGATTTCTTCTGTCTAGCCTTACATGAAAAAAACCCGTTTCCAACAAAGGCCTCAAAGAGGTCAAAATATCCACGTGCAGACTTTCCAAACAGAGTGTTTCCAAACTGCTGAATGAAAAGAAAAGTTAAACTCTGTGAGTTGAACGCACACGTCCCAGAGCAGTTTCTGAGAAAGATTCTGTCGAGTTTTTATAGGAAAATATTTCCTTTTCTGCTTTTGGCCTCAAAGCGCTTGAAATCTCCACTTGCAAATTCCACAAAAAGAGACTTTCAAATCTGCTCTGTCTAAAGGAAGGTTCAACTCTGTCAGTTGAATACACACAACACAAAGAAGTTACTAAGAATTCTTCCCTCTAGCATTATATGAAGAAATCCCGTTTCCAACGAAGGCATCTAAGAGGTCCAAATATCCACTTGCAGACTTTACAAACACAGGGTTTCCAGAATGCTGTATGAAAAGAAAGGTTAAACTCTGTGAGTTAAACACACACATCACTACGCAGTGTCTGGGAACGAGTTTGTCTTGTTTTTATACGAAGATATTTCCTTTTCTACCATTGGCATCGAAGCGCTTGAAATCTCCACTTGCAAATTCCACAAAAAGAGTGTTTCAAATCTGCTCTGTCTAAAGGAAGGTTGAACTCTGTGAGTTGCATACACACAACACAAAGAAGTTACTGAGAAATCTTCTGTCTAGCATAATATGAAGAAATCCCGTTTCCAACGAAGGCCTCAAAGAGGTCCGAATATCCACTGGCAGGCTTCACAAACAGAGTGTTTCCTAACTGCTCTGTGAAAAGAAAGGTTAAACCCTGTGAGTTGAACGCACACATCACAAAGGAGTTTCTGAGAATCATTCTGTCTAGTTTTTATACGAAGATATTTCCTTTTCTACCATTGACCTCAAAGCGGCTGACATCTCCACTTGCAAATTCCAGAAAAACAGTGTTTCAAATCTGCTCTGTGTAAAGGATCGTTCAACTCTGTGAGTTGAATACACACAACACAAGGAAGTTACTGAGAATTCATCTGTCTAGCATAATATGAAGAAATCCCGTTTCCAACGAAGGCCTCAAAGAGGTCTGAATATCCACTTGCAGACTTTACAAACAGAGTGTTTCCTAACTGCTCTCTGAAAAGAAAGGTTAAACTGTGTGAGTTGAACGCACACATCACAAAACAGTTTCTGAGAATCATTCTGTCTAGTTTTTATACGAAGATATTTCCTTTTCTACCGTTGACCTCAAAGCGGCTGAATTCTCCACTTACAAATTCCACCAAAAGAGTGTCTCAAATCTGCTCTGTGTAAAGAATCATTCAACTCTGTGAGTTGAATGCACACAACACAAGGAAGTTACTGGGAATTCCTCTGTCTATCCTTACATGAAAAAACCCGTTTCCAACGAAGGCCTCTAAGACGCCAAGATATCCACTTGCAGACTTTACAAACAGAGTGTTTCCAAACTGCTGAATGAAAAGAAAAGTTAAACTCTGTGAGTTGAACGCACACATCACAGAGCAGTTTCTGAGAATGATTCTGTCGGGTTTTTATACGAAGATATTTCCTTTTCTGCCTTTGGCCTCAAAGCGCTTGAAGTCTCCACTTGCAAATTGCAGAAAAAGAGTGTTTCGAATCTGCTCTGTCTAAAGGAAGGTTCAACTCTGTCAGTTGAATACACACAACACAAGGAAGTTACTGAGATTTCTTCTGTCTAGCCTTACATGAAAAAAACCCGTTTCCAACGAAGGCCTCAAAGAGGTCAAAATATCCACGTGCAGACTTTCCAAACAGTGTTTCCAAACTGCTGAATGAAAAGAAAAGTTAAACTCTGTGAGTTGAACGCACACATCACAGAGCAGTTTCTGAGAATGATTCTGTCTAGTTTTTATAGGAAAATATTTCCTTTTCTGCTTTTGGCCTCAAAGCGCTTGAAATCTCCACTTGCAAATTCCACAAAAAGAGACTTTCAAATCTGCTCTGTCTAAAGGAAGGTTCAACTCTGTCAGTTGAATACACACAACACAAAGAAGTTACTAAGAATTCTTCCCTCTAGCATTATATGAAGAAATCCCGTTTCCAACGAAGGCATCTAAGAGGTCCAAATATCCACTTGCAGACTTTACAAACACAGGGTTTCCAGAATGCTGTATGAAAAGAAAGGTTAAACTCTGTGAGTTAAACACACACATCACTACGCAGTGTCTGGGAACGAGTTTGTCTTGTTTTTATACGAAGATATTTCCTTTTCTACCATTGGCATCGAAGCGCTTGAAATCTCCACTTGCAAATTCCACAAAAAGAGTGTTTCAAATCTGCTCTGTCTAAAGGAAGGTTGAACTCTGTGAGTTGCATACACACAACACAAAGAAGTTACTGAGAAATCTTCTGTCTAGCATAATATGAAGAAATCCCGTTTCCAACGAAGGCCTCAAAGAGGTCCGAATATCCACTGGCAGGCTTCACAAACAGAGTGTTTCCTAACTGCTCTGTGAAAAGAAAGGTTAAACTCTGTGAGTTGAACGCACACATCACAAAGGAGTTTCTGAGAATCATTCTGTCTAGTTTTTATACGAAGATATTTCCTTTTCTACCATTGACCTCAAAGCGGCTGAAATCTCCACTTGCAAATTCCAGAAAAACAGTGTTTCAAATCTGCTCTGTGTAAAGGATCGTTCAACTCTGTGAGTTGAATACACACAACACAAGGGAAGTTACTGAGAATTCATCTGTCTAGCATAATATGAAGAAATCCCGTTTCCAACGAAGGCCTCAAAGAGGTCTGAATATCCACTTGCAGACTTTACAAACAGAGTGTTTCCTAACTGCTCTTTGAAAAGAAAGGTTAAACTCTGTGAGTTGAACGCACACATCACAAAACAGTTTCTGAGAATCATTCTGTCTTGTTTTTATACGAAGATATTTCCTTGCCTACCATTGACCTCAAAGCGGCGGAATTCTCCACTTACAAATTCCACCAAAAGAGTGTCTCAAATCTGCTCTGTGTAAAGAATCATTCAACTCTGTGAGTTGAATGCACACAACACAAGGAAGTTACTGGGAATTCCTCTGTCTATCCTTATATGAAAAAACCCGTTTCCAACGAAGGCCTCTAAGAGGCCAAGATATCCACTTGCAGACTTTACAAACAGAGTGTTTCCAAACTGCTGAATGAAAAGAAAAGTTAAACTCTGTGAGTTGAACGCACACATCACAGAGCAGTTTCTGAGAAAGATTCTGTCTAGTTTTTATAGGAAAATATTTCCTTTTCTGCTTTTGGCCTCAAAGCGCTTGAAATCTCCACTTGCAAATTCCACAAAAAGAGTGTTTCAAATCTGCTCTGTCTAAAGGAAGGTTGAACTCTGTGAGTTGCATACACACAACACAAAGAAGTTACTGAGAAATCTTCTGTCTAGCATAATATGAAGAAATCCCGTTTCCAACGAAGGCCTCAAAGAGGTCCGAATATCCACTGGCAGGCTTCACAAACAGAGTGTTTCCTAACTGCTCTGTGAAAAGAAAGGTTAAACTCTGTGAGTTGAACGCACACATCACAAAGGAGTTTCTGAGAATCATTCTGTCTAGTTTTTATACGAAGATATTTCCTTTTCTACCATTGACCTCAAAGTGGCTGAAATCTCCATTTGCAAATTCCAGAAAAACAGTGTTTCAAATCTGCTCTGTGTAAAGGATCGTTTAACTCTGTGAGTTGAATACACACAACACAAGGAAGTTACTGAGAATTCATCTGTCTAGCATAATATGAAGAAATCCCGTTTCCAACGAAGGCCTCAAAGAGGTCTGAATATCCACTTGCAGACTTTACAAACAGAGTGTTTCCTAACTGCTCTTTGAAAAGAAAGGTTAAACTCTGTGAGTTGAACGCACACATCACAAAACAGTTTCTGAGAATCATTCTGTCTAGTTTTTATACGAAGATATTTCCTTTTCTACCGTTGACCTCAAAGCGGCTGAATTCTCCACTTACAAATTCCACCAAAAGAGTGTCTCAAATCTGCTCTGTGTAAAGAATCATTCAACTCTGTGAGTTGAATGCACACAACACAAGGAAGTTACTGGGAATTCCTCTGTCTAACCTTACATGAAAAAACCCGTTTCCAACGAAGGCCTCTAAGAGGCCAAGATATCCACTTGCAGACTTTACAAACAGAGTGTTTCCAAACTGCTGAATGAAAAGAAAAGTTAAACTCTGTGAGTTGAACGCACACATCACAGAGCAGTTTCTGAGAATGATTCTGTCGGGTTTTTATACGAAGATATTTCCTTTTCTGCCTTTGGCCTCAAAGCGCTTGAAGTCTCCACTTGCAAATTGCAGAAAAAGAGTGTTTCGAATCTGCTCTGTCTAAAGGAAGGTTCAACTCTGTCAGTTGAATACACACAACACAAGGAAGTTACTGAGATTTCTTCTGTCTAGCCTTACATGAAAAAAACCCGTTTCCAACGAAGGCCTCAAAGAGGTCAAAATATCCACGTGCAGACTTTCCAAACAGAGTGTTTCCAAACTGCTGAATGAAAAGAAAAGTTAAACTCTGTGAGTTGAACGCACACATCCCAGAGCAGTTTCTGAGAAAGATTCTGTCGAGTTTTTATAGGAAAATATTTCCTTTTCTGCTTTTGGCCTCAAAGCGCTTGAAATCTCCACTTGCAAATTCCACAAAAAGAGACTTTCAAATCTGCTCTGTCTAAAGGAAGGTTCAACTCTGTCAGTTGAATACACACAACACAAAGAAGTTACTAAGAATTCTTCCCTCTAGCATTATATGAAGAAATCCCGTTTCCAACGAAGGCATCTAAGAGGTCCAAATATCCACTTGCAGACTTTACAAACACAGGGTTTCCAGAATGCTGTATGAAAAGAAAGGTTAAACTCTGTGAGTTAAACACACACATCACTACGCAGTGTCTGGGAACGAGTTTGTCTTGTTTTTATACGAAGATATTTCCTTTTCTACCATTGGCATCGAAGCGCTTGAAATCTCCACTTGCAAATTCCACAAAAAGAGTGTTTCAAATCTGCTCTGTCTAAAGGAAGGTTGAACTCTGTGAGTTGCATACACACAACACAAAGAAGTTACTGAGAAATCTTCTGAATAGCATAATATGAAGAAATCCCGTTTCCAACGAAGGCCTCAAAGAGGTCCGAATATCCACTGGCAGGCTTCACAAACAGAGTGTTTCCTAACTGCTCTGTGAAAAGAAAGGTTAAACTCTGTGAGTTGAACGCACACATCACAAAGGAGTTTCTGAGAATCATTCTGTCTAGTTTTTATACGAAGATATTTCCTTTTCTACCATTGACCTCAAAGCGGCTGAAATCTCCACTTGCAAATTCCAGAAAAACAGTGTTTCAAATCTGCTCTGTGTAAAGGATCGTTCAACTCTGTGAGTTGAATACACACAACACAAGGAAGTTACTGAGAATTCATCTGTCTAGCATAATATGAAGAAATCCCGTTTCCAACGAAGGCCTCAAAGAGGTCTGAATATCCTCTTGCAGACTTTACAAACAGAGTGTTTCCTAACTGCTCTTTGAAAAGAAAGGTTAAACTCTGTGAGTTGAACGCACACATCACAAAACAGTTTCTGAGAATCATTCTGTCTAGTTTTTATACGAAGATATTTCCTTTTCTACCGTTGACCTCAAAGCGGCTGAATTCTCCACTTACAAATTCCACCAAAAGAGTGTCTCAAAACTGCTCTGTGTAAAGAATCATTCAACTCTGTGAGTTGAATGCACACAACACAAGGAAGTTACTGGGAATTCCTGTGTCTATCCTTACATGAAAAAACCCGTTTCCAACGAAGGCCTCTAAGAGGCCAAGATATCCACTTGCAGACTTTACAAACAGAGTGTTTCCAAACTGCTGAATGAAAAGAAAAGTTAAACTCTGTGAGTTGAACGCACACATCACAGAGCAGTTTCTGAGAATGATTCTGTCGGGTTTTTATACGAAGATATTTCCTTTTCTGCCTTTGGCCTCAAAGCGCTTGAAGTCTCCACTTGCAAATTGCAGAAAAAGAGTGTTTCGAATCTGCTCTGTCTAAAAGAAGGTTCAACTCTGTCAGTTGAATACACACAACACAAGGAAAGTTACTGAGATTTCTTCTGTCTAGCGTTACATGAAAAAAACCCGTTTCCAACGAAGGCCTCAAAGAGGTCAAAATATCCACGTGCAGACTTTCCAAACAGAGTGTTTCCAAACTGCTGAATGAAAAGAAAGTTAAACTCTGTGAGTTGAACACACACATCACAGAGCAGTTTCTGAGAATGATTCTGTCTAGTTTTTATAGGAAAATATTTCCTTTTCTGCTTTTGGCCTCAAAGCGCTTGAAATCTCCACTTGCAAATTCCACAAAAAGAGACTTTCAAATCTGCTCTGTCTAAAGGAAGGTTCAACTCTGTCAGTTGAATACACACAACACAAAGAAGTTACTAAGAATTCTTCCCTCTAGCATTATATGAAGAAATCCCGTTTGCAACGAAGGCATCTAAGAGGTCCAAATATCCACTTGCAGACTTTACAAACAGAGGGTTTCCAGAATGCTGTATGAACAGAAAGGTTAAACTCTGTGAGTTAAACACACACATCAGTACGCAGTGTCTGGGAACGAGTTTGTCTTGTTTTTCTACGAAGATATTTCCTTTTCTACCATTGGCATCGAAGCGCTTGAAATCTCCACTTGCAAATTCCACAAAAAGAGTGTTTCAAATCTGCTCTGTCTAAAGGAAGGTTGAACTCTGTGAGTTGCATACACACAACACAAAGAAGTTACTGAGAAATCTTCTGTCTAGCATAATATGAAGAAATCCCGTTTCCAACGAAGGCCTCAAAGAGGTCCGAATATCCACTGGCAGGCTTCACAAACAGAGTGTTTCCTAACTGCTCTGTGAAAAGAAAGGTTAAACTCTGTGAGTTGAACGCACACATCACAAAGGAGTTTCTGAGAATCATTCTGTCTAGTTTTTATACGAAGATATTTCCTTTTCTACCATTGACCTCAAAGCGGCTGAAATCTCCACTTGCAAATTCCAGAAAAACAGTGTTTCAAATCTGCTCTGTGTAAAGGATCGTTCAACTCTGTGAGTTGAATACACACAACACAAGGAAGTTACTGAGAATTCATCTGTCTAGCATAATATGAAGAAATCCCGTTTCCAACGAAGGCCTCAAAGAGGTCTGAATATCCACTTGCAGACTTTACAAACAGAGTGTTTCCTAACTGCTCTTTGAAAAGAAAGGTTAAACTCTGTGAGTTGAACGCACACATCACAAAACAGTTTCTGAGAATCATTCTGTCTAGTTTTTATACGAAGATATTTCCTTTTCTACCGTTGACCTCAAAGCGGCTGAATTCTCCACTTACAAATTCCACCAAAAGAGTGTCTCAAATCTGCTCTGTGTAAAGAATCATTCAACTCTGTGAGTTGAATGCACACAACACAAGGAAGTTACTGGGAATTCCTCTGTCTAACCTTACATGAAAAAACCCGTTTCCAACGAAGGCCTCTAAGAGGCCAAGATATCCACTTGCAGACTTTACAAACAGAGTGTTTCCAAACTGCTGAATGAAAAGAAAAGTTAAACTCTGTGAGGTGAACGCACACATCACAGAGCAGTTTCTGAGAATGATTCTGTCGGGTTTTTATACGAAGATATTTCCTTTTCTGCCTTTGGCCTCAAAGCGCTTGAAGTCTCCACTTGCAAATTGCAGAAAAAGAGTGTTTCGAATCTGCTCTGTCTAAAGGAAGGTTCAACTCTGTCAGTTGAATACACACAACACAAGGAAGTTACTGAGATTTCTTCTGTCTAGCCTTACATGAAAAAAACCCGTTTCCAACGAAGGCCTCAAAGAGGTCAAAATATCCACGTGCAGACTTTCCAAACAGAGTGTTTCCAAACTGCTGAATGAAAAGAAAGTTAAACTCTGTGAGTTGAACACACACATCACAGAGCAGTTTCTGAGAATGATTCTCTCTAGTTTTTATAGGAAAATATTTCCTTTTCTGCTTTTGGCCTCAAAGCGCTTGAAATCTCCACTTGCAAATTCCAGAAAAAGAGACTTTCAAATCTGCTCTGTCTAAAGGAAGGTTCAACTCTGTCAGTTGAATACACACAACACAAAGAAGTTACTAAGAATTCTTCCCTCTAGCATTATATGAAGAAATCCCGTTTCCAACGAAGGCATCTAAGAGGTCCAAATATCCACTTGCAGACTTTACAAACAGAGGGTTTCCAGAATGCTGTATGAAAAGAAAGGTTAAACTCTGTGAGTTAAACACACACATCACTACGCAGTGTCTGGGAACGAGTTTGTCTTGTTTTTCTACGAAGATATTTCCTTTTCTACCATTGGCATCGAAGCGCTTGAAATCTCCACTTGCAAATTCCACAAAAAGAGTGTTTCAAATCTGCTCTGTCTAAAGGAAGGTTGAACTCTGTGAGTTGCATACACACAACACAAAGAAGTTACTGAGAAATCTTCTGTCTAGCATAATATGAAGAAATCCCGTTTCCAACGAAGGCCTCAAAGAGGTCCGAATATCCACTGGCAGGCTTCACAAACAGAGTGTTTCCTAACTGCTCTGTGAAAAGAAAGGTTAAACTCTGTGAGTTGAACGCACACATCACAAAGGAGTTTCTGAGAATCATTCTGTCTAGTTTTTATACGAAGATATTTCCTTTTCTACCATTGACCTCAAAGCGGCTGAAATCTCCACTTGCAAATTCCAGAAAAACAGTGTTTCAAATCTGCTCTGTGTAAAGGATCGTTCAACTCTGTGAGTTGAATACACACAACACAAGGAAGTTACTGAGAATTCATCTGTCTAGCATAATATGAAGAAATCTCGTTTCCAACGAAGGCCTCAAAGAGGTCTGAATATCCACTTGCAGACTTTACAAACAGAGTGTTTCCTAACTGCTCTTTGAAAAGAAAGGTTAAACTCTGTGAGTTGAACGCACACATCACAAAACAGTTTCTGAGAATCATTCTGTCTAGTTTTTATACGAAGATATTTCCTTTTCTACCGTTGACCTCAAAGCGGCTGAATTCTCCACTTACAAATTCCACCAAAAGAGTGTCTCAAATCTGCTCTGTGTAAAGAATCATTCAACTCTGTGAGTTGAATGCACACAACACAAGGAAGTTACTGGGAATTCCTCTGTCTATCCTTACATGAAAAAACCCGTTTCCAACGAAGGCCTCTAAGAGGCCAAGATATCCACTTGCAGACTTTACAAACAGAGTGTTTCCAAACTGCTGAATGAAAAGAAAAGTTAAACTCTGTGAGTTGAACGCACACATCACAGAGCAGTTTCTGAGAAAGATTCTGTCTAGTTTTTATAGGAAAATATTTCCTTTTCTGCTTTTGGCCTCAAAGCGCTTGAAATCTCCACTTGCAAATTCCACAAAAAGAGTGTTTCAAATCTGCTCTGTCTAAAGGAAGGTTGAACTCTGTGAGTTGCATACACACAACACAAAGAAGTTACTGAGAAATCTTCTGTCTAGCATAATATGAAGAAATCCCGTTTCCAACGAAGGCCTCAAAGAGGTCCGAATATCCACTGGCAGGCTTCACAAACAGAGTGTTTCCTAACTGCTCTGTGAAAAGAAAGGTTAAACTCTGTGAGTTGAACGCACACATCACAAAGGAGTTTCTGAGAATCATTCTGTCTAGTTTTTATACGAAGATATTTCCTTTTCTACCATTGACCTCAAAGCGGCTGAAATCTCCACTTGCAAATTCCAGAAAAACAGTGTTTCAAATCTGCTCTGTGTAAAGGATCGTTTAACTCTGTGAGTTGAATACACACAACACAAGGAAGTTACTGAGAATTCATCTGTCTAGCATAATATGAAGAAATCCCGTTTCCAACGAAGGCCTCAAAGAGGTCTGAATATCCACTTGCAGATTTTACGAACAGAGTGTTTCCTAACTGCTCTTTGAAAAGAAAGGTTAAACTCTGTGAGTTGAACGCACACATCACAAAACAGTTTCTGAGAATCATTCTGTCTAGTTTTTATACGAAGATATTTCCTTTTCTACCGTTGACCTCAAAGCGGCTGAATTCTCCACTTACAAATTCCACCAAAAGAGTGTCTCAAATCTGCTCTGTGTAAAGAATCATTCAACTCTGTGAGTTGAATGCACACAACACAAGGAAGTTACTGGGAATTCCTCTGTCTAACCTTACATGAAAAAACCCGTTTCCAACGAAGGCCTTTAAGAGGCCAAGATATCCACTTGCAGACTTTACAAACAGAGTGTTTCCAAACTGCTGAATGAAAAGAAAAGTTAAACTCTGTGAGTTGAACGCACACATCACAGAGCAGTTTCTGAGAGTGATTCTGTCGGGTTTTTATACGAAGATATTTCCTTTTCTGCCTTTGGCCTCAAAGCGCTTGAAGTTTCCACTTGCAAATTGCAGAAAAAGAGTGTTTCGAATCTGCTCTGTCTAAAGGAAGGTTCAACTCTGTCAGTTGAATACACACAACACAAGGAAGTTACTGAGATTTCTTCTGTCTAGCCTTACATGAAAAAAACCCGTTTCCAACGAAGGCCTCAAAGAGGTCAAAATATCCACGTGCAGACTTTCCAAACAGAGTGTTTCCAAACTGCTGAATGAAAAGAAAAGTTAAACTCTGTGAGTTGAACGCACACATCCCAGAGCAGTTTCTGAGAAAGATTCTGTCGAGTTTTTATAGGAAAATATTTCCTTTTCTGCTTTTGGCCTCAAAGCGCTTGAAATCTCCACTTGCAAATTCCACAGAAAGAGACTTTCAAATCTGCTCTGTCTAAAGGAAGGTTCAACTCTGTCAGTTGAATACACACAACACAAAGAAGTTACTAAGAATTCTTCCCTCTAGCATTATATGAAGAAATCCCGTTTCCAACGAAGGCATCTAAGAGGTCCAAATATCCACTTGCAGACTTTACAAACACAGGGTTTCCAGAATGCTGTATGAAAAGAAAGGTTAAACTCTGTGAGTTAAACACACACATCACTACGCAGTGTCTGGGAACGAGTTTGTCTTGTTTTTATACGAAGATATTTCCTTTTCTACCATTGGCATCGAAGCGCTTGAAATCTCCACTTGCAAATTCCACAAAAAGAGTGTTTCAAATCTGCTCTGTCTAAAGGAAGGTTGAACTCTGTGAGTTGCATACACACAACACAAAGAAGTTACTGAGAAATCTTCTGTCTAGCATAATATGAAGAAATCCCGTTTCCAACGAAGGCCTCAAAGAGGTCCGAATATCCACTGGCAGGCTTCACAAACAGAGTGTTTCCTAACTGCTCTGTGAAAAGAAAGGTTAAACTCTGTGAGTTGAACGCACACATCACAAAGGAGTTTCTGAGAATCATTCTGTCTAGTTTTTATACGAAGATATTTCCTTTTCTACCATTGACCTCAAAGCGGCTGAAATCTCCACTTGCAAATTCCAGAAAAACAGTGTTTCAAATCTGCTCTGTGTAAAGGATCGTTTAACTCTGTGAGTTGAATACACACAACACAAGGAAGTTACTGAGAATTCATCTGTCTAGCATAATATGAAGAAATCCCGTTTCCAATGAAGGCCTCAAAGAGGTCTGAATATCCACTTGCAGACTTTACAAACAGAGTGTTTCCTAACTGCTCTTTGAAAAGAAAGGTTAAACTCTGTGAGTTGAAAGCACACATCACAAAACAGTTTCTGAGAATCATTCTGTCTAGTTTTTATACGAAGATATTTCCTTTTCTACCGTTGACCTCAAAGCGGCTGAATTCTCCACTTACAAATTCCACCAAAAGAGTGTCTCAAATCTGCTCTGTGTAAAGAATCATTCAACTCTGTGAGTTGAATGCATACAACACAAGGAAGTTACTGGGAATTCTGTCTAACCTTAAATGAAAAAACCCGTTTCCAACGAAGGCCTCTAAGAGGCCAAGATATCCCCTTGCAGACTTTACAAACAGAGTGTTTCCAAACTGCTGAATGAAAAGAAAAGTTAAACTCTGTGAGTTGAACGCACACATCACAGAGCAGTTTCTGAGAATGATTCTGTCGGGTTTTTATACGAAGATATTTCCTTTTCTGCCTTTGGCCTCAAAGCGCTTGAAGTCTCCACTTGCAAATTGCAGAAAAAGAGTGTTTCGAATCTGCTCTGTCTAAAGGAAGGTTCAACTCTGTCAGTTGAATACACACAACACAAGGAAGTTACTGAGATTTCTTCTGTCTAGCCTTACATGAAAAAAACCCGTTTCCAACGAAGGCCTCAAAGAGGTCAAAATATCCACGTGCAGACTTTCCAAACAGAGTGTTTCCAAACTGCTGAATGAAAAGAAAAGTTAAACTCTGTGAGTTGAACGCACACATCCCAGAGCAGTTTCTGAGAAAGATTCTGTCGAGTTTTTATAGGAAAATATTTCCTTTTCTGCTTTTGGCCTCAAAGCGCTTGAAATCTCCACTTGCAAATTCCACAAAAAGAGACTTTCAAATCTGCTCTGTCTAAAGGAAGGTTCAACTCTGTCAGTTGAATACACACAACACAAAGAAGTTACTAAGAATTCTTCCCTCTAGCATTATATGAAGAAATCCCGTTTGCAACGAAGGCATCTAAGAGGTCCAAATATCCACTTGCAGACTTTACAAACAGAGGGTTTCCAGAATGCTGTATGAAAAGAAAGGTTAAACTCTGTGAGTTAAACACACACATCACTACGCAGTGTCTGGGAACGAGTTTGTCTTGTTTTTATACGAAGATATTTCCTTTTCTACCATTGGCATCGAAGCGCTTGAAATCTCCACTTGCAAATTCCACAAAAAGAGTGTTTCAAATCTGCTCTGTCTAAAGGAAGGTTGAACTCTGTGAGTTGCATACACACAACACAAAGAAGTTACTGAGAAATCTTCTGTCTAGCATAATATGAAGAAATCCCGTTTCCAACGAAGGCCTCAAAGAGGTCCGAATATCCACTGGCAGGCTTCACAAACAGAGTGTTTCCTAACTGCTCTGTGAAAAGAAAGGTTAAACTCTGTGAGTTGAACGCACACATCACAAAGGAGTTTCTGAGAATCATTCTGTCTAGTTTTTATACGAAGATATTTCCTTTTCTACCATTGACCTCAAAGCGGCTGAAATCTCCACTTGCAAATTCCAGAAAAACAGTGTTTCAAATCTGCTCTGTGTAAAGGATCGTTCAACTCTGTGAGTTGAATACACACAACACAAGGAAGTTACTGAGAATTCATCTGTCTAGCATAATATGAAGAAACCCCGTTTCCAACGAAGGCCTCAAAGAGGTCTGAATATCCACTTGCAGACTTTACAAACAGAGTGTTTCCTAACTGCTCTTTGAAAAGAAAGGTTAAACTCTGTGAGTTGAACGCACACATCACAAAACAGTTTCTGAGAATCATTCTGTCTAGTTTTTATACGAAGATATTTCCTTTTCTACCGTTGACCTCAAAGCGGCTGAATTCTCCACTTACAAATTCCACCAAAAGAGTGTCTCAAATCTGCTCTGTGTAAAGAATCATTCAACTCTGTGAGTTGAATGCACACAACACAAGGAAGTTACTGGGAATTCCTCTGTCTAACCTTACATGAAAAAACCCGTTTCCAACGAAGGCCTCTAAGAGGCCAAGATATCCACTTGCAGACTTTACAAACAGAGTGTTTCCAAACTGCTGAATGAAAAGAAAAGTTAAACTCTGTGAGTTGAACGCACACATCACAGAGCAGTTTCTGAGAATGATTCTGTCGGGTTTTTATACGAAGATATTTCCTTTTCTGCCTTTGGCCTCAAAGCGCTTGAAGTCTCCACTTGCAAATTGCAGAAAAAGAGTGTTTCGAATCTGCTCTGTCTAAAGGAAGGTTCAACTCTGTCAGTTGAATACACACAACACAAGGAAGTTACTGAGATTTCTTCTGTCTAGCCTTACATGAAAAAAACCCGTTTCCAACGAAGGCCTCAAAGAGGTCAAAATATCCACGTGCAGACTTTCCAAACAGAGTGTTTCCAAACTGCTGAATGAAAAGAAAAGTTAAACTCTGTGAGTTGAACGCACACATCCCAGAGCAGTTTCTGAGAAAGATTCTGTCGAGTTTTTATAGGAAAATATTTCCTTTTCTGCTTTTGGCCTCAAAGCGCTTGAAATCTCCACTTGCAAATTCCACAGAAAGAGACTTTCAAATCTGCTCTGTCTAAAGGAAGGTTCAACTCTGTCAGTTGAATACACACAACACAAAGAAGTTACTAAGAATTCTTCCCTCTAGCATTATATGAAGAAATCCCGTTTCCAACGAAGGCATCTAAGAGGTCCAAATATCCACTTGCAGACTTTACAAACACAGGGTTTCCAGAATGCTGTATGAAAAGAAAGGTTAAACTCTGTGAGTTAAACACACACATCACTACGCAGTGTCTGGGAACGAGTTTGTCGTTTTTATACGAAGATATTTCCTTTTCTACCATTGGCATCGAAGCGCTTGAAATCTCCACTTGCAAATTCCACAAAAAGAGTGTTTCAAATCTGCTCTGTCTAAAGGAAGGTTGAACTCTGTGAGTTGCATACACACAACACAAAGAAGTTACTGAGAAATCTTCTGTCTAGCATAATATGAAGAAATCCCGTTTCCAACGAAGGCCTCAAAGAGGTCCGAATATCCACTGGCAGGCTTCACAAACAGAGTGTTTCCTAACTGCTCTGTGAAAAGAAAGGTTAAACTCTGTGAGTTGAACGCACACATCACAAAGGAGTTTCTGAGAATCATTCTGTCTAGTTTTTATACGAAGATATTTCCTTTTCTACCATTGACCTCAAAGCGGCTGAAATCTCCACTTGCAAATTCCAGAAAAACAGTGTTTCAAATCTGCTCTGTGTAAAGGATCGTTCAACTCTGTGAGTTGAATACACACAACACAAGGAAGTTACTGAGAATTCATCTGTCTAGCATAATATGAAGAAACCCCGTTTCCAACGAAGGCCTCAAAGAGGTCTGAATATCCACTTGCAGACTTTACAAACAGAGTGTTTCCTAACTGCTCTTTGAAAAGAAAGGTTAAACTCTGTGAGTTGAACGCACACATCACAAAACAGTTTCTGAGAATCATTCTGTCTAGTTTTTATACGAAGATATTTCCTTTTCTACCGTTGACCTCAAAGCGGCTGAATTCTCCACTTACAAATTCCACCAAAAGAGTGTCTCAAATCTGCTCTGTGTAAAGAATCATTCAACTCTGTGAGTTGAATGCACACAACACAAGGAAGTTACTGGGAATTCCTCTGTCTAACCTTACATGAAAAAACCCGTTTCCAACGAAGGCCTCTAAGAGGCCAAGATATCCACTTGCAGACTTTACAAACAGAGTGTTTCCAAACTGCTGAATGAAAAGAAAAGTTAAACTCTGTGAGTTGAACGCACACATCACAGAGCAGTTTCTGAGAATGATTCTGTCGGGTTTTTATACGAAGATATTTCCTTTTCTGCCTTTGGCCTCAAAGCGCTTGAAGTCTCCACTTGCAAATTGCAGAAAAAGAGTGTTTCGAATCTGCTCTGTCTAAAGGAAGGTTCAACTCTGTCAGTTGAATACACACAACACAAGGAAGTTACTGAGATTTCTTCTGTCTAGCCTTACATGAAAAAAACCCGTTTCCAACGAAGGCCTCAAAGAGGTCAAAATATCCACGTGCAGACTTTCCAAACAGAGTGTTTCCAAACTGCTGAATGAAAAGAAAAGTTAAACTCTGTGAGTTGAACGCACACATCCCAGAGCAGTTTCTGAGAAAGATTCTGTCGAGTTTTTATAGGAAAATATTTCCTTTTCTGCTTTTGGCCTCAAAGCGCTTGAAATCTCCACTTGCAAATTCCACAAAAAGAGACTTTCAAATCTGCTCTGTCTAAAGGAAGGTTCAACTCTGTCAGTTGAATACACACAACACAAAGAAGTTACTAAGAATTCTTCCCTCTAGCATTATATGAAGAAATCCCGTTTCCAACGAAGGCATCTAAGAGGTCCAAATATCCACTTGCAGACTTTACAAACACAGGGTTTCCAGAATGCTGTATGAAAAGAAAGGTTAAACTCTGTGAGTTAAACACACACATCACTACGCAGTGTCTGGGAACGAGTTTTGTCTTGTTTTTATACGACGATATTTCCTTTTCTACCATTGGCATCGAAGCGCTTGAAATCTCCACTTGCAAATTCCACAAAAAGAGTGTTTCAAATATGCTCTCTCTAAAGGAAGGTTGAACTCTGTGAGTTGCATACACACAACACAAAGAAGTTACTGAGAAATCTTCTGTCTAGCATAATATGAAGAAATCCCGTTTCCAACGAAGGCCTCAAAGAGGTCCGAATATCCACTGGCAGGCTTCACAAACAGAGTGTTTCCTAACTGCTCTGTGAAAAGAAAGGTTAAACTCTGTGAGTTGAACGCACACATCACAAAGGAGTTTCTGAGAATCATTCTGTCTAGTTTTTATACGAAGATATTTCCTTTTCTACCGTTGACCTCAAAGCGGCTGAATTCTCCACTTACAAATTCCACCAAAAGAGTGTCTCAAATCTGCTCTGTGTAAAGAATCATTCAACTCTGTGAGTTGAATGCACACAACACAAGGAAGTTACTGGGAATTCCTCTGTCTAACCTTACATGAAAAAACCCGTTTCCAACGAAGGCCTCTAAGAGGCCAAGATATCCACTTGCAGACTTTACAAACAGAGTGTTTCCAAACTGCTGAATGAATAGAAAAGTTAAACTCTGTGAGTTGAACGCACACATCACAGAGCAGTTTCTGAGAATGATTCTGTCGGGTTTTTATACGAAGATATTTCCTTTTCTGCCTTTGGCCTCAAAGCGCTTGAAGTCTCCACTTGCAAATTGCAGAAAAAGAGTGTTTCGAATCTGCTCTGTCTAAAGGAAGGTTCAACTCTGTCAGTTGAATACACACAACACAAGGAAGTTACTGAGATATCTTCTGTCTAGCCTTACATGAAAAAAACCCGTTTCCAACAAAGGCCTCAAAGAGGTCAAAATATCCACGTGCAGACTTTCCAAACAGAGTGTTTCCAAACTGCTGAATGAAAAGAAAAGTTAAACTCTGTGAGTTGAACGCACACGTCCCAGAGCAGTTTCTGAGAAAGATTCTGTCGAGTTTTTATAGGAAAATATTTCCTTTTCTGCTTTTGGCCTCAAAGCGCTTGAAATCTCCACTTGCAAATTCCACAAAAAGAGACTTTCAAATCTGCTCTGTCTAAAGGAAGGTTCAACTCTGTCAGTTGAATACACACAACACAAAGAAGTTACTAAGAATTCTTCCCTCTAGCATTATATGAGGAAATCCCGTTCCAACGAAGGCATCTAAGAGGTCCAAATATCCACTTGCAGACTTTACAAACAGAGGGTTTCCAGAATGCTGTATGAAAAGAAAGGTTAAACTCTGTGAGTTAAACACACACATCACTACGCAGTGTCTGGGAACGAGTTTGTCTTGTTTTTATACGAAGATATTTCCTTTTCTACCATTGGCATCGAAGCGCTTGAAATCTCCACTTGCAAATTCCACAAAAAGAGTGTTTCAAATCTGCTCTGTCTAAAGGAAGGTTGAACTCTGTGAGTTGCATACACACAACACAAAGAAGTTACTGAGAAATCTTCTGTCTAGCATAATATGAAGAAATCCCGTTTCCAACGAAGGCCTCAAAGAGGTCCGAATATCCACTGGCAGGCTTCACAAACAGAGTGTTTCCTAACTGCTCTGTGAAAAGAAAGGTTAAACTCTGTGAGTTGAACGCACACATCACAAAGGAGTTTCTGAGAATCATTCTGTCTAGTTTTTATACGAAGCATATTTCCTTTTCTACCATTGACCTCAAAGCGGCTGAAATCTCCACTTGCAAATTCCAGAAAAACAGTGTTTCAAATCTGCTCTGTGTAAAGGATCGTTCAACTCTGTGAGTTGAATACACACAACACAAGGAAAGTTACTGAGAATTCATCTGTCTAGCATAATATGAAGAAATCCCGTTTCCAACGAAGGCCTCAAAGAGGTCTGAATATCCACTTGCAGACTTTACAGAGTGTTTCCTAACTGCTCTTTGAAAAGAAAGGTTAAACTCTGTGAGTTGAACGCACACATCACAAAACAGTTTCTGAGAATCATTCTGTCTAGTTTTTATACGAAGATATTTCCTTTTCTACCGTTGACCTGAAAGCGGCTGAAATCTCCACTTGCAAATTCCAGAAAAACAGTGTTTCAAATCTGCTCTGTGTAAAGGATCGTTCAACTCTCTGAGTTGAATACACACAACACAAGGAAGTTACTGAGAATTCATCTGTCTATCCTTACATGAAAAAACCCGTTTCCAACGAAGGCCTCTAAGAGGCCAAGATATCCACATGCAGACTTTACAAACAGAGTGTTTCCAAACTGCTGAATGAAAAGAAAAGTTAAACTCTGTGAGTTGAACGCACACATCACAGAGCAGTTTCTGAGAATGATTCTGTCGGGTTTTTATACGAAGATATTTCCTTTTCTGCCTTTGGCCTCAAAGCGCTTGAAGTCTCCACTTGCAAATTGCAGAAAAAGAGTGTTTCGAATCTGCTCTGTCTAAAGGAAGGTTCAACTCTGTCAGTTGAATACACACAACACAAGGGAATTTACTGAGATTTCTTCTGTCTAGCCTTACATGAAAAACACCCGTTTCCAACGAAGGCCTCAAAGAGGTCAAAATATCCACGTGCAGACTTTCCAAACAGAGTGTTTCCAAACTGCTGAATGAAAAGAAAAGTTAAACTCTGTGAGTTGAACGCACACATCCCAGAGCAGTTTCTGAGAAAGATTCTGTCTAGTTTTTATAGGAAAATATTTCCTTTTCTGCTTTTGGCCTCAAAGCGCTTGAAATCTCCACTTGCAAATTCCACAAAAAGAGACTTTCAAATCTGCTCTGTCTAAAGGAAGGTTCAACTCTGTCAGTTGAATACACACAACACAAAGAAGTTACTAAGAATTCTTCCCTCTAGCATTATATGAAGAAATCCCGTTTCCAACGAAGGCATCTAAGAGGTCCAAATATCCACTTGCAGACTTTACAAACAGAGGGTTTCCAGAATGCTGTATGAAAAGAAAGGTGAAACTCTGTGAGTTAAACACACACATCACTACGCAGTGTCTGGGAACGAGTTTGTCTTGTTTTTATACGAAGATATTTCCTTTTCTACCATTGGCATCGAAGCGCTTGAAATCTCCACTTGCAAATTCCACAAAAAGAGTGTTTCAAATCTGCTCTGTCTAAAGGAAGGTTGAACTCTGTGAGTTGCATACACACAACACAAAGAAGTTACTGAGAAATCTTCTGTCTAGCATAATATGAAGAAATCCCGTTTCCAACGAAGGCCTCAAAGAGGTCCGAATATCCACTGGCAGGCTTCACAAACAGAGTGTTTCCTAACTGCTCTGTGAAAAGAAAGGTTAAACTCTGTGAGTTGAACGCACACATCACAAAGGAGTTTCTGAGAATCATTCTGTCTAGTTTTTATACGAAGATATTTCCTTTTCTACCATTGACCTCAAATCGGCTGAAATCTCCACTTGCAAATTCCAGAAAAACAGTGTTTCAAATCTGCTCTGTGTAAAGGATCGTTCAACTCTGTGAGTTGAATACACACGACACAAGGAAGTTACTGAGAATTCATCTGTCTAGCATAATATGAAGAAATCCCGTTTCCAACGAAGGCCTCAAAGAGGTCTGAATATCCACTTGCAGACTTTACAAACAGAGTGTTTCCTAACTGCTCTCTGAAAAGAAAGGTTAAACTCTGTGAGTTGAACGCACACATCACAAAACAGTTTCTGAGAATCATTCTGTCTAGATTTTATACGAAGATATTTCCTTTTCTACCGTTGACCTCAAAGCGGCTGAATTCTCCACTTACAAATTCCACCCAAAGAGTGTCTCAAATCTGCTCTGTGTAAAGAATCATTCAACTCTGTGAGTTGAATGCACACAACACAAGGAAGTTACTGGGAATTCCTCTGTCTATCCTTACATGAAAAAACCCGTTTCCAACGAAGGCCTCTAAGAGGCCAAGATATCCACTTGCAGACTTTACAAACAGAGTGTTTCCAAACTGCTGAATGAAAAGAAAAGTTAAACTCTGTGAGTTGAACGCACACATCACAGAGCAGTTTCTGAGAATGAGTCTGTCGGGTTTTTATACGAAGATATTTCCTTTTCTGCCTTTGGCCTCAAAGCGCTTGAAGTCTCCACTTGCAAATTGCAGAAAAAGAGTGTTTCGAATCTGCTCTGTCTAAAGGAAGGTTCAACTCTGTCAGTTGAATACACACAACACAAGGAAGTTACTGAGATTTCTTCTGTCTAGCCTTATATGAAAAAAACCCGTTTCTAACGAAGGCCTCAAAGAGGTCAAAATATCCACGTGCAGACTTTCCAAACAGAGTGTTTCCAAATCTGCTGAATGGAAAAGAAAAGTTAAACTCTGTGAGTTGAACGCACACATCCCAGAGCAGTTTCTGAGAAAGATTCTGTCTAGTTTTTATAGGAAAATATTTCCTTTTCTGCTTTTGGCCTCAAAGCGCTTGAAATCTCCACTTGCAAATTCCACAAAAAGAGACTTTCAAATCTGCTCTGTCTAAAGGAAGGTTCAACTCTGTCAGTTGAATACACACAACACAAAGAAGTTACTAAGAATTCTTCCCTCTAGCATTATATGAAGAAATCCCGTTTCCAACGAAGGCATCTAAGAGGTCCAAATATCCACTTGCAGACTTTACAAACAGAGGGTTTCCAGAATGCTGTATGAAAAGAAAGGTTAAACTCTGTGAGTTAAACACACACATCACTACGCAGTGTCTGGGAACGAGTTTGTCTTGTTTTTATACGAAGAAATTTCCTTTTCTACCATTGGCATCGATGCGCTTGAAATTTCCACTTGCAAATTCCACAAAAAGAGTGTTTCAAATCTGCTCTGTCTAAAGGAAGGTTGAACTCTGTGAGTTGCATACACACAACACAAAGAAGTTACTGAGAAATCTTCTGTCTAGCAAAATATGAAGAAATCCCGTTTCCAACGAAGGCCTCAAAGAGGTCCGAATATCCACTGGCAGGCTTCACAAACAGAGTGTTTCCTAACTGCTCTGTGAAAAGAAAGGTTAAACTCTGTGAGTTGAACGCACACATCACAAAGGAGTTTCTGAGAATCATTCTGTCTAGTTTTTATACGAAGCATATTTCCTTTTCTACCATTGACCTCAAAGCGGCTGAAATCTCCACTTGCAAATTCCAGAAAAACAGTGTTTCAAATCTGCTCTGTGTAAAGGATCGTTCAACTCTGTGAGTTGAATACACACAACACAAGGAAAGTTACTGAGAATTCATCTGTCTAGCATAATATGAAGAAATCCCGTTTCCAACGAAGGCCTCAAAGAGGTCTGAATATCCACTTGCAGACTTTACAAACAGAGTGTTTCCTAACTGCTCTTTGAAAAGAAAGGTTAAACTCTGTGAGTTGAACGCACACATCACAAAACAGTTTCTGAGAATCATTCTGTCTAGTTTTTATACGAAGATATTTCCTTTTCTACCGTTGACCTCAAAGCGGCTGAATTCTCCACTTACAAATTCCACCAAAAGAGTGTCTCAAATCTGCTCTGTGTAAAGAATCATTCAACTCTGTGAGTTGAATGCACACAACACAAGGAAGTTACTGGGAATTCCTCTGTCTAACCTTACATGAAAAAACCCGTTTCCAACGAAGGCCTCTAAGAGGCCAAGATATCCACTTGCAGACTTTACAAACAGAGTGTTTCCAAACTGCTGAATGAAAAGAAAAGTTAAACTCTGTGAGTTGAACGCACACATCACAGAGCAGTTTCTGAGAATGATTCTGTCGGGTTTTTATACGAAGATATTTCCTTTTCTGCCTTTGGCCTCAAAGCGCTTGAAGTCTCCACTTGCAAATTGCAGAAAAAGAGTGTTTCGAATCTGCTCTGTCTAAAGGAAGGTTCAACTCTGTCAGTTGAATACACACAACACAAGGAAGTTACTGAGATTTCTTCTGTCTAGCCTTACATGAAAAAAACCCGTTTCCAACGAAGGCCTCAAAGAGGTCAAAATATCCACGTGCAGACTTTCCAAACAGAGTGTTTCCAAACTGCTGAATGAAAAGAAAAGTTAAACTCTGTGAGTTGAACGCACACATCCCAGAGCAGTTTCTGAGAAAGATTCTGTCTAATTTTTATAGGAAAATATTTCCTTTTCTGCTTTTGGCCTCAAAGCGCTTGAAATCTCCACTTGCAAATTCCACAAAAAGAGACTTTCAAATCTGCTCTGTCTAAAGGAAGGTTCAACTCTGTCAGTTGAATACACACAACACAAAGAAGTTACTAAGAATTCTTCCCTCTAGCATTATATGAAGAAATCCCGTTTCCAACGAAGGCATCTAAGAGGTCCAAATATCCACTTGCAGACTTTACAAACAGAGGGTTTCCAGAATGCTGTATGAAAAGAAAGGTTAAACTCTGTGAGTTAAACACACACATCACTACGCAGTGTCTGGGAACGAGTTTGTCTTGTTTTTATACGAAGATATTTCCTTTTCTACCATTGGCATCGATGTGCTTGAAATTTCCACTTGCAAATTCCACAAAAAGAGTGTTTCAAATCTGCTCTGTCTAAAGGAAGGTTGAACTCTGTGAGTTGCATACACACAACACAAAGAAGTTACTGAGAAATCTTCTGTCTAGCAAAATATGAAGAAATCCCGTTTCCAACGAAGGCCTCAAAGAGGTCCGAATATCCACTGGCAGGCTTCACAAACAGAGTGTTTCCTAACTGCTCTGTGAAAAGAAAGGTTAAACTCTGTGAGTTGAACGCACACATCACAAAGGAGTTTCTGAGAATCATTCTGTCCAGTTTTTATACGAAGATATTTCCTTTTCTACCATTGGCATCGAAGCGCTTGAAATCTCCACTTGCAAATTCCACAAAAAGAGTGTTTCAAATCTGCTCTGTCTAAAGGAAGGTTGAACTCTGTGAGTTGCATACACACAACACTAAGAAGTTACTGAGAAATCTTCTGTCTAGCATAATATGAAGAAATCCCGTTTCCAACGAAGGCCTCAAAGAGGTCCGAATATCCACTGGCAGGCTTCACAAACAGAGTGTTTCCTAACTGCTCTGTGAAAAGAAAGGTTAAACTCTGTGAGTTGAACGCACACATCACAAAGGAGTTTCTGAGAATCATTATCTGTCTAGTTTTTATACGAAGATATTTCCTTTTCTACCATTGACCTCAAAGCGGCTGAAATCTCCACTTGCAAATTCCAGAAAAACAGTGTTTCAAATCTGCTCTGTGTAAAGGATCGTTCAACTCTGTGAGTTGAATACACACAACACAAGGAAGTTACTGAGAATTCATCCCTCTAGCATTATATGAAGAAATCCCGTTTCCAACGAAGGCCTCAAAGAGGTCTGAATATCCACTTGCAGACTTTACAGAGTGTTTCCTAACTGCTCTTTGAAAAGAAAGGTTAAACTCTGTGAGTTGAACGCACACATCACAAAACAGTTTCTGAGAATCATTCTGTCTAGTTTTTATACGAAGGTATTTCCTTTTCTACCGTTGACCTCAAAGCGGCTGAATTCTCCACTTACAAATTCCACCCAAAGAGTGTCTCAAATCTGCTCTGTGTAAAGAATCATTCACCTCTGTGAGTTGAATGCACACAACACAAGGAAGTTACTGGGAATTCCTCTGTCTAACCTTACATGAAAAAACCCGTTTCCAACGAAGGCCTCTAAGAGGCCAAGATATCCACTTGCAGACTTTACAAACAGAGTGTTTCCAAACTGCTGAATGAAAAGAAAAGTTAAACTCTGTGAGTTGAACGCACACATCACAGAGCAGTTTCTGAGAATGATTCTGTCGGGTTTTTATACGAAGATATTTCCTTTTCTGCCTTTGGCCTCAAAGCGCTTGAAGTGTCCACTTGCAAATTGCAGAAAAAGAGTGTTTCGAATCTGCTCTGTCTAAAGGAAGGTTCAACTCTGTCAGTTGAATACACACAACACAAGGAAGTTACTGAGATTTCTTCTGTCTAGCCTTACATGAAAAAAACCCGTTTCCAACGAAGGCCTCAAAGAGGTCAAAATATCCACGTGCAGACTTTCCAAACAGAGTGTTTCCAAACTGCTGAATGAAAAGAAAAGTTAAACTCTGTGAGTTGAACGCACACATCCCAGAGCAGTTTCTGAGAAAGATTCTGTCGAGTTTTTATAGGAAAATATTTCCTTTTCTGCTTTTGGCCTCAAAGCGCTTGAAATCTCCACTTGCAAATTCCACAAAAAGAGACTTTCAAATCTGCTCTGTCTAAAGGAAGGTTCAACTCTGTCAGTTGAATACACACAACACAAAGAAGTTACTAAGAATTCTTCCCTCTAGCATTATATGAAGAAATCCCGTTTCCAACGAAGGCATCTAAGAGGTCCAAATATCCACTTGCAGACTTTACAAACACAGGGTTTCCAGAATGCTGTATGAAAAGAAAGGTTAAACTCTGTGAGTTAAACACACACATCACTACGCAGTGTCTGGGAACGAGTTTGTCTTGTTTTTATACGAAGATATTTCCTTTTCTACCATTGGCATCGAAGCGCTTGAAATCTCCACTTGCAAATTCCACAAAAAGAGTGTTTCAAATCTGCTCTGTCTAAAGGAAGGTTGAACTCTGTGAGTTGCATACACACAACACAAAGAAGTTACTGAGAAATCTTCTGTCTAGCATAATATGAAGAAATCCCGTTTCCAACGAAGGCCTCAAAGAGGTCCGAATATCCACTGGCAGGCTTCACAAACAGAGTGTTTCCTAACTGCTCTGTGAAAAGAAAGGTTAAACTCTGTGAGTTGAACGCACACATCACAAAGGAGTTTCTGAGAATCATTCTGTCTAGTTTTTATACGAAGATATTTCCTTTTCTACCATTGACCTCAAAGCGGCTGAAATCTCCACTTGCAAATTCCAGAAAAACAGTGTTTCAAATCTGCTCTGTGTAAAGGATCGTTCAACTCTGTGAGTTGAATACACACAACACAAGGAAGTTACTGAGAATTCATCTGTCTAGTATAATATGAAGAAATCCCGTTTCCAACGAAGGCCTCAAAGAGGTCTGAATATCCACTTGCAGACTTTACAAACAGAGTGTTTCCTAACTGCTCTTTGAAAAGAAAGGTTAAACTCTGTGAGTTGAACGCACACATCACAAAACAGTTTCTGAGAATCATTCTGTCTAGTTTTTATACGAAGATATTTCCTTTTCTACCGTTGACCTCAAAGCAGCTGAATTCTCCACTTACAAATTCCACCAAAAGAGTGTCTCAAATCTGCTCTGTGTAAAGAATCATTCAACTCTGTGAGTTGAATGCACACAACACAAGGAAGTTACTGGGAATTCCTCTGTCTAACCTTACATGAAAAAACCCGTTTCCAACGAAGGCCTCTAAGAGGCCAAGATATCCACTTGCAGACTTTACAAACAGAGTGTTTCCAAACTGCTGAATGAAAAGAAAAGTTAAACTCTGTGAGTTGAACGCACACGTCACAGAGCAGTTTCTGAGAATGATTCTGTCGGGTTTTTATACGAAGATATTTCCTTTTCTGCCTTTGGCCTCAAAGCGCTTGAAGTCTCCACTTGCAAATTGCAGAAAAAGAGTGTTTCGAATCTGCTCTGTCTAAAGGAAGGTTCAACTCTGTCAGTTGAATACACACAACACAAGGAAGTTACTGAGATTTCTTCTGTCTAGCCTTACATGAAAAAAACCCGTTTCCAACGAAGGCCTCAAAGAGGTCAAAATATCCACGTGCAGACTTTCCAAACAGAGTGTTTCCAAACTGCTGAATGAAAAGAAAAGTTAAACTCTGTGAGTTGAACGCACACATCCCAGAGCAGTTTCTGAGAAAGATTCTGTCGAGTTTTTATAGGAAAATATTTCCTTTTCTGCTTTTGGCCTCAAAGCGCTTGAAATCTCCACTTGCAAATTCCACAAAAAGAGACTTTCAAATCTGCTCTGTCTAAAGGAAGGTTCAACTCTGTCAGTTGAATACACACAACACAAAGAAGTTATTAAGAATTCTTCCCTCTAGCATTATATGAAGAAATCCCGTTTCCAACGAAGGCATCTAAGAGGTCCAAATATCCACTTGCAGACTTTACAAACACAGGGTTTCCAGAATGCTGTATGAAAAGAAAGGTTAAACTCTGTGAGTTAAACACACACATCACTACGCAGTGTCTGGGAACGAGTTTGTCTTGTTTTTATACGAAGATATTTCCTTTTCTACCATTGGCATCGAAGCGCTTGAAATCTCCACTTGCAAATTCCACAAAAAGAGTGTTTCAAATCTGCTCTGTCTAAAGGAAGGTTGAACTCTGTGAGTTGCATACACACAACACAAAGAAGTTACTGAGAAATCTTCTGTCTAGCATAATATGAAGAAATCCCGTTTCCAACGAAGGCCTCAAAGAGGTCCGAATATCCACTGGCAGGCTTCACAAACAGAGTGTTTCCTAACTGCTCTGTGAAAAGAAAGGTTAAACTCTGTGAGTTGAACGCACACATCACAAAGGAGTTTCTGAGAATCATTCTGTCTAGTTTTTATACGAAGATATTTCCTTTTCTACCATTGACCTCAAAGCAGCTGAAATCTCCACTTGCAAATCCCAGAAAAACAGTGTTTCAAATCTGCTCTGTGTAAAGGATCGTTCAACTCTGTGAGTTGAATACACACAACACTAGGAAGTTACTGAGAATTCATCTGTCTAGCATAATATGAAGAAATCCCGTTTCCAACGAAGGCCTCAAAGAGGTCTGAATATCCACTTGCAGACTTTACAAACAGAGTGTTTCCTAACTGCTCTTTGAAAAGAAAGGTTAAACTCTGTGAGTTGAACGCACACATCACAAAACAGTTTCTGAGAATCATTCTGTCTAGTTTTTATACGAAGATATTTCCTTTTCTACCGTTGACCTCAAAGCAGCTGAATTCTCCACTTACAAATTCCACCAAAAGAGTGTCTCAAATCTGCTCTGTGTAAAGAATCATTCAACTCTGTGAGTTGAATGCACACAACACAAGGAAGTTACTGGGAATTCCTCTGTCTAACCTTACATGAAAAAACCCGTTTCCAATGAAGGCCTCTAAGAGGCCAAGATATCCACTTGCAGACTTTACAAACAGAGTGTTTCCAAACTCCTGAATGAAAAGAAAAGTAAAACTCTGTGAGTTGAACGCACACATCACAGAGCAGTTTCTGAGAATGATTCTGTCGGGTTTTTATACGAAGATATTTCCTTTTCTGCCTTTGGCCTCAAAGCGCTTGAAGTCTCCACTTGCAAATTGCAGAAAAAGAGTGTTTCGAATCTGCTCTGTCTAAAGGAAGGTTCAACTCTGTCAGTTGAATACACACAACACAAAGTAGTTACTAAGAATTCTTCCCTCTAGCATTATATGAAGAAATCCCGTTTCCAACGAAGGCATCTAAGAGGTCCAAATATCCACTTGCAGACTTTACAAACAGAGGGTTTCCAGAATGCTGTATGAAAAGAAAGGTTAAACTCTGTGAGTTAAACACACACATCACTACGCAGTGTCTGGGAACGAGTTTGTCTTGTTTTTATACGAAGATATTTCCTTTTCTACCATTGGCATCGAAGCGCTTGAAATCTCCACTTGCAAATTCCACAAAAAGAGTGTTTCAAATCTGCTCTGTCTAAAGGAAGGTTGAACTCTGTGAGTTGCATACACACAACACAAAGAAGTTACTGAGAAATCTTCTGTCTAGCATAATATGAAGAAATCCCGTTTCCAACGAAGGCCTCAAAGAGGTCCGAATATCCACTGGCAGGCTTCACAAACAGAGTGTTTCCTAACTGCTCTGTGAAAAGAAAGGTTAAACTCTGTGAGTTGAACGCACACATCACAAAGGAGTTTCTGAGAATCATTCTGTCTAGTTTTTATACGAAGATATTTCCTTTTCTACCATTGACCTCAAAGCGGCTGAAATCTCCACTTGCAAATTCCAGAAAAACAGTGTTTCAAATCTGCTCTGTGTAAAGGATCGTTCAACTCTGTGAGTTGAATACACACAACACAAGGAAGTTACTGAGAATTCATCTGTCTAGCATAATATGAAGAAATCCCGTTTCCAACGAAGGCCTCAAAGAGGTCTGAATATCCACTTGCAGACTTTACAAACAGAGTGTTTCCTAACTGATCTTTGAAAAGAAAGGTTAAACTCTGTGAGTTGAACGCACACATCACAAAACAGTTTCTGAGAATCATTCTGTCTAGTTTTTATACGAAGATATTTCCTTTTCTACCGTTGACCTCAAAGCGGCTGAATTCTCCACTAACAAATTCCACCAAAAGAGTGTCTCAAATCTGCTCTGTGTAAAGAATCATTCAACTCTGTGAGTTGAATGCACACAACACAAGGAAGTTACTGGGAATTCCTCTGTCTAACCTTACATGAAAAAACCCGTTTCCAACGAAGGCCTCTAAGAGGCCAAGATATCCACTTGCAGACTTTACAAACAGAGTGTTTCCAAACTGCTGAATGAAAAGAAAAGTTAAACTCTGTGAGTTGAACGCACACATCACAGAGCAGTTTCTGAGAATGATTCTGTCGGGTTTTTATACGAAGATATTTCCTTTTCTGCCTTTGGCCTCAAAGCGCTTGAAGTCTCCACTTGCAAATTGCAGAAAAAGAGTGTTTCGAATCTGCTCTGTCTAAAGGAAGGTTCAACTCTGTCAGTTGAATACACACAACACAAGGAAGTTACTGAGATTTCTTCTGTCTAGCCTTACATGAAAAAAACCCGTTTCCAACGAAGGCCTCAAAGAGGTCAAAATATCCACGTGCAGACTTTCCAAACAGAGTGTTTCCAAACTGCTGAATGAAAAGTTAAACTCTGTGAGTTGAACGCACACATCCCAGAGCAGTTTCTGAGAAAGATTCTGTCGAGTTTTTATAGGAAAATATTTCCTTTTCTGCTTTTGGCCTCAAAGCGCTTGAAATCTCCACTTGCAAATTCCACAAAAAGAGACTTTCAAATCTGCTCTGTCTAAAGGAAGGTTCAACTCTGTCAGTTGAATACACACAACACAAAGAAGTTACTAAGAATTCTTCCCTCTAGCATTATATGAAGAAATCCCGTTTCCAACGAAGGCATCTAAGAGGTCCAAATATCCACTTGCAGACTTTACAAACACAGGGTTTCCAGAATGCTGTATGAAAAGAAAGGTGAAACTCTGTGAGTTAAACACACACATCACTACGCAGTGTCTGGGAACGAGTTTGTCTTGTTTTTATACGAAGATATTTCCTTTTCTACCATTGGCATCGAAGCGCTTGAAATCTCCACTTGCAAATTCCACAAAAAGAGTGTTTCAAATCTGCTCTGTCTAAAGGAAGGTTGAACTCTGTGAGTTGCATATACACAACACAAAGAAGTTACTGAGAAATCTTTTGTCTAGCATAATATGAAGAAATCCCGTTTCCAACGAAGGCCTCAAAGAGGTCCGAATATCCACTGGCAGGCTTCACAAACAGAGTGTTTCCTAACTGCTCTGTGAAAAGAAAGGTTAAACTCTGTGAGTTGAACGCACACATCACAAAGGAGTTTCTGAGAATCATTCTGTCTAGTTTTTATACGAAGATATTTCCTTTTCTACCATTGACCTCAAAGCGGCTGAAATCTCCACTTGCAAATTCCAGAAAAACAGTGTTTCAAATCTGCTCTGTGTAAAGGATCGTTCAACTCTGTGAGTTGAATACACACAACACAAGGAAGTTACTGAGAATTCATCTGTCTAGCATAATATGAAGAAATCCCGTTTCCAACGAAGGCCTCAAAGAGGTCTGAATATCCACTTGCAGACTTTACAAACAGAGTGTTTCCTAACTGCTCTTTGAAAAGAAAGGTTAAACTCTGTGAGTTGAACGCACACATCACAAAACAGTTTCTGAGAATCATTCTGTCTAGTTTTTATACGAAGATATTTCCTTTTCTACCGTTGACCTCAAAGCGGCTGAATTCTCCACTTACAAATTCCACCAAAAGAGTGTCTCAAATCTGCTCTGTGTAAAGAATCATTCAACTCTGTGAGTTGAATGCACACAACACAAGGAAGTTACTGGGAATTCCTCTGTCTATCCTTACATGAAAAAACCCGTTTCCAACGAAGGCCTCTAAGAGGCCAAGATATCCACCTGCAGACTTTACAAACAGAGTGTTTCCAAACTGCTGAATGAAAAGAAAAGTTAAACTCTGTGAGTTGAACGCACACATCACAGAGCAGTTTCTGAGAATGATTCTGTCGGGTTTTTATACGAAGATATTTCCTTTTCTGCCTTTGGCCTCAAAGCGCTTGAAGTCTCCACTTGCAAATTGCAGAAAAAGAGTGTTTCGAATCTGCTCTGTCTAAAGGAAGGTTCAACTCTGTCAGTTGAATACACACAACACAAGGAAGTTACTGAGATTTCTTCTGTCTAGCCTTACATGAAAAAAACCCGTTTCCAACGAAGGCCTCAAAGAGGTCAAAATATCCACGTGCAGACTTTCCAAACAGAGTGTTTCCAAACTGCTGAATGAAAAGAAAAGTTAAACTCTGTGAGTTGAACGCACACATCCCAGAGCAGTTTCTGAGAAAGATTCTGTCTAGTTTTTATAGGAAAATATTTCCTTTTCTGCTTTTGGCCTCAAAGCGCTTGAAATCTCCACTTGCAAATTCCACAAAAAGAGACTTTCAAATCTGCTCTGTCTAAAGGAAGGTTCAACTCTGTCAGTTGAATACACACAACACAAAGAAGTTACTAAGAATTCTTCCCTCTAGCATTATATGAAGAAATCCCGTTTCCAACGAAGGCATCTAAGAGGTCCAAATATCCACTTGCAGACTTTACAAACAGAGGGTTTCCAGAATGCTGTATGAAAAGAAAGGTGAAACTCTGTGAGTTAAACACACACATCACTACGCAGTGTCTGGGAACGAGTTTGTCTTGTTTTTCTACGAAGATATTTCCTTTTCTACCATTGGCATCGAAGCGCTTGAAATCTCCACTTGCAAATTCCACAAAAAGAGTGTTTCAAATCTGCTCTGTCTAAAGGAAGGTTGAACTCTGTGAGTTGCATACACACAACACAAAGAAGTTACTGAGAAATCTTCTGTCTAGCATAATATGAAGAAATCCCGTTTCCAACGAAGGCCTCAAAGAGGTCCGAATATCCACTGGCAGGCTTCACAAACGGAGTGTTTCCTAACTGCTCTGTGAAAAGAAAGGTTAAACTCTGTGAGTTGAACGCACACATCACAAAGGAGTTTCTGAGAATCATTCTGTCTAGTTTTTATACGAAGATATTTCTTTTTCTACCATTGACCTCAAAGCGGCTGAAATCTCCACTTGCAAATTCCAGAAAAACAGTGTTTCAAATCTGCTCTGTGTAAAGGATCGTTCAACTCTGTGAGTTGAATACACACAACACAAGGAAGTTACTGAGAATTCATCTGTCTAGCATGATATGAAGAAATCCCGTTTCCAACGAAGGCCTCAAAGAGGTCTGAATATCCACTTGCAGACTTTACAGAGTGTTTCCTAACTGCTCTTTGAAAAGAAAGGTTAAACTCTGTGAGTTGAACGCACACATCACAAAACAGTTTCTGAGAATCATTCTGTCTAGTTTTTATACGAAGATATTTCCTTTTCTACCGTTGACCTCAAAGCGGCTGAATTCTCCACTTACAAATTCCACCACAAGAGTGTCTCAAATCTGCTCTGTGTAAAGAATCATTCAACTCTGTGAGTTGAATGCACACAACACAAGGAAGTTACTGGGAATTCCTCTGTCTATCCTTACATGAAAAAACCCTTTTCCAACGAAGGCCTCTAAGAGGCCAAGATATCCACTTGCAGACTTTACAAACAGAGTGTTTCCAAACTGCTGAATGAAAAGAAAAGTTAAACTCTGTGAGTTGAACGCACACATCACAGAGCAGTTTCTGAGAAAGATTCTGTCTAGCTTTTATAGGAAAATATTTCCTTTTCTGCTTTTGGCCTCAAAGTGCTTGAAATCTCCACTTGCAAATTCCACAAAAAGAGTGTTTCAAATCTGCTCTGTCTAAAGGAAGGTTGAACTCTGTGAGTTGCATACACACAACACAAAGAAGTTACTGAGAAATCTTCTGTCTAGCATAATATGAAGAAATCCCGTTTCCAACGAAGGCCTCAAAGAGGTCCGAATATCCACTGGCAGGCTTCACAAACAGAGTGTTTCCTAACTGCTCTGTGAAAAGAAAGGTTAAACTCTGTGAGTTGAACGCACACATCACAAAGGAGTTTCTGAGAATCATTCTGTCTAGTTTTTATACGAAGATATTTCCTTTTCTACCATTGACCTCAAAGCGGCTGAAATCTCCACTTGCAAATTCCAGAAAAACAGTGTTTCAAATCTGCTCTGTGTAAAGGATCGTTTAACTCTGTGAGTTGAATACACACAACACAAGGAAGTTACTGAGAATTCATCTGTCTAGCATAATATGAAGAAATCCCGTTTCCAACGAAGGCCTCAAAGAGGTCTGAATATCCACTTGCAGACTTTACAAACAGAGTGTTTCCTAACTGCTCTTTGAAAAGAAAGGTTAAACTCTGTGAGTTGAAAGCACACATCACAAAACAGTTTCTGAGAATCATTCTGTCTAGTTTTTATACGAAGATATTTCCTTTTCTACCGTTGACATCAAAGCGGCTGAATTCTCCACTTACAAATTCCACCAAAAGAGTGTCTCAAATCTGCTCTGTGTAAAGAATCATTCAACTCTGTGAGTTGAATGCACACAACACAAGGAAGTTAGTGGGAATTCCTCTGTCTAACCTTACATGAAAAAACCCGCTTCCAACGAAGGCCTCTAAGAGGCCAAGATATCCACTTGCAGACTTTACAAACAGAGTGTTTCCAAACTGCTGAATGAAAAGAAAAGTTAAACTCTGTGAGTTGAACGCACACATCACAGAGCAGTTTCTGAGAATGATTCTGTCGGGTTTTTATACGAAGATATTTCCTTTTCTGCCTTTGGCCTCAAAGCGCTTGAAGTCTCCACTTGCAAATTGCAGAAAAAGAGTGTTTCGAATCTGCTCTGTCTAAAGGAAGGTTCAACTCTGTCAGTTGAATACACACAACACAAGGAAGTTACTGAGATTTCTTCTGTCTAGCCTTACATGAAAAAAACCCGTTTCCAACGAAGGCCTCAAAGAGGTCAAAATATCCACGTGCAGACTTTCCAAACAGAGTGTTTCCAAACTGCTGAATGAAAAGAAAAGTTAAACTCTGTGAGTTGAACGCACACATCCCAGAGCAGTTTCTGAGAAAGATTCTGTCAAGTTTTTATAGGAAAATATTTCCTTTTCTGCTTTTGGCCTCAAAGCGCTTGAAATCTCCACTTGCAAATTCCACAAAAAGAGACTTTCAAATCTGCTCTGTCTAAAGGAAGGTTCAACTCTGTCAGTTGAATACACACAACACAAAGAAGTTACTAAGAATTCTTCCCTCTAGCATTATATGAAGAAATCCCGTTTCCAACGAAGGCATCTAAGAGGTCCAAATATCCACTTGCAGACTTTACAAACACAGGGTTTCCAGAATGCTGTATGAAAAGAAAGGTGAAACTCTGTGAGTTAAACACACACATCACTACGCAGTGTCTGGGAACGAGTTTGTCTTGTTTTTATACGAAGATATTTCCTTTTCTACCATTGGCATCGAAGTGCTTGAAACCTCCACTTGCAAATTCCACAAAAAGAGTGTTTCAAATCTGCTCTGTCTAAAGGAAGGTTGAACTCTGTGAGTTGCATACACACAACACAAAGAAGTTACTGAGAAATCTTCTGTCTAGCATAATATGAAGAAATCCCGTTTCCAACGAAGGCCTCAAAGAGGTCCGAATATCCACTGGCAGGCTTCACAAACAGAGTGTTTCCTAACTGCTCTGTGAAAAGAAAGGTTAAACTCTGTGAGTTGAACGCACACATCACAAAGGAGTTTCTGAGAATCATTCTGTCTAGTTTTTATACGAAGATATTTCCTTTTCTACCATTGACCTCAAAGCGGCTGAAATCTCCACTTGCAAATTCCAGAAAAACAGTGTTTCAAATCTGCTCTGTGTAAAGGATCGTTCAACTCTGTGAGTTGAATACACACAACACAAGGAAGTTACTGAGAATTCATCTGTCTAGCATAATATGAAGAAATCCCGTTTCCAACGAAGGCCTCAAAGAGGTCTGAATATCCACTTGCAGACTTTACAAACAGAGTGTTTCCTAACTGCTCTTTGAAAAGAAAGGTTAAACTCTGTGAGTTGAACGCACACATCACAAAACAGTTTCTGAGAATCATTCTGTCTAGTTTTTATACAAAGATATTTCCTTTTCTACCGTTGACCTCAAAGCGGCTGAATTCTCCACTTACAAATTCCACCAAAAGAGTGTCTCAAATCTGCTCTGTTTAAAGAATCATTCAACTCTGTGAGTTGAATGCACACAACACAAGGAAGTTACTGGGAATTCCTCTGTCTAACCTTACATGAAAAAACCCGTTTCCAACGAAGGCCTCTAAGAGGCCAAGATATCCACTTGCAGACTTTACAAACAGAGTGTTTCCAAACTGCTGAATGAAAAGAAAAGTTAAACTCTGTGAGTTGAACGCACACATCACAGAGCAGTTTCTGAGAATGATTCTGTCGGGTTTTTATACGAAGATATTTCCTTTTCTGCCTTTGGCCTCAAAGCGCTTGAAGTCTCCACTTGCAAATTGCAGAAAAAGAGTGTTTCGAATCTGCTCTGTCTAAAAGAAGGTTCAACTCTGTCAGTTGAATACACACAACACAAGGAAGTTACTGAGATTTCTTCTGTCTAGCCTTACATGAAAAAAACCCGTTTCCAATGAAGGCCTCAAAGAGGTCAAAATATCCACGTGCAGACTTTCCAAACAGAGTGTTTCCAAACTGCTGAATGAAAAGAAAGTTAAACTCTGTGAGTTGAACACACACATCACAGAGCAGTTTCTGAGAATGATTCTGTCTAGTTTTTATAGGAAAATATTTCCTTTTCTGCTTTTGGCCTCAAAGCGCTTGAAATCTCCACTTGCAAATTCCACAAAAAGAGACTTTCAAATCTGCTCTGTCTAAAGGAAGCTTCAACTCTGTCAGTTGAATACACACAACACAAAGAAGTTACTAAGAATTCTTCCCTCTAGCATTATATGAAGAAATCCCGTTTCCAACGAAGGCATCTAAGAGGTCCAAATATCCACTTGCAGACTTTACAAACAGAGGGTTTCCAGAATGCTGTATGAAAAGAAAGGTGAAACTCTGTGAGTTAAACACACACATCACTACGCAGTGTCTGGGAACGAGTTTGTCTTGTTTTTCTACGAAGATATTTCCTTTTCTACCATTGGCATCGAAGCGCTTGAAATCTCCACTTGCAAATTCCACAAAAAGAGTGTTTCAAATCTGCTCTGTCTAAAGGAAGGTTGAACTCTGTGAGTTGCATACACACAACACAAAGAAGTTACTGAGAAATCTTCTGTCTAGCATAATATGAAGAAATCCCGTTTCCAACGAAGGCCTCAAAGAGGTCCGATTATCCACTGGCAGGCTTCACAAACAGAGTGTTTCCTAACTGCTCTGTGAAAAGAAAAGTTAAACTCTGTGAGTTGAACGCACACATCACAAAGGAGTTTCTGAGAATCATTCTGTCTAGTTTTTCTACGAAGATATTTCCTTTTCTACCATTGACCTCAAAGCGGCTGAAATCTCCACTTGCAAATTCCAGAAAAACAGTGTTTCAAATCTGCTCTGTGTAAAGGATCGTTCAACTCTGTGAGTTGAATACACACAACACAAGGAAGTTACTGAGAATTCATCTGTCTAGCATAATATGAAGAAATCCCGTTTCCAACGAAGGCCTCAAAGAGGTCTGAATATCCACTTGCAGACTTTACAAACAGAGTGTTTCCTAACTGCTCTCTGAAAAGAAAGGTTAAACTCTGTGAGTTGAACGCACACATCAAAAAACAGTTTCTGAGAATCATTCTGTCTAGTTTTTATACGAAGATATTTCCTTTTCTACCGTTGACATCAAAGCGGCTGAATTCTCCACTTACAAATTCCACCAAAAGAGTGTCTCAAATCTGCTCTGTGTAAAGAATCATTCAACTCTGTGAGTTGAATGCACACAACACAAGGAAGTTAGTGGGAATTCCTCTGTCTAACCTTACAGGAAAAAACCCGTTTCCAACGAAGGCCTCTAAGAGGCCAAGATATCCACTTGCAGACTTTACAAACAGAGTGTTTCCAAACTGCTGAATGAAAAGAAAAGTTAAACTCTGTGAGTTGAACGCACACATCACAGAGCAGTTTCTGAGAATGATTCTGTCGGGTTTTTATACGAAGATATATCCTTTTCTGCCTTTGGCCTCAAAGCGCTTGAAGTCTCCACTTGCAAATTGCAGAAAAAGAGTGTTTCGAATCTGCTCTGTCTAAAGGAAGGTTCAACTCTGTCAGTTGAATACACACAACACAAGGAAGTTACTGAGATTTCTTCTGTCTAGCCTTACATGAAAAAAACCCGTTTCCAACGAAGGCCTCAAAGAGGTCAAAATATCCACGTGCAGACTTTCCAAACAGAGTGTTTCCAAACTGCTGAATGAAAAGAAAAGTTAAACTCTGTGAGTTGAACGCACACATCCCAGAGCAGTTTCTGAGAAAGATTCTGTCTAGTTTTTATAGGAAAATATTTCCTTTTCTGCTTTTGGCCTCAAAGCGCTTGAAATCTCCACTTGCAAATTCCACAAAAAGAGACTTTCAAATCTGCTCTGTCTAAAGGAAGGTTCAACTCTGTCAGTTGAATACACACAACACAAAGAAGTTACTAAGAATTCTTCCCTCTAGCATTATATGAAGAAATCCCGTTTCCAACGAAGGCATCTAAGAGGTCCAAATATCCACTTGCAGACTTTACAAACAGAGGGTTTCCAGAATGCTGTATGAAAAGAAAGGTTAAACTCTGTGAGTTAAACACACACATCACTACGCAGTGTCTGGGAACGAGTTTGTCTTGTTTTTATACGAAGATATTTCCTTTTCTACCATTGGCATCGAAGCGCTTGAAATCTCCACTTGCAAATTCCACAAAAAGAGTGTTTCAAATCTGCTCTGTCTAAAGGAAGGTTGAACTCTGTGAGTTGCATACACACAACACAAAGAAGTTACTGAGAAATCTTCTGTCTAGCATAATATGAAGAAATCCCGTTTCCAACGAAGGCCTCAAAGGAGGTCCGAATATCCACTGGCAGGCTTCACAAACAGAGTGTTTCCTAACTGCTCTGTGAAAAGAAAGGTTAAACTCTGTGAGTTGAACGCACACATCACAAAGGAGTTTCTGAGAATCATTCTGTCTAGTTTTTATACGAAGATATTTCCTTTTCTACCATTGACCTCAAAGCGGCTGACATCTCCACTTGCAAATTCCAGAAAAACAGTGTTTCAAATCTGCTCTGTGTAAAGGATCGTTCAACTCTGTGAGTTGAATACACACAACACAAGGAAGTTACTGAGAATTCATCTGTCTAGCATAATATGAAGAAATCCCGTTTCCAACGAAGGCCTCAAAGAGGTCTGAATATCCACTTGCAGACTTTACAAACAGAGTGTTTCCTAACTGCTCTCTGAAAAGAAAGGTTAAACTCTGTGAGTTGAACGCACACATCAAAAAACAGTTTCTGAGAATCATTCTGTCTAGATTTTATACGAAGATATTTCCTTTTCTACCGTTGACCTCAAAGCGGCTGAATTCTCCACTTACAAATTCCACCCAAAGAGTGTCTCAAATCTGCTCTGTGTAAAGAATCATTCAACTCTGTGAGTTGAATGCACACAACACAAGGAAGTTACTGGGAATTCCTCTGTCTATCCTTACATGAAAAAACCCGTTTCCAACGAAGGCCTCTAAGAGGCCAAGATATCCACTTGCAGACTTTACAAACAGAGTGTTTCCAAACTGCTGAATGAGAAGAAAAGTTAAACTCTGTGAGTTGAACGCACACATCACAGAGCAGTTTCTGAGAATGATTCTGTCGGGTTTTTATACGAAGATATTTCCTTTTCTGCCTTTGGCCTCAAAGCGCTTGAAGTCTCCACTTGCAAATTGCAGAAAAAGAGTGTTTCGAATCTGCTCTGTCTAAAGGAAGGTTCAACTCTGTCAGTTGAATACACACAACACAAGGAAGTTACTGAGATTTCTTCTGTCTAGCCTTACATGAAAAAAACCCGTTTCCAACGAAGGCCTCAAAGAGGTCAAAATATCCACGTGCAGACTTTCCAAACAGAGTGTTTCCAAACTGCTGAATGAAAAGTTAAACTCTGTGAGTTGAACGCACACATCCCAGAGCAGTTTCTGAGAAAGATTCTGTCGAGTTTTTATAGGAAAATATTTCCTTTTCTGCTTTTGGCCTCAAAGCGCTTGAAATCTCCACTTGCAAATTCCACAAAAAGAGACTTTCAAATCTGCTCTGTCTAAAGGAAGGTTCAACTCTGTCAGTTGAATACACACAACACAAAGAAGTTACTAAGAATTCGTCCCTCTAGCATTATATGAAGAAATCCCGTTTCCAACGAAGGCATCTAAGAGGTCCAAATATCCACTTGCAGACTTTTCAAACACAGGGTTTCCAGAATGCTGTATGAAAAGAAAGGTGAAACTCTGTGAGTTAAACACACACATCACTACGCAGTGTCTGGGAACGAGTTTGTCTTGTTTTTATACGAAGATATTTCCTTTTCTACCATTGGCATCGAAGCGCTTGAAATCTCCACTTGCAAATTCCACAAAAAGAGTGTTTCAAATCTGCTCTGTCTAAAGGAAGGTTGAACTCTGTGAGTTGCATACACACAACACAAAGAAGTTACTGAGAAATCTTCTGTCTAGCATAATATGAAGAAATCCCGTTTCCAACGAAGGCCTCAAAGAGGTCCGAATATCCACTGGCAGGCTTCACAAACAGAGTGTTTCCTAACTGCTCTGTGAAAAGAAAGGTTAAACTCTGTGAGTTGAACGCACACATCACAAAGGAGTTTCTGAGAATCATTCTGTCTAGTTTTTATACGAAGATATTTCCTTTTCTACCATTGACCTCAAAGCGGCTGAAATCTCCACTTGCAAATTCCAGAAAAACAGTGTTTCAAATCTGCTCTGTGTAAAGGATCGTTCAACTCTGTGAGTTGAATACACACAACACAAGGAAGTTACTGAGAATTCATCTGTCTAGCATAATATGAAGAAATCCCGTTTCCAACGAAGGCCTCAAAGAGGTCTGAATATCCACTTGCAGACTTTACAAACAGAGTGTTTCCTAACTGCTCTTTGAAAAGAAAGGTTAAACTCTGTGAGTTGAACGCACACATCACAAAACAGTTTCTGAGAATCATTCTGTCTAGTTTTTATACGAAGATATTTCCTTTTCTACCGTTGACCTCAAAGCGGCTGAATTCTCCACTTACAAATTCCACCAAAAGAGTGTCTCAAAACTGCTCTGTGTAAAGAATCATTCAACTCTGTGAGTTGAATGCACACAACACAAGGAAGTTACTGGGAATTCCTCTGTCTAACCTTACATGAAAAAACCCGTTTCCAACGAAGGCCTCTAAGAGGCCAAGATATCCACTTGCAGACTTTACAAACAGAGTGTTTCCAAACTGCTGAATGAAAAGAAAAGTTAAACTCTGTGAGTTGAACGCACACATCACAGAGCAGTTTCTGAGAATGATTCTGTCGGGTTTTTATACGAAGATATTTCCTTTTCTGCCTTTGGCCTCAAAGCGCTTGAAGTCTCCACTTGCAAATTGCAGAAAAAGAGTGTTTCGAATCTGCTCTGTCTAAAGGAAGGTTCAACTCTGTCAGTTGAATACACACAACACAAGGAAGTTACTGAGATTTCTTCTGTCTAGCCTTACATGAAAAAAACCCGTTTCCAACGAAGGCCTCAAAGAGGTCAAAATATCCACGTGCAGACTTTCCAAACAGAGTGTTTCCAAACTGCTGAATGAAAAGAAAAGTTAAACTCTGTGAGTTGAACGCACACATCCCAGAGCAGTTTCTGAGAAAGATTCTGTCGAGTTTTTATAGGAAAATATTTCCTTTTCTGCTTTTGGCCTCAAAGCGCTTGAAATCTCCACTTGCAAATTCCACAAAAAAGACTTTCAAATCTGCTCTGTCTAAAGGAAGGTTCAACTCTGTCAGTTGAATACACACAACACAAAGAAGTTACTAAGAATTCTTCCCTCTAGCATTATATGAAGAAATCCCGTTTCCAACGAAGGCATCTAAGAGGTCCAAATATCCACTTGCAGACTTTACAAACACAGGGTTTCCAGAATGTTGTATGAAAAGAAAGGTGAAACTCTGTGAGTTAAACACACACATCACTACGCAGTGTCTGGGAACGAGTTTGTCTTGTTTTTATACGAAGATATTTCCTTTTCTACCATTGGCATCGAAGCGCTTGAAATCTCCACTTGCAAATTCCACAAAAAGAGTGTTTCAAATCTGCTCTGTCTAAAGGAAGGTTGAACTCTGTGAGTTGCATACACACAACACAAAGAAGTTACTGAGAAATCTTCTGTCTAGCATAATATGAAGAAATCCCGTTTCCAACGAAGGCCTCAAAGAGGTCCGAATATCCACTGGCAGGCTTCACAAACAGAGTGTTTCCTAACTGCTCTGTGAAAAGAAAGGTTAAACTCTGTGAGTTGAACGCACACATCACAAAGGAGTTTCTGAGAATCATTCTGTCTAGTTTTTATACGAAGATATTTCCTTTTCTACCATTGACCTCAAAGCGGCTGAAATCTCCACTTGCAAATTCCAGAAAAACAGTGTTTCAAATCTGCTCTGTGTAAAGGATCGTTCAACTCTGTGAGTTGAATACACACAACACAAGGAAGTTACTGAGAATTCATCTGTCTAGCATAATATGAAGAAATCCCGTTTCCAACGAAGGCCTCAAAGAGGTCTGAATATCCACTTGCAGACTTTACAAACAGAGTGTTTCCTAACTGCTCTTTGAAAAGAAAGGTTAAACTCTGTGAGTTGAACGCACACATCACAAAACAGTTTCTGAGAATCATTCTGTCTAGTTTTTATACGAAGATATTTCCTTTTCTACCGTTGACCTCAAAGCGGCTGAATTCTCCACTTACAAATTCCACCAAAAGAGTGTCTCAAATCTGCTCTGTGTAAAGAATCATTCAACTCTGTGAGTTGAATGCACACAACACAAGGAAGTTACTGGGAATTCCTCTGTCTAACCTTACATGAAAAAACCCGTTTCCAACAAAGGCCTCTAAGAGGCCAAGATATCCACTTGCAGACTTTACAAACAGAGTGTTTCCAAACTGCTGAATGAAAAGAAAAGTTAAACTCTGTGAGTTGAACGCACACATCACAGAGCAGTTTCTGAGAATGATTCTGTCGGGTTTTTATACGAAGATATTTCCTTTTCTGCCTTTGGCCTCAAAGCGCTTGAAGTCTCCACTTGCAAATTGCAGAAAAAGAGTGTTTCGAATCTGCTCTGTCTAAAGGAAGGTTCAACTCTGTCAGTTGAATACACACAACACAAGGAAGTTACTGAGATTTCTTCTGTCTAGCCTTACATGAAAAAAACCCGTTTCCAACGAAGGCCTCAAAGAGGTCAAAATATCCACGTGCAGACTTTCCAAACAGAGTGTTTCCAAACTGCTGAATGAAAAGAAAAGTTAAACTCTGTGAGTTGAACGCACACATCCCAGAGCAGTTTCTGAGAAAGATTCTGTCAAGTTTTTATAGGAAAATATTTCCTTTTCTGCTTTTGGCCTCAAAGCGCTTGAAATCTCCACTTGCAAATTCCACCAAAAGAGACTTTCAAATCTGCTCTGTCTAAAGGAAGGTTCAACTCTGTCAGTTGAATACACACAACACAAAGAAGTTACTAAGAATTCTTCCCTCTAGCATTATATGAAGAAATCCCGTTTCCAACGAAGGCATCTAAGAGGTCCAAATATCCACTTGCAGACTTTACAAACAGAGGGTTTCCAGAATGCTGTATGAAAAGAAAGGTTAAACTCTGTGAGTTAAACACACACATCACTACGCAGTGTCTGGGAACGAGTTTGTCTTGTTTTTATACGAAGATATTTCCTTTTCTACCATTGGCATCGAAGCGTTTGAAATCTCCACTTGCAAATTCCACAAAAAGAGTGTTTCAAATCTGCTCTGTCTAAAGGAAGGTTGAACTCTGTGAGTTGCATACACACAACCCAAAGAAGTTACTGAGAAATCTTCTGTCTAGCATAATATGAAGAAATCCCGTTTCCAACGAAGGCCTCAAAGAGGTCCGAATATCCACTGGCAGGCTTCACAAACAGAGTGTTTCCTAACTGCTCTGTGAAAAGAAAGGTTAAACTCTGTGAGTTGAACGCACACATCACAAAGGAGTTTCTGAGAATCATTCTGTCTAGTTTTTATACGAAGATATTTCCTTTTCTACCATTGACCTCAAAGCGGCTGAAATCTCCACTTGCAAATTCCAGAAAAACAGTGTTTCAAATCTGCTCTGTGTAAAGGATCGTTCAACTCTGTGAGTTGAATACACACAACACAAGGAAGTTACTGAGAATTCATCTGTCTAGCATAATATGAAGAAATCCCGTTTCCAACGAAGGCCTCAAAGAGGTCTGAATATCCACTTGCAGACTTTACAAACAGAGTGTTTCCTAACTGCTCTCTGAAAAGAAAGGTTAAACTCTGTGAGTTGAACGCACACATCAAAAAACAGTTTGCTGAGAATCATTCTGTCTAGTTTTTATACGAAGATATTTCCTTTTCTACCGTTGACCTCAAAGCGGCTGAATTCTCCACTTACAAATTCCACCAAAAGAGTGTCTCAAAACTGCTCTGTGTAAAGAATCATTCAACTCTGTGAGTTGAATGCACACAACACAAGGAAGTTACTGGGAATTACTGTGTCTATCCTTACATGAAAAAACCCGTTTCCAACGAAGGCCTCTAAGAGGCCAAGATATCCACTTGCAGACTTTACAAACAGAGTGTTTCCAAACTGCTGAATGAAAAGAAAAGTTAAACTCTGTGAGTTGAACGCACACATCACAGAGCAGTTTCTGAGAATGATTCTGTCGGGTTTTTATACGAAGATATTTCCTTTTCTGCCTTTGGCCTCAAAGCGCTTGAAGTCTCCACTTGCAAATTGCAGAAAAAGAGTGTTTCGAATCTGCTCTGTCTAAAGGAAGGTTCAACTCTGTCAGTTGAATACACACAACACAAGGAAGTTACTGAGATTTCTTCTGTCTAGCCTTACATGAAAAAAACCCGTTTCCAACGAAGGCCTCAAAGAGGTCAAAATATCCACGTGCAGACTTTCCAAACAGAGTGTTTCCAAACTGCTGAATGAAAAGAAAAGTTAAACTCTGTGAGTTGAACGCACACATCCCAGAGCAGTTTCTGAGAAAGATTCTGTCTAGTTTTTATAGGAAAATATTTCCTTTTCTGCTTTTGGCCTCAAAGCGCTTGAAATCTCCACTTGCAAATTCCACAAAAAGAGACTTTCAAATCTGCTCTGTCTAAAGGAAGGTTCAACTCTGTCAGTTGAATACACACAACACAAAGAAGTTACTAAGAATTCTTCCCTCTAGCATTATATGAAGAAATCCCGTTTCCAACGAAGGCATCTAAGAGGTCCAAATATCCACTTGCAGACTTTACAAACACAGGGTTTCCAGAATGCTGTATGAAAAGAAAGGTTAAACTCTGTGAGTTAAACACACACATCACTACGCAGTGTCTGGGAACGAGTTTGTCTTGTTTTTATACGAAGATATTTCCTTTTCTACCATTGGCATCGAAGCGCTTGAAATCTCCACTTGCAAATTCCACAAAAAGAGTGTTTCAAATCTGCTCTGTCTAAAGGAAGGTTGAACTCTGTGAGTTGCATACACACAACACAAAGAAGTTACTGAGAAATCTTCTGTCTAGCATAATATGAAGAAATCCCGTTTCCAACGAAGGCCTCAAAGAGGTCCGAATATCCACTGGCAGGCTTCACAAACAGAGTGTTTCCTAACTGCTCTGTGAAAAGAAAGGTTAAACTCTGTGAGTTGAACGCACACATCACAAAGGAGTTTCTGAGAATCATTCTGTCTAGTTTTTATACGAAGATATTTCCTTTTCTACCATTGACCTCAAAGCGGCTGAAATCTCCACTTGCAAATTCCTGAAAAACAGTGTTTCAAATCTGCTCTGTGTAAAGGATCGTTCAACTCTGTGAGTTGAATACACACAACACAAGGAAGTTACTGAGAATTCATCTGTCTAGCATAATATGAAGAAATCCCGTTTCCAACGAAGGCCTCAAAGAGGTCTGAATATCCACTTGCAGACTTTACAAACAGAGTGTTTCCTAACTGCTCTTTGAAAAGAAAGGTTAAACTCTGTGAGTTGAACGCACACATCACAAAACAGTTTCTGAGAATCATTCTGTCTAGTTTTTATACGAAGATATTTCCTTTTCTACCGTTGACCTCAAAGCGGCTGAATTCTCCACTTACAAATTCCACCAAAAGAGTGTCTCAAATCTGCTCTGTGTAAAGAATCATTCAACTCTGTGAGTTGAATGCACACAACACAAGGAAGTTACTGGGAATTCCTCTGTCTAACCTTACATGATAAAACCCGTTTCCAACGAAGGCCTCTAAGAGGCCAAGATATCCACTTGCAGACTTTACAGAGTGTTTCCAAACTGCTGAATGAAAAGAAAAGTTAAACTCTGTGAGTTGAACGCACACATCACAGAGCAGTTTCTGAGAATGATTCTGTCGGGTTTTTATACGAAGATATTTCCTTTTCTGCCTTTGGCCTCAAAGCGCTTGAAGTCTCCACTTGCAAATTGCAGAAAAAGAGTGTTTCGAATCTGCTCTGTCTAAAGGAAGGTTCAACTCTGTCAGTTGAATACACACAACACAAGGAAGTTACTGAGATTTCTTCTGTCTAGCCTTACATGAAAAAAACCCGTTTCCAACGAAGGCCTCAAAGAGGTCAAAATATCCACGTGCAGACATTCCAAACAGAGTGTTTCCAAACTGCTGAATGAAAAGATAGTTAAACTCTGTGAGTTGAACACACACATCACAGAGCAGTTTCTGAGAATGATTCTCTCTAGTTTTTATAAGAAAATATTTCCTTTTCTGCTTTTGGCCTCAAAGCGCTTGAAATCTCCACTTGCAAATTCCACAAAAAGAGACTTTCAAATCTGCTCTGTCTAAAGGAAGGTTCAACTCTGTCAGTTCAATACACACAACACAAAGAAGTTACTAAGAATTCTTCCCTCTAGCATTATATGAAGAAATCCCGTTTCCAACGAAGGCCTCAAAGAGGTCTGAATATCCACTTGCAGATTTTACAGAGTGTTTCCTAACTGCTCTTTGAAAAGAAAGGTTAAACTCTGTGAGTTGAACGCACACATCACAAAACAGTTTCTGAGAATCATTCTGTCTAGTTTTTATACGAAGATATTTCCTTTTCTACCGTTGACCTCAAAGCGGCTGAATTCTCCACTTACAAATTCCACCAAAAGAGTGTCTCAAAAGTGCTCTGTGTAAAGAATCATTCAACTCTGTGAGTTGAATGCACACAACACAAGGAAGTTACTGGGAATTCCTCTGTCTAACCTTACATGAAAAAACCCGTTTCCAACGAAGGCCTCTAAGAGGCCAAGATATCCACTTGCAGACTTTACAAACAGAGTGTTTCCAAACTGCTGAATGAAAAGAAAAGTTAAACTCTGTGAGTTGAACGCACACATCACAGAGCAGTTTCTGAGAATGATTCTGTCGGGTTTTTATACGAAGATATTTCCTTTTCTGCCTTTGGCCTCAAAGCGCTTGAAGTCTCCACTTGCAAATTGCAGAAAAAGAGTGTTTCGAATCTGCTCTGTCTAAAGGAAGGTTCAACTCTGTCAGTTGAATACACACAACACAAGGAAGTTACTGAGATTTCTTCTGTCTAGCCTTACATGAAAAAAACCCGTTTCCAACGAAGGCCTCAAAGAGGTCAAAATATCCACGTGCAGACTTTCCAAACAGAGTGTTTCCAAACTGCTGAATGAAAAGAAAAGTTAAACTCTGTGAGTTGAACGCACACATCCCAGAGCAGTTTCTGAGAAAGATTCTGTCTAGTTTTTATAGGAAAATATTTCCTTTTCTGCTTTTGGCCTCAAAGCGCTTGAAATCTCCACTTGCAAATTCCACAAAAAGAGACTTTCAAATCTGCTCTGTCTAAAGGAAGGTTCAACTCTGTCAGTTGAATACACACAACACAAAGAAGTTACTAAGAATTCTTCCCTCTAGCATTATATGAAGAAATCCCGTTTCCAACGAAGGCATCTAAGAGGTCCAAATATCCACTTGCAGACTTTACAAACACAGGGTTTCCAGAATGCTGTATGAAAAGAAAGGTTAAACTCTGTGAGTTAAACACACACATCACTACGCAGTGTCTGGGAACGAGTTTGTCTTGTTTTTATACGAAGATATTTCCTTTTCTACCATTGGCATCGAAGCGCTTGAAATCTCCACTTGCAAATTCCACAAAAAGAGTGTTTCAAATCTGCTCTGTCTAAAGGAAGGTTGAACTCTGTGAGTTGCATACACACAACACAAAGAAGTTACTGAGAAATCTTCTGTCTAGCAAAATATGAAGAAATCCCGTTTCCAACGAAGGCCTCAAAGAGGTCCGAATATCCACTGGCAGGCTTCACAAACAGAGTGTTTCCTAACTGCTCTGTGAAAAGAAAGGTTAAACTCTGTGAGTTGAACGCACACATCACAAAGGAGTTTCTGAGAATCATTCTGTCTAGTTTTTATACGAAGATATTTCCTTTTCTACCATTGACCTCAAAGCGGCTGAAATCTCCACTTGCAAATTCCAGAAAAACAGTGTTTCAAATCTGCTCTGTGTAAAGGATCGTTCAACTCTGTGAGTTGAATACACACAACACAAGGGAAGTTACTGAGAATTCATCTGTCTAGCATAATATGAAGAAATCCCGTTTCCAACGAAGGCCTCAAAGAGGTCTGAATATCCACTTGCAGACTTTACAAACAGAGTGTTTCCTAACTGCTCTTTGAAAAGAAAGGTTAAACTCTGTGAGTTGAACGCACACATCAAAAAACAGTTTCTGAGAATCATTCTGTCTAGATTTTATACGAAGATATTTCCTTTTCTACCGTTGACCTCAAAGCGGCTGAATTCTCCACTTACAAATTCCACCCAAAGAGTGTCTCAAATCTGCTCTGTGTAAAGAATCATTCAACTCTGTGAGTTGAATGCACACAACACAAGGAAGTTACTGGGAATTCCTCTGTCTATCCTTACATGAAAAAACCCGTTTCCAACGAAGGCCTCTAAGAGGCCAAGATATCCACTTGCAGACTTTACAAACAGAGTGTTTCCAAACTGCTGAATGAAAAGAAAAGTTAAACTCTGTGAGTTGAACGCACACATCACAGAGCAGTTTCTGAGAATGATTCTGTCGGGTTTTTATACGAAGATATTTCCTTTTCTGCCTTTGGCCTCAAAGCGCTTGAAGTCTCCACTTGCAAATTGCAGAAAAAGAGTGTTTCGAATCTGCTCTGTCTAAAGGAAGGTTCAACTCTGTCAGTTGAATACACACAACACAAGGAAGTTACTGAGATTTCTTCTGTCTAGCCTTACATGAAAAAAACCCGTTTCCAACGAAGGCCTCAAAGAGGTCAAAATATCCACGTGCAGACTTTCCAAACAGAGTGTTTCCAAACTGCTGAATGAAAAGAAAAGTTAAACTCTGTGAGTTGAACGCACACATCCCAGAGCAGTTTCTGAGAAAGATTCTGTCGAGTTTTTATAGGAAAATATTTCCTTTTCTGCTTTTGGCCTCAAAGCGCTTGAAATCTCCACTTGCAAATTCCACAAAAAGAGACTTTCAAATCTGCTCTGTCTAAAGGAAGGTTCAACTCTGTCAGTTGAATACACACAACACAAAGAAGTTACTAAGAATTCTTCCCTCTAGCATTATATGAAGAAATCCCGTTTCCAACGAAGGCATCTAAGAGGTCCAAATATCCACTTGCAGACTTTACAAACAGAGGGTTCCCAGAATGCTGTATGAAAAGAAAGGTGAAACTCTGTGAGTTAAACACACACATCACTACGCAGTGTCTGGGAACGAGTTTGTCTTGTTTTTATACGAAGATATTTCCTTTTCTACCATTGGCATCGAAGCGCTTGAAATCTCCACTTGCAAATTCCACAAAAAGAGTGTTTCAAATCTGCTCTGTCTAAAGGAAGGTTGAACTCTGTGAGGTGCATACACACAACACAAAGAAGTTACTGAGAAATCTTCTGTCTAGCATAATATGAAGAAATCCCGTTTCCAACGAAGGCCTCAAAGAGGTCCGAATATCCACTGGCAGGCTTCACAAACAGAGTGTTTCCTAACTGCTCTGTGAAAAGAAAGGTTAAACTCTGTGAGTTGAACGCACACATCACAAAGGAGTTTCTGAGAATCATTCTGTCTAGTTTTTATACGAAGATATTTCCTTTTCTACCATTGACCTCAAAGCGGCTGAAATCTCCACTTGCAAATTCCTGAAAAACAGTGTTTCAAATCTGCTCTGTGTAAAGGATCGTTCAACTCTGTGAGTTGAATACACACAACACAAGGAAGTTACTGAGAATTCATCTGTCTAGCATAATATGAAGAAATCCCGTTTCCAACGAAGGCCTCAAAGAGGTCTGAATATCCACTTGCAGACTTTACAAACAGAGTGTTTCCTAACTGCTCTTTGAAAAGAAAGGTTAAACTCTGTGAGTTGAACGCACACATCACAAAACAGTTTCTGAGAATCATTCTGTCTAGTTTTTATACGAAGATATTTCCTTTTCTACCGTTGACCTCAAAGCGGCTGAATTCTCCACTAACAAATTCCACCAAAAGAGTGTCTCAAATCTGCTCTGTGTAAAGCATCATTCAACTCTGTGAGTTGAATGCACACAACACAAGGAAGTTACTGGGAATTCCTCTGTCTAACCTTACATGAAAAAACCCGTTTCCAACGAAGGCCTCTAAGAGGCCAAGATATCCACTTGCAGACTTTACAAACAGAGTGTTTCCAAACTGCTGAATGAAAAGAAAAGTTAAACTCTGTGAGTTGAACGCACATATCACAGAGCAGTTTCTGAGAATGATTCTGTCGGGTTTTTATACGAAGATATTTCCTTTTCTGCCTTTGGCCTCAAAGCGCTTGAAGTCTCCACTTGCAAATTGCAGAAAAAGAGTGTTTCGAATCTGCTCTGTCTAAAGGAAGGTTCAACTCTGTCAGTTGAATACACACAACACAAGGAAGTTACTGAGATTTCTTCTGTCTAGCCTTACATGAAAAAAACCCGTTTCCAACGAAGGCCTCAAAGAGGTCAAAATATCCACGTGCAGACTTTCCAAACAGAGTGTTTCCAAACTGCTGAATGAAAAGAAAGTTAAACTCTGTGAGTTGAACACACACATCACAGAGCAGTTTCTGAGAATGATTCTGTCTAGTTTTTATAGGAAAATATTTCCTTTTCTGCTTTTGGCCTCAAAGCGCTTGAAATCTCCACTTGCAAATTCCACAAAAAGAGACTTTCAAATCTGCTCTGTCTAAAGGAAGGTTCAACTCTGTCAGTTGAATACACACAACACAAAGAAGTTACTAAGAATTCTTCCCTCTAGCATTATATGAAGAAATCCCGTTTCCAACGAAGGCATCTAAGAGGTCCAAATATCCACTTGCAGACTTTACAAACACAGGGTTTCCAGAATGCTGTATGAAAAGAAAGGTGAAACTCTGTGAGTTAAACACACACATCACTACGCAGTGTCTGGGAACGAGTTTGTCTTGTTTTTATACGAAGATATTTCCTTTTCTACCATTGGCATCGAAGCGCTTGAAATCTCCACTTGCAAATTCCACAAAAAGAGTGTTTCAAATCTGCTCTGTCTAAAGGAAGGTTGAACTCTGTGAGTTGCATACACACAACACAAAGAAGTTACTGAGAAATCTTCTGTCTAGCATAATATGAAGAAATCCCGTTTCCAACGAAGGCCTCAAAGAGGTCTGAATATCCACTGGCAGGCTTCACAAACAGAGTGTTTCCTAACTGCTCTGTGAAAAGAAAGGTTAAACTCTGTGAGTTGAACGCACACATCACAAAGGAGTTTCTGAGAATCATTCTGTCTAGTTCTTATACGAAGATATTTCCTTTTCTACCATTGACCTCAAAGCGGCTGAAATCTCCACTTGCAAATTCCAGAAAAACAGTGTTTCAAATCTGCTCTGTGTAAAGGATCGTTTAACTCTGTGAGTTGAATACACACAACACAAGGAAGTTACTGAGAATTCATCTGTCTAGCATAATATGAAGAAATCCCGTTTCCAACGAAGGCCTCAAAGAGGTCTGAATATCCACTTGCAGACTTTACAAACAGAGTGTTTCCTAACTGCTCTTTGAAAAGAAAGGTTAAACTCTGTGAGTTGAACGCACACATCACAAAACAGTTTCTGAGAATCATTCTGTCTAGTTTTTATACGAAGATATTTCCTTTTCTACCGTTGACCTCAAAGCGGCTGAATTCTCCACTTACAAATTCCACCAAAAGTGTGTCTCAAATCTGCTCTGTGTAAAGAATCATTCAACTCTGTGAGTTGAATGCACACAACACAAGGAAGTTACTGGGAATTCCTCTGTCTAACCTTACATGAAAAAACCCGTTTCCAACGAAGGCCTCTAAGAGGCCAAGATATCCACTTGCAGACTTTACAAACAGAGTGTTTCCAAACTGCTGAATGAAAAGAAAAGTTAAACTCTGTGAGTTGAACGCACACATCACAGAGCAGTTTCTGAGAATGATTCTGTCGGGTTTTTATACGAAGATATTTCCTTTTCTGCCTTTGGCCTCAAAGCGCTTGAAGTCTCCACTTGCAAATTGCAGAAAAAGAGTGTTTCGAATCTGCTCTGTCTAAAAGAAGGTTCAACTCTGTCAGTTGAATACACACAACACAAGGAAGTTACTGAGATTTCTTCTGTCTAGCCTTACATGAAAAAAACCCGTTTCCAACGAAGGCCTCAAAGAGGTCAAAATATCCACGTGCAGACTTTCCAAACAGAGTGTTTCCAAACTGCTGAATGAAAAGAAAAGTTAAACTCTGTGAGTTGAACGCACACATCCCAGAGCAGTTTCTGAGAAAGATTCTGTCTAGTTTTTATAGGAAAATATTTCCTTTTCTGCTTTTGGCCTCAAAGCGCTTGAAATCTCCACTTGCAAATTCCACAAAAAGAGACTTTCAAATCTGCTCTGTCTAAAGGAAGGTTCAACTCTGTCAGTTGAATACACACAACACAAAGAAGTTACTAAGAATTCTTCCCTCTAGCATTATATGAAGAAATCCCGTTTCCAACGAAGGCATCTAAGAGGTCCAAATATCCACTTGCAGACTTTACAAACACAGGGTTTCCAGAATGCTGTATGAAAAGAAAGGTTAAACTCTGTGAGTTAAACACACACATCACTACGCAGTGTCTGGGAACGAGTTTGTCTTGTTTTTATACGAAGATATTTCCTTTTCTACCATTGGCATTGAAGCGCTTGAAATCTCCACTTGCAAATTCCACAAAAAGAGTGTTTCAAATATGCTCTCTCTAAAGGAAGGTTGAACTCTGTGAGTTGCATACACACAACACAAAGAAGTTACTGAGAAATCTTCTGTCTAGCATAATATGAAGAAATCCCGTTTCCAACGAAGGCCTCAAAGAGGTCCGAATATCCACTGGCAGGCTTCACAAACAGAGTGTTTCCTAACTGCTCTGTGAAAAGAAAGGTTAAACTCTGTGAGTTGAACGCACACATCACAAAGGAGTTTCTGAGAATCATTCTGTCTAGTTTTTATACGAAGATATTTCCTTTTCTACCGTTGACCTCAAAGCGGCTGAATTCTCCACTTACAAATTCCACCAAAAGAGTGTCTCAAATCTGCTCTGTGTAAAGAATCATTCAACTCTGTGAGTTGAATGCACACAACACAAGGAAGTTACTGGGAATTCCTCTGTCTAACCTTACATGAAAAAACCCGTTTCCAACGAAGGCCTCTAAGAGGCCAAGATATCCACTTGCAGACTTTACAAACAGAGTGTTTCCAAACTGCTGAATGAATAGAAAAGTTAAACTCTGTGAGTTGAACGCACACATCACAGAGCAGTTTCTGAGAATGATTCTGTCGGGTTTTTATACGAAGATATTTCCTTTTCTGCCTTTGGCCTCAAAGCGCTTGAAGTGTCCACTTGCAAATTGCAGAAAAAGAGTGTTTCGAATCTGCTCTGTCTAAAGGAAGGTTCAACTCTGTCAGTTGAATACACACAACACAAGGAAGTTACTGAGATTTCTTCTGTCTAGCCTTACATGAAAAAAACCCGTTTCCAACGAAGGCCTCAAAGAGGTCAAAATATCCACGTGCAGACTTTCCAAACAGAGTGTTTCCAAACTGCTGAATGAAAAGAAAAGTTAAACTCTGTGAGTTGAACGCACACATCCCAGAGCAGTTTCTGAGAAAGATTCTGTCGAGTTTTTATAGGAAAATATTTCCTTTTCTGCTTTTGGCCTCAAAGCGCTTGAAATCTCCACTTGCAAATTCCACAAAAAGAGACTTTCAAATCTGCTCTGTCTAAAGGAAGGTTCAACTCTGTCAGTTGAATACACACAACACAAAGAAGTTACTAAGAATTCTTCCCTCTAGCATTATATGAAGAAATCCCGTTTCCAACGAAGGCATCTAAGAGGTCCAAATATCCACTTGCAGACTTTACAAACAGAGGGTTTCCAGAATGCTGTATGAAAAGAAAGGTTAAACTCTGTGAGTTAAACACACACATCACTACGCAGTGTCTGGGAATGAGTTTGTCTTGTTTTTATACGAAGATATTTCCTTTTCTACCATTGGCATCGAAGCGCTTGAAATCTCCACTTGCAAATTCCACAAAAAGAGTGTTTCAAATCTGCTCTGTCTAAAGGAAGGTTGAACTCTGTGAGTTGCATACACACAACACAAAGAAGTTACTGAGAAATCTTCTGTCTAGCATAATATGAAGAAATCCCGTTTCCAACGAAGGCCTCAAAGAGGTCCGAATATCCACTGGCAGGCTTCACAAACAGAGTGTTTCCTAACTGCTCTGTGAAAAGAAAGGTTAAACTCTGTGAGTTGAACGCACACATCACAAAGGAGTTTCTGAGAATCATTCTGTCTAGTTTTTATACGAAGATATTTCCTTTTCTACCATTGACCTCAAAGCGGCTGAAATCTCCACTTGCATATTCCAGAAAAACAGTGTTTCAAATCTGCTCTGTGTAAAGGATCGTTCAACTCTGTGAGTTGAATACACACAACACAAGGAAGTTACTGAGAATTCATCTGTCTAGCATAATATGAAGAAATCCCGTTTCCAACGAAGGCCTCAAAGAGGTCTGAATATCCACTTGCAGACTTTACAAACAGAGTGTTTCCTAACTGCTCTTTGAAAAGAAAGGTTAAACTCTGTGAGTTGAACGCACACATCACAAAACAGTTTCTGAGAATCATTCTGTCTAGTTTTTATACGAAGATATTTCCTTTTCTACCGTTGACATCAAAGCGGCTGAATTCTCCACTTACAAATTCCACCAAAAGAGTGTCTCAAAACTGCTCTGTGTAAAGAATCATTCAACTCTGTGAGTTGAATGCACACAACACAAGGAAGTTACTGGGAATTCCTCTGTCTAACCTTACATGAAAAAACCCGTTTCCAACGAAGGCCTCTAAGAGGCCAAGATATCCACTTGCAGACTTTACAAACAGAGTGTTTCCAAACTGCTGAATGAAAAGAAAAGTTAAACTCTGTGAGTTGAACGCACACATCACAGAGCAGTTTCTGAGAATGATTCTGTCGGGTTTTTATACGAAGATATTTCCTTTTCTGCCTTTGGCCTCAAAGCGCTTGAAGTCTCCACTTGCAAATTGCAGAAAAAGAGTGTTTCGAATCTGCTCTGTCTAAAGGAAGGTTCAACTCTGTCAGTTGAATACACACAACACAAGGAAGTTACTGAGATTTCTTCTGTCTAGCCTTACATGAAAAAAACCCGTTTCCAAAGAAGGCCTCAAAGAGGTCAAAATATCCACGTGCAGACTTTCCAAACAGAGTGTTTCCAAACTGCTGAATGAAAAGAAAAGTTAAACTCTGTGAGTTGAACGCACACATCCCAGAGCAGTTTCTGAGAAAGATTCTGTCGAGTTTTTATAGGAAAATATTTCCTTTTCTGCTTTCGGCCTCAAAGCGCTTGAAATCTCCACTTGCAAATTCCACAAAAAGAGACTTTCAAATCTGCTCTGTCTAAAGGAAGGTTCAACTCTGTCAGTTGAATACACACAACACAAAGAAGTTACTAAGAATTCTTCCCTCTAGCATTATATGAAGAAATCCCGTTTCCAACGAAGGCATCTAAGAGGTCCAAATATCCACTTGCAGACTTTACAAACACAGGGTTTCCAGAATGCTGTATGAAAAGAAAGGTGAAACTCTGTGAGTTAAACACACACATCACTACGCAGTGTCTGGGAACGAGTTTGTCTTGTTTTTATACGAAGATATTTCCTTTTCTACCATTGGCATCGAAGCGCTTGAAATCTCCACTTGCAAATTCCACAAAAAGAGTGTTTCAAATCTGCTCTGTCTAAAGGAAGGTTGAACTCTGTGAGTTGCATACACACAACACAAAGAAGTTACTGAGAAATCTTCTGAATAGCATAATATGAAGAAATCCCGTTTCCAACGAAGGCCTCAAAGAGGTCCGAATATCCACTGGCAGGCTTCACAAACAGAGTGTTTCCTAACTGCTCTGTAAAAAGAAAGGTTAAACTCTGTGAGTTGAACGCACACATCACAAAGGAGTTTCTGAGAATCATTCTGTCTAGTTTTTATACGAAGATATTTCCTTTTCTACCATTGACCTCAAAGCGGCTGAAATCTCCACTTGCAAATTCCAGAAAAACAGTGTTTCAAATCTGCTCTGTGTAAAGGATCGTTCAACTCTGTGAGTTGAATACACACAACACAAGGAAGTTACTGAGAATTCATCTGTCTAGCATAATATGAAGAAATCCCGTTTCCAACGAAGGCCTCAAAGAGGTCTGAATATCCTCTTGCAGACTTTACAAACAGAGTGTTTCCTAACTGCTCTTTGAAAAGAAAGGTTAAACTCTGTGAGTTGAACGCACACATCACAAAACAGTTTCTGAGAATCATTCTGTCTAGTTTTTATACGAAGATATTTCCTTTTCTACCGTTGACCTCAAAGCGGCTGAATTCTCCACTTACAAATTCCACCAAAAGAGTGTCTCAAATGTGCTCTGTGTAAAGAATCATTCAACTCTGTGAGTTGAATGCACACAACACAAGGAAGTTACTGGGAATTCCTCTGTCTATCCTTACATGAAAAAACCCGCTTCCAACGAAGGCCTCTAAGAGGCCGAGATATCCACTTGCAGACTTTACAAACAGAGTGTTTCCAAACTGCTGAATGAAAAGAAAAGTTAAACTCTGTGAGTTGAACGCACACATCACAGAGCAGTTTCTGAGAATGATTCTGTCGGGTTTTTATACGAAGATATTTCCTTTTCTGCCTTTGGCCTCAAAGCGCTTGAAGTCTCCACTTGCAAATTGCAGAAAAAGAGTGTTTCGAATCTGCTCTGTCTAAAGGAAGGTTCAACTCTGTCAGTTGAATACACACAACACAAGGAAGTTACTGAGATTTCTTCTGTCTAGCCTTACATGAAAAAAACCCGTTTCCAACGAAGGCCTCAAAGAGGTCAAAATATCCACGTGCAGACTTTCCAAACAGAGTGTTTCCAAACTGCTGAATGAAAAGAAAAGTTAAACTCTGTGAGTTGAACGCACACATCCCAGAGCAGTTTCTGAGAAAGATTCTGTCTAGTTTTTATAGGAAAATATTTCCTTTTCTGCTTTTGGCCTCAAAGCGCTTGAAATCTCCACTTGCAAATTCCACAAAAAGAGACTTTCAAATCTGCTCTGTCTAAAGGAAGGTTCAACTCTGTCAGTTGAATACACACAACACAAAGAAGTTACTAAGAATTCTTCCCTCTAGCATTATATGAAGAAATCCCGTTTCCAACGAAGGCATCTAAGAGGTCCAAATATCCACTTGCAGACTTTACAAACACAGGGTTTCCAGAATGCTGTATGAAAAGAAAGGTTAAACTCTGTGAGTTAAACACACACATCACTACGCAGTGTCTGGGAACGAGTTTGTCTTGTTTTTCTACGAAGATATTTCCTTTTCTACCATTGGCATCGAAGCGCTTGAAATCTCCACTTGCAAATTCCACAAAAAGAGTGTTTCAAATCTGCTCTGTCTAAAGGAAGGTTGAACTCTGTGAGTTGCATACACACAACACAAAGAAGTTACTGAGAAATCTTCTGTCTAGCATAATATGAAGAAATCCCGTTTCCAACGAAGGCCTCAAAGAGGTCCGAATATCCACTGGCAGGCTTCACAAACAGAGTGTTTCCTAACTGCTCTGTGAAAAGAAAGGTTAAACTCTGTGAGTTGAACGCACACATCACAAAGGAGTTTCTGAGAATCATTCTGTCTAGTTTTTATACGAAGATATTTCCTTTTCTACCATTGACCTCAAAGCGGCTGAAATCTCCACTTGCAAATTCCAGAAAAACAGTGTTTCAAATCTGCTCTGTGTAAAGGATCGTTCAACTCTGTGAGTTGAATACACACAACACAAGGAAGTTACTGAGAATTCATCTGTCTAGCATAATATGAAGAAATCCCGTTTCCAACGAAGGCCTCAAAGAGGTCTGAATATCCACTTGCAGACTTTACAAACAGAGTGTTTCCTAACTGCTCTTTGAAAAGAAAGGTTAAACTCTGTGAGTTGAACGCACACATCACAAAACAGTTTCTGAGAATCATTCTGTCTAGTTTTTATACGAAGATATTTCCTTTTCTACCGTTGACCTCAAAGCAGCTGAATTCTCCACTTACAAATTCCACCAAAAGAGTGTCTCAAATCTGCTCTGTGTAAAGAATCATTCAACTCTGTGAGTTGAATGCACACAACACAAGGAAGTTACTGGGAATTCCTCTGTCTAACCTTACATGAAAAAACCCGTTTCCAACGAAGGCCTCTAAGAGGCCAAGATATCCACTTGCAGACTTTACAAACAGAGTGTTTCCAAACTGCTGAATGAAAAGAAAAGTTAAACTCTGTGAGTTGAACGCACACATCACAGAGCAGTTTCTGAGAATGATTCTGTCGGGTTTTTATACGAAGATATTTCCTTTTCTGCCTTTGGCCTCAAAGCGCTTGAAGTCTCCACTTGCAAATTGCAGAAAAAGAGTGTTTCGAATCTGCTCTGTCTAAAGGAAGGTTCAACACTGTCAGTTGAATACACACAACACAAGGAAGTTACTGAGATTTCTTCTGTCTAGCCTTACATGAAAAAAACCCGTTTCCAACGAAGGCCTCAAAGAGGTCAAAATATCCACGTGCAGACTTTCCAAACAGAGTGTTTCCAAACTGCTGAATGAAAAGAAAAGTTAAACTCTGTGAGTTGAACGCACACATCCCAGAGCAGTTTCTGAGAAAGATTCTGTCTAGTTTTTATAGGAAAATATTTCCTTTTCTGCTTTTGGCCTCAAAGCGCTTGAAATCTCCACTTGCAAATTCCACAAAAAGAGACTTTCAAATCTGCTCTGTCTAAAGGAAGGTTCAACTCTGTCAGTTGAATACACACAACACAAAGAAGTTACTAAGAATTCTTCCCTCTAGCATTATATGAAGAAATCCCGTTTCCAACGAAGGCATCTAAGAGGTCCAAATATCCACTTGCAGACTTTACAAACACAGGGTTTCCAGAATGCTGTATGAAAAGAAAGGTTAAACTCTGTGAGTTAAACACACACATCACTACGCAGTGTCTGGGAACGAGTTTGTCTTGTTTTTATACGAAGATATTTCCTTTTCTACCATTGGCATCGAAGCGCTTGAAATCTCCACTTGCAAATTCCACAAAAAGAGTGTTTCAAATCTGCTCTGTCTAAAGGAAGGTTGAACTCTGTGAGTTGCATACACACAACACAAAGAAGTTACTGAGAAATCTTCTGTCTAGCATAATATGAAGAAATCCCGTTTCCAACGAAGGCCTCAAAGAGGTCCGAATATCCACTGGCAGGCTTCACAAACAGAGTGTTTCCTAACTGCTCTGTGAAAAGAAAGGTTAAACTACTGTGAGTTGAACGCACACATCACAAAGGAGTTTCTGAGAATCATTCTGTCTAGTTTTTATACGAAGATATTTCTTTTTCTACCATTGACCTCAAAGCGGCTGAAATCTCCACTTGCAAATTCCAGAATAACAGTGTTTCAAATCTGCTCTGTGTAAAGGATCGTTCAACTCTGTGAGTTGAATACACACAACACAAGGAAGTTACTGAGAATTCATCTGTCTAGCATAATATGAAGAAATCCCGTTTCCAACGAAGGCCTCAAAGAGGTCTGAATATCCACTTGCAAACTTTACAAACAGAGTGTTTCCTAACTGCTCTTTGAAAAGAAAGGTTAAACTCTGTGAGTTGAACGCACACATCACAGAACAGTTTCTGAGAATCATTCTGTCTAGTTTTTATACGAAGATATTTCCTTTTCTACCGTTGACCTCAAAGCGGCTGAATTCTCCACTAACAAATTCCACCAAAAGAGTGTCTCAAATCTGCTCTGTGTAAAGAATCATTCAACTCTGTGAGTTGAATGCACACAACACAAGGAAGTTACTGGGAATTCCTCTGTCTAACCTTACATGAAAAAACCCGTTTCCAACGAAGGCCTCTAAGAGTCCAAGATATCCACTTGCAGACTTTACAAACAGAGTGTTTCCAAACTGCTGAATGAAAAGAAAAGTTAAACTCTGTGAGTTGAACGCACACATCACAGAGCAGTTTCTGAGAATGATTCTGTCGGGTTTTTATACGAAGATATTTCCTTTTCTGCCTTTGGCCTCAAAGCGCTTGAAGTCTCCACTTGCAAATTGCAGAAAAAGAGTGTTTCGAATCTGCTCTGTCTAAAAGAAGGTTCAACTCTGTCAGTTGAATACACACAACACAAGGAAGTTACTGAGATTTCTTCTGTCTAGCCTTACATGAAAAAAACCCGTTTCCAACGAAGGCCTCAAAGAGGTCAAAATATCCACGTGCAGACTTTCCAAACAGAGTGTTTCCAAACTGCTGAATGAAAAGAAAAGTTAAACTCTGTGAGTTGAACGCACACATCCCAGAGCAGTTTCTGAGAAAGATTCTGTCTAGTTTTTATAGGAAAATATTTCCTTTTCTGCTTTTGGCCTCAAAGCGCTTGAAATCTCCACTTGCAAATTCCACAAAAAGAGACTTTCAAATCTGCTCTGTCTAAAGGAAGGTTCAACTCTGTCAGTTGAATACACACAACACAAAGAAGTTACTAAGAATTCTTCCCTCTAGCATTATATGAAGAAATCCCGTTTCCAACGAAGGCATCTAAGAGGTCCAAATATCCACTTGCAGACTTTACAAACAGAGGGTTTCCAGAATGCTGTATGAAAAGAAAGGTTAAACTCTGTGAGTTAAACACACACATCACTACGCAGTGTCTGGGAACGAGTTTGTCTTGTTTTTCTACGAAGATATTTCCTTTTCTACCATTGGCATCGAAGCGCTTGAAATCTCCACTTGCAAATTCCACAAAAAGAGTGTTTCAAATCTGCTCTGTCTAAAGGAAGGTTGAACTCTGTGAGTTGCATACACACAACACAAAGAAGTTACTGAGAAATCTTCTGTCTAGCATAATATGAAGAAATCCCGTTTCCAACGAAGGCCTCAAAGAGGTCCGAATATCCACTGGCAGGCTTCACAAACAGAGTGTTTCCTAACTGCTCTGTGAAAAGAAAGGTTAAACTCTGTGAGTTGAACGCACACATCACAAAGGAGTTTCTGAGAATCATTCTGTCTAGTTTTTATACGAAGATATTTCCTTTTCTACCATTGACCTCAAAGCGGCTGAAATCTCCACTTGCAAATTCCAGAAAAACAGTGTTTCAAATCTGCTCTGTGTAAAGGATCGTTCAACTCTGTGAGTTGAATACACACAACACAAGGAAGTTACTGAGAATTCATCTGTCTAGCATAATATGAAGAAATCCCGTTTCCAACGAAGGCCTCAAAGAGGTCTGAATATCCGCTTGCAGACTTTACAAACAGAGTGTTTCCTAACTGCTCTTTGAAAAGAAAGGTTAAACTCTGTGAGTTGAACGCACACATCACAAAACAGTTTCTGAGAATCATTCTGTCTAGTTTTTATACGAAGATATTTCCTTTTCTACCATTGACCTCAAAGCGGCTGAATTCTCCACTTACAAATTCCACCAACAGTGTCTCAAATCTGCTCTGTGTAAAGAATCATTCAACTGTGTGAGTTGAATGCACACAACACAAGGAAGTTACTGGGAATTCCTCTGTCTAACCTTAAATGAAAAAACCCGTTTCCAACGAAGGCCTCTAAGAGGCCAAGATATCCACTTGCAGACTTTACAAACAGAGTGTTTCCAAACTGCTGAATGAAAAGAAAAGTTAAACTCTGTGAGTTGAACGCACACATCACAGAGCAGTTTCTGAGAATGATTCTGTCGGGTTTTTATACGAAGATATTTCCTTTTCTGCCTTTGGCCTCAAAGCGCTTGAAGTCTCCACTTGCAAATTGCAGAAAAAGAGTGTTTCGAATCTGCTCTGTCTAAAGGAAGGTTCAACTCTGTCAGTTGAATACACACAACACAAGGAAGTTACTGAGATTTCTTCTGTCTAGCCTTACATGAAAAAAACCCGTTTCCAACGAAGGCCTCAAAGAGGTCAAAATATCCACGTGCAGACTTTCCAAACAGAGTGTTTCCAAACTGCTGAATGAAAAGAAAAGTTAAACTCTGTGAGTTGAACGCACACATCCCAGAGCAGTTTCTGAGAAAGATTCTGTCGAGTTTTTATAGGAAAATATTTCCTTTTCTGCTTTTGGCCTCAAAGCGCTTGAAATCTCCACTTGCAAATTCCACAAAAAGAGACTTTCAAATCTGCTCTGTCTAAAGGAAGGTTCAACTCTGTCAGTTGAATACACACAACACAAAGAAGTTACTAAGAATTCTTCCCTCTAGCATTATATGAAGAAATCCCGTTTCCAACGAAGGCATCTAAGAGGTCCAAATATCCACTTGCAGACTTTACAAACACAGGGTTTCCAGAATGCTGTATGAAAAGAAAGGTTAAACTCTGTGAGTTAAACACACATATCACTACGCAGTGTCTGGGAACGAGTTTGTCTTGTTTTTATACGAAGATATTTCCTTTTCTACCATTGGCATCGAAGCGCTTGAAATCTCCACTTGCAAATTCCACAAAAAGAGTGTTTCAAATCTGCTCTGTCTAAAGGAAGGTTGAACTCTGTGAGTTGCATACACACAACACAAAGAAGTTACTGAGAAATCTTCTGTCTAGCATAATATGAAGAAATCCCGTTTCCAACGAAGGCCTCAAAAAGGTCCGAATATCCACTGGCAGGCTTCACAAACAGAGTGTTTCCTAACTGCTCTGTGAAAAGAAAGGTTAAACTCTGTGAGTTGAACGCACACATCACAAAGGAGTTTCTGAGAATCATTCTGTCTAGTTTTTATACGAAGATATTTCCTTTTCTACCATTGACCTCAAAGCGGCTGAAATCTCCACTTGCAAATTCCACAAAAACAGTGTTTCAAATCTGCTCTGTGTAAAGGATCGTTTAACTCTGTGAGTTGAATACACACAACACAAGGAAGTTACTGAGAATTCATCTGTCTAGCATAATATGAAGAAATCCCGTTTCCAACGAAGGCCTCAAAGAGGTCTGAATATCCACTTGCAGACTTTACAAACAGAGTGTTTCCTAACTGCTCTTTGAAAAGAAAGGTTAAACTCTGTGAGTTGAACGCACACATCACAAAACACTTTCTGAGAATCATTCTGTCTAGTTTTTATACGAAGATATTTCCTTTTCTACCGTTGACCTCAAAGCGGCTGAATTCTCCACTTACAAATTCCACCAAAAGAGTGTCTCAAATCTGCTCTGTGTAAAGAATCATTCAACTCTGTGAGTTGAATGCACACAACACAAGGAAGTTACTGGGAATTCCTCTGTCTAACCTTACATGATAAAACCCGTTTCCAACGAAGGCCTCTAAGAGGCCAAGATATCCACTTGCAGACTTTACAAACAGAGTGTTTCCAAACTGCTGAATGAAAAGAAAAGTTAAACTCTGTGAGTTGAACGCACACATCACAGAGCAGTTTCTGAGAATGATTCTGTCGGGTTTTTATACGAAGATATTTCCTTTTCTGCCTTTGGCCTCAAAGCGCTTGAAGTCTCCACTTGCAAATTGCAGAAAAAGAGTGTTTCGAATCTGCTCTGTCTAAAGGAAGGTTCAACTCTGTCAGTTGAATACACACAACACAAGGAAGTTACTGAGATTTCTTCTGTCTAGCCTTACATGAAAAAAACCCGTTTCCAACGAAGGCCTCAAAGAGGTCAAAATATCCACGTGCAGACTTTCCAAACAGAGTGTTTCCAAACTGCTGAATGAAAAGAAAAGTTAAACTCTGTGAGTTGAACACACACATCCCAGAGCAGTTTCTGAGAAAGATTCTGTCGAGTTTTTATAGGAAAATATTTCCTTTTCTGCTTTTGGCCTCAAAGCGCTTGAAATCTCCACTTGCAAATTCCACAAAAAGAGACTTTCAAATCTGCTCTGTCTAAAAGAAGGTTCAACTCTGTCAGTTGAATACACACAACACAAAGAAGTTACTAAGAATTCTTCCCTCTAGCATTATATGAAGAAATCCCGTTTCCAACGAAGGCATCTAAGAGGTCCAAATATCCACTTGCAGACTTTACAAACAGAGGGTTTCCAGAATGCTGTATGAAAAGAAAGGTTAAACTCTGTGAGTTAAACACACACATCACTACGCAGTGTCTGGGAACGAGTTTGTCTTGTTTTTATACGAAGATATTTCCTTTTCTACCATTGGCATCGAAGCGCTTGAAATCTCCACTTGCAAATTCCACAAAAAGAGTGTTTCAAATCTGCTCTGTCTAAAGGAAGGTTCAACTCTGTGAGTTGCATACACACAACACAAAGAAGTTACTGAGAAATCTTCTGTCTAGCATAATATGAAGAAATCCCGTTTCCAACGAAGGCCTGAAAGAGGTCCGAATATCCACTGGCAGGCTTCACAAACAGAGTGTTTCCTAACTGCTCTGTGAAAAGAAAGGTTAAACTCTGTGAGTTGAACGCACACATCACAAAGGAGTTTCTGAGAATCATTCTGTCTAGTTTTTATACGAAGATATTTCCTTTTCTACCATTGACCACAAAGCGGCTGAAATCTCCACTTGCAAATTCCAGAAAAACAGTGTTTCAAATCTGCTCTGTGTAAAGGATCGTTCAACTCTGTGAGTTGAATACACACAACACAAGGAAGTTACTGAGAATTCATCTGTCTAGCATAATATGAAGAAATCCCGTTTCCAACGAAGGCCTCAAAGAGGTCTGAATATCCACTTGCAGACTTTACAGAGTGTTTCCTAACTGCTCTCTGAAAAGAAAAGTTAAACTCTGTGAGTTGAACGCACACATCACAAAACAGTTTCTGAGAATCATTCTGTCTAGTTTTTATACGAAGATATTTCCTTTTCTACCGTTGACCTCAAAGCGGCTGAATTCTCCACTTACAAATTCCACCAAAAGAGTGTCTCAAATCTGCTCTGTGTAAAGAATCGTTCAACTCTGTGAGTTGAATGCACACAACACAAGGAAGTTACTGGGAATTCCTCTGTCTATCCTTACATGAAAAAACCCGTTTCCAACGAAGGCCTCTAAGAGGCCAAGATATCCACTTGCAGACTTTACAAACAGAGTGTTTCCAAACTGCTGAATGAAAAGAAAAGTTAAACTCTGTGAGTTGAATGCACACATCACAGAGCAGTTTCTGAGAATGATTCTGTCGGGTTTTTATACGAAGATATTTCCTTTTCTGCCTTTGGCCTCAAAGCGCTTGAAGTCTCCACTTGCAAATTGCAGAAAAAGAGTGTTTCGAATCTGCTCTGTCTAAAGGAAGGTTCAACTCTGTCAGTTGAATACACACAACACAAGGAAGTTACTGAGATTTCTTCTGTCTAGCCTTACATGAAAAAAACCCGTTTCCAACGAAGGCCTCAAAGAGGTCAAAATATCCACGTGCAGACTTTCCAAACAGAGTGTTTCCAAACTGCTGAATGAAAAGAAAAGTTAAACTCTGTGAGTTGAACGCACACATCCCAGAGCAGTTTCTGAGAAAGATTCTGTCTAGCTTTTATAGGAAAATATTTCCTTTTCTGCTTTTCGCCTCAAAGCGCTTGAAATCTCCACTTGCAAATTCCACAAAAAGAGACTTTCAAATCTGCTCTGTCTAAAGGAAGGTTCAACTCTGTCAGTTGAATACACACAACACAAAGAAGTTACTAAGAATTCTTCCCTCTAGCATTATATGAAGAAATCCCGTTTCCAACGAAGGCATCTAAGAGGTCCAAATATCCACTTGCAGACTTTACAAACAGAGGGTTTCCAGAATGCTGTATGAAAAGAAAGGTTAAACTCTGTGAGTTAAACACACACATCACTACGCAGTGTCTGGGAACGAGTTTGTCTTGTTTTTATACGAAGATATTTCCTTTTCTACCATTGGCATCGAAGCGCTTGAAATCTCCACTTGCAAATTCCACAAAAAGAGTGTTTCAAATCTGCTCTGTCTAAAGGAAGGTTGAACTCTGTGAGTTGCATACACACAACACAAAGAAGTTACTGAGAAATCTTCTGTCTAGCATAATATGAAGAAATCACGTTTCCAACGAAGGCCTCAAAGAGGTCCGAATATCCACTGGCAGGCTTCACAAACAGAGTGTTTCCTAACTGCTCTGTGAAAAGAAAGGTTAAACTCTGTGAGTTGAACGCACACATCACAAAGGAGTTTCTGAGAATCATTCTGTCTAGTTTTTATACGAAGATATTTCCTTTTCTACCATTGACCTCAAAGCGGCTGAAATCTCCACTTGCAAATTCCAGAAAAACAGTGTTTCAAATCTGCTCTGTGTAAAGGATCGTTCAACTCTGTGAGTTGAATACACACAACACAAGGAAGTTACTGAGAATTCATCCCTCTAGCATTATATGAAGAAATCCCGTTTCCAACGAAGGCCTCAAAGAGGTCTGAATATCCACTTGCAGACTTTACAGAGTGTTTCCTAACTGCTCTTTGAAAAGAAAGGTTAAACTCTGTGAGTTGAACGCACACATCACAAAACAGTTTCTGAGAATCATTCTGTCTAGTTTTTATACGAAGATATTTCCTTTTCTACCGTTGACCTCAAAGCGGCTGAATTCTCCACTTACAAATTCCACCCAAAGAGTGTCTCAAATCTGCTCTGTGTAAAGAATCATTCAACTCTGTGAGTTGAATGCACACAACACAAGGAAGTTACTGGGAATTCCTCTGTCTATCCTTACATGAAAAAACCCGTTTCCAACGAAGGCCTCTAAGAGGCCAAGATATCCACTTGCAGACTTTACAAACAGAGTGTTTCCAAACTGCTGAATGAAAAGAAAAGTTAAACTCTGTGAGTTGAACGCACACATCACAGAGCAGTTTCTGAGAAAGATTCTGTCGGGTTTTTATACGAAGATATTTCCTTTTCTGCCTTTGGCCTCAAAGCGCTTGAAGTCTCCACTTGCAAATTGCAGAAAAAGAGTGTTTCGAATCTGCTCTGTCTAAAGGAAGGTTCAACTCTGTCAGTTGAATACACACAACACAAGGAAGTTACTGAGATTTCTTCTGTCTAGCCTTACATGAAAAAAACCCGTTTCCAACGAAGGCCTCAAAGAGGTCAAAATATCCACGTGCAGACTTTCCAAACAGAGTGTTTCCAAACTGCTGAATGAAAAGAAAAGTTAAACTCTGTGAGTTGAACGCACACATCCCAGAGCAGTTTCTGAGAAAGATTCTGTCTAGTTTTTATAGGAAAATATTTCCTTTTCTGCTTTTGGCCTCAAAGCGCTTGAAATCTCCACTTGCAAATTCCACAAAAAGAGACTTTCAAATCTGCTCTGTCTAAAGGAAGGTTCAACTCTGTCAGTTGAATACACACAACACAAAGAAGTTACTAAGAATTCTTCCCTCTAGCATTATATGAAGAAATCCCGTTTCCAACGAAGGCATCTAAGAGGTCCAAATATCCACTTGCAGACTTTACAAACACAGGGTTTCCAGAATGCTGTATGAAAAGAAAGGTTAAACTCTGTGAGTTAAACACACACATCACTACGCAGTGTCTGGGAACGAGTTTGTCTTGTTTTTATACGAAGATATTTCCTTTTCTACCATTGGCATCGAAGCGCTTGAAATCTCCACTTGCAAATTCCACAAAAAGAGTGTTTCAAATCTGCTCTGTCTAAAGGAAGGTTGAACTCTGTGAGTTGCATACACACAACACAAAGAAGTTACTGAGAAATCTTCTGTCTAGCATAATATGAAGAAATCCCGTTTCCAACGAAGGCCTCAAAGAGGTCCGAATATCCACTGGCAGGCTTCACAAACAGAGTGTTTCCTAACTGCTCTGTGAAAAGAAAGGTTAAACTCTGTGAGTTCAACGCACACATCACAAAGGAGTTTCTGAGAATCATTCTGTCTAGTTTTTATACGAAGATATTTCCTTTTCTACCATTGACCTCAAAGCGGCTGAAATCTCCACTTGCAAATTCCAGAAAAACAGTGTTTCAAATCTGCTCTGTGTAAAGGATCGTTCAACTCTGTGAGTTGAATACACACAACACAAGGAAGTTACTGAGAATTCATCTGTCTAGCATAATATGAAGAAATCCCGTTTCCAACGAAGGCCTCAAAGAGGTCTGAATATCCACTTGCAGACTTTACAAACAGAGTGTTTCCTAACTGCTCTTTGAAAAGAAAGGTTAAACTCTGTGAGTTGAACGCACACATCACAAAACAGTTTCTGAGAATCATTCTGTCTAGTTTTTATACGAAGATATTTCCTTTTCTACCGTTGACCTCAAAGCGGCTGAATTCTCCACTTACAAATTCCACCAAAAGAGTGTCTCAAATCTGCTCTGTGTAAAGAATCATTCAACTCTGTGAGTTGAATGCACACAACACAAGGAAGTTACTGGGAATTCCTCTGTCTAACCTTACATGAAAAAACCCGTTTCCAACGAAGGCCTCTAAGAGGCCAAGATATCCACTTGCAGACTTTACAAACAGAGTGTTTCCAAACTGCTGAATGAAAAGAAAAGTTAAACTCTGTGAGTTGAACGCACACATCACAGAGCAGTTTCTGAGAATGATTCTGTCGGGTTTTTATACGAAGATATTTCCTTTTCTGCCTTTGGCCTCAAAGCGCTTGAAGTCTCCACTTGCAAATTGCAGAAAAAGAGTGTTTCGAATCTGCTCTGTCTAAAGGAAGGTTCAACTCTGTCAGTTGAATACACACAACACAAGGAAGTTACTGAGATTTCTTCTGTCTAGCCTTACATGAAAAAAACCCGTTTCCAACGAAGGCCTCAAAGAGGTCAAAATATCCACGTGCAGACTTTCCAAACAGAGTGTTTCCAAACTGCTGAATGAAAAGAAAGTTAAACTCTGTGAGTTGAACACACACATCACAGAGCAGTTTCTGAGAATGATTCTGTCTAGTTTTTATAGGAAAATATTTCCTTTTCTGCTTTTGGCCTCAAAGCGCTTGAAATCTCCACTTGCAAATTCCACAAAAAGAGACTTTCAAATCTGCTCTGTCTAAAGGAAGGTTCAACTCTGTCAGTTGAATACACACAACACAAAGAAGTTACTAAGAATTCTTCCCTCTAGCATTATATGAAGAAATCCCGTTTCCAACGAGGGCATCTAAGAGGTCCAAATATCCACTTGCAGACTTTACAAACAGAGGGTTTCCAGAATGCTGTATGAAAAGAAAGGTGAAACTCTGTGAGTTAAACACACACATCACTACGCAGTGTCTGGGAACGAGTTTGTCTTGTTTTTATACGAAGATATTTCCTTTTCTACCATTGGCATCGAAGCGCTTGAAATCTCCACTTGCAAATTCCACAAAAAGAGTGTTTCAAATCTGCTCTGTCTAAAGGAAGGTTGAACTCTGTGAGTTGCATACACACAACACAAAGAAGTTACTGAGAAATCTTCTGTCTAGCATAATATGAAGAAATCCCGTTTCCAACGAAGGCCTCAAAGAGGTCCGAATATCCACTGGCAGGCTTCACAAACAGAGTGTTTCCTAACTGCTCTGTGAAAAGAAAGGTTAAACTCTGTGAGTTGAACGCACACATCACAAAGGAGTTTCTGAGAATCATTCTGTCTAGTTTTTATACGAAGATATTTCCTTTTCTACCATTGACCTCAAAGCGGCTGAAATCTCCACTTGCAAATTCCAGAAAAACAGTGTTTCAAATCTGCTCTGTGTAAAGGATCGTTCAACTCTGTGAGTTGAATACACACAACACAAGGGAAGTTACTGAGAATTCATCTGTCTAGCATAATATGAAGAAATCCCGTTTCAAACGAAGGCCTCAAAGAGGTCTGAATATCCACTTGCAGACTTTACAAACAGAGTGTTTCCTAACTGCTCTTTGAAAAGAAAGGTTAAACTCTGTGAGTTGAACGCACACATCACAAAACAGTTTCTGAGAATCATTCTGTCTAGTTTTTATACGAAGATATTTCCTTTTCTACCGTTGACCTCAAAGCGGCTGAATTCTCCACTTACAAATTCCACCAAAAGAGTGTCTCAAATCTGCTCTGTGTAAAGAATCATTCAACTCTGTGAGTTGAATGCACACAACACAAGGAAGTTACTGGGAATTCCTCTGTCTATCCTTACATGAAAAAACCCGCTTCCAACGAAGGCCTCTAAGAGGCCAAGATATCCACTTGCAGACTTTACAAACAGAGTGTTTCCAAACTGCTGAATGAAAAGAAAAGTTAAACTCTGTGAGTTGAACGCACACATCACAGAGCAGTTTCTGAGAATGATTCTGTCGGGTTTTTATACGAAGATATTTCCTTTTCTGCCTTTGGCCTCAAAGCGCTTGAAGTCTCCACTTGCAAATTGCAGAAAAAGAGTGTTTCGAATCTGCTCTGTCTAAAGGAAGGTTCAACTCTGTCAGTTGAATACACACAACACAAGGAAGTTACTGAGATTTCTTCTGTCTAGCCTTACATGAAAAAAACCCGTTTCCAACGAAGGCCTCAAAGAGGTCAAAATATCCACGTGCAGACTTTCCAAACAGAGTGTTTCCAAACTGCTGAATGAAAAGAAAAGTTAAACTCTGTGAGTTGAACGCACACATCCCAGAGCAGTTTCTGAGAAAGATTCTGTCGAGTTTTTATAGGAAAATATTTCCTTTTCTGCTTTTGGCCTCAAAGCGCTTGAAATCTCCACTTGCAAATTCCACAAAAAGAGACTTTCAAATCTGCTCTGTCTAAAGGAAGGTTCAACTCTGTCAGTTGAATACACACAACACAAAGAAGTTACTAAGAATTCTTCCCTCTAGCATTATATGAAGAAATCCCGTTTCCAACGAAGGCATCTAAGAGGTCCAAATATCCACTTGCAGACTTTACAAACAGAGGGTTTCCAGAATGCTGTATGAAAAGAAAGGTTAAACTCTGTGAGTTAAACACACACATCACTACGCAGTGTCTGGGAACGAGTTTGTCTTGTTTTTATACGAAGATATTTCCTTTTCTACCATTGGCATCGAAGCGCTTGAAATCTCCACTTGCAAATTCCACAAAAAGAGTGTTTCAAATCTGCTCTGTCTAAAGGAAGGTTGAACTCTGTGAGTTGCATACACACAACCCAAAGAAGTTACTGAGAAATCTTCTGTCTAGCATAATATGAAGAAATCCCGTTTCCAACGAAGGCCTCAAAGAGGTCCGAATATCCACTGGCAGGCTTCACAAACAGAGTGTTTCCTAACTGCTCTGTGAAAAGAAAGGTTAAACTCTGTGAGTTGAACGCACACATCACAAAGGAGTTTCTGAGAATCATTCTGTCTAGTTTTTATACGAAGATATTTCCTTTTCTACCATTGACCTCAAAGCGGCTGACATCTCCACTTGCAAATTCCAGAAAAACAGTGTTTCAAATCTGCTCTGTGTAAAGGATCGTTCAACTCTGTGAGTTGAATACACACAACACAAGGAAGTTACTGAGAATTCATCTGTCTAGCATAATATGAAGAAATCCCGTTTCCAACGAAGGCCTCAAAGAGGTCTGAATATCCACTTGCAGACTTTACAAACAGAGTGTTTCCTAACTGCTCTTTGAAAAGAAAGGTTAAACTCTGTGAGTTGAACGCACACATCACAAAACAGTTTCTGAGAATCATTCTGTCTAGTTTTTATACGAAGATATTTCCTTTTCTACCGTTGACCTCAAAGCGGCTGAATTCTCCACTTACAAATTCCACCAAAAGAGTGTCTCAAATCTGCTCTGTGTAAAGAATCATTCAACTCTGTGAGTTGAATGCACACAACACAAGGAAGTTACTGGGAATTCCTCTGTCTATCCTTACATGAAAAAACCCGTTTCCAACGAAGGCCTCTAAGAGGCCAAGATATCCACTTGCAGACTTTACAAACAGAGTGTTTCCAAACTGCTGAATGAAAAGAAAAGTTAAACTCTGTGAGTTGAACGCACACATCACAGAGCAGTTTCTGAGAATGATTCTGTCGGGTTTTTATACGAAGATATTTCCTTTTCTGCCTTTGGCCTCAAAGCGCTTGAAGTCTCCACTTGCAAATTGCAGAAAAAGAGTGTTTCGAATCTGCTCTGTCTAAAGGAAGGTTCAACTCTGTCAGTTGAATACACACAACACAAGGAAGTTACTGAGATTTCTTCTGTCTAGCCTTACAAGAGAAAAACCCGTTTCCAACGTAGGCCTCAAAGAGGTCAAAATATCCACGTGCAGACTTTCCAAACAGAGTGTTTCCAAACTGCTGAATGAAAAGAAAAGTTAAACTCTGTGAGTTGAACGCACACATCACAGAGCAGTTTCTGAGAAAGATTCTGTCTAGTTTTTATAGGAAAATATTTCCTTTTCTGCTTTTGGCCTCAAAGCGCTTGAAATCTCCACTTGCAAATTCCACAAAAAGAGACTTTCAAATCTGCTCTGTCTAAAGGAAGGTTCAACTCTGTCAGTTGAATACACACAACACAAAGAAGTTACTAAGAATTCTTCCCTCTAGCATTATATGAAGAAATCCCGTTTCCAACGAAGGCATCTAAGAGGTCCAAATATCCACTTGCAGACTTTACAAACAGAGGGTTTCCAGAATGCTGTATGAAAAGAAAGGTGAAACTCTGTGAGTTAAACACACACATCACTACGCAGTGTCTGGGAACGAGTTTGTCTTGTTTTTATACGAAGATATTTCCTTTTCTACCATTGGCATCGAAGCGCTTGAAATCTCCACTTGCAAATTCCACAAAAAGAGTGTTTCAAATCTGCTCTGTCTAAAGGAAGGTTGAACTCTTGTGAGTTGCATACACACAACACAAAGAAGTTACTGAGAAATCTTCTGTCTAGCATAATATGAAGAAATCCCGTTTCCAACGAAGGCCTCAAAGAGGTCCGAATATCCACTGGCAGGCTTCACAAACAGAGTGTTTCCTAACTGCTCTGTGAAAAGAAAGGTTAAACTCTGTGAGTTGAACGCACACATCACAAAGGAGTTTCTGAGAATCATTCTGTCTAGTTTTTATACGAAGATATTTGCTTTTCTACCATTGACCTCAAAGCGGCTGAAATCTCCACTTGCAAATTCCAGAAAAACAGTGTTTCAAATCTGCTCTGTGTAAAGGATCGTTCAACTCTGTGAGTTGAATACACACAACACAAGGAAGTTACTGAGAATTCATCTGTCTAGCATAATATGAAGAAATCCCGTTTCCAACGAAGGCCTCAAAGAGGTCTGAATATCCACTTGCAGACTTTACAAACAGAGTGTTTCCTAACTGCTCTTTGAAAAGAAAGGTTAAACTCTGTGAGTTGAACGCACACATCAAAAAACAGTTTCTGAGAATCATTCTGCCTAGATTTTATACGAAGATATTTCCTTTTCTACCGTTGACCTCAAAGCGGCTGAATTCTCCACTTACAAATTCCACCCAAAGAGTGTCTCAAATCTGCTCTGTGTAAAGAATCATTCAACTCTGTGAGTTGAATGCACACAACACAAGGAAGTTACTGGGAATTCCTCTGTCTAACCTTAAATGAAAAAACCCGTTTCCAACGAAGGCCTCTAAGAGGCCAAGATATCCACTTGCAGACTTTACAAACAGAGTGTTTCCAAACTGCTGAATGAAAAGAAAAGTTAAACTCTGTGAGTTGAACGCACACATCACAGAGCAGTTTCTGAGAATGATTCTGTCGGGTTTTTATACGAAGATATTTCCTTTTCTGCCTTTGGCCTCAAAGCGCTTGAAGTCTCCACTTGCAAATTGCAGAAAAAGAGTGTTTCGAATCTGCTCTGTCTAAAGGAAGGTTCAACTCTGTCAGTTGAATACACACAACACAAGGAAGTTACTGAGATTTCTTCTGTCTAGCCTTACATGAAAAAAACCCGTTTCCAACGAAGGCCTCAAAGAGGTCAAAATATCCACGTGCAGACTTTCCAAACAGAGTGTTTCCAAACTGCTGAATGAAAAGAAAAGTTAAACTCTGTGAGTTGAACGCACACATCCCAGAGCAGTTTCTGAGAAAGATTCTGTCTAGTTTTTATAGGAAAATATTTCCTTTTCTGCTTTTGGCCTCAAAGCGCTTGAAATCTCCACTTGCAAATTCCACAAAAAGAGACTTTCAAATCTGCTCTGTCTAAAGGAAGGTTCAACTCTGTCAGTTGAATACACACAACACAAAGAAGTTACTAAGAATTCTTCCCTCTAGCATTATATGAAGAAATCCCGTTTCCAACGAAGGCATCTAAGAGGTCCAAATATCCACTTGCAGACTTTACAAACACAGGGTTTCCAGAATGCTGTATGAAAAGAAAGGTGAAACTCTGTGAGTTAAACACACACATCACTACGCAGTGTCTGGGAACGAGTTTGTCTTGTTTTTATACGAAGATATTTCCTTTTCTACCATTGGCATCGAAGCGCTTGAAATCTCCACTTGCAAATTCCACAAAAAGAGTGTTTCAAATCTGCTCTGCCTAAAGGAAGGTTGAACTCTGTGAGTTGCATACACACAACACAAAGAAGTTACTGAGAAATCTTCTGTCTAGCATAATATGAAGAAATCCCGTTTCCAACGAAGGCCTCAAAGAGGTCTGAATATCCACTTGCAGACTTTACAAACAGAGTGTTTCCTAACTGCTCTTTGAAAAGAAAGGTTAAACTCTGTGAGTTGAAAGCACACATCACAAAACAGTTTCTGAGAATCATTCTGTCTAGTTTTTATACGAAGATATTTCCTTTTCTACCGTTGACCTCAAAGCGGCTGAATTCTCCACTTACAAATTCCACCAAAAGAGTGTCTCAAATCTGCTCTGTGTAAAGAATCATTCAACTCTGTGAGTTGAATGCACACAACACAAAGAAGTTACTGGGAATTCCTCTGTCTAACCTTACATGAAAAAACCCGTTTCCAACGAAGGCCTCTAAGAGGCCAAGATATCCACTTGCAGACTTTACAAACAGAGTGTTTCCAAACTGCTGAATGAAAAGAAAAGTTAAACTCTGTGAGTTGAACGCACACATCACAGAGCAGTTTCTGAGAATGATTCTGTCGGGTTTTTATACGAAGATATTTCCTTTTCTGCCTTTGGCCTCAAAGCGCTTGAAGTCTCCACTTGCAAATTGCAGAAAAAGAGTGTTTCAAATCTGCTCTGTCTAAAGGAAGGTTCAACTCTGTCAGTTGAATACACACAACACAAGGAAGTTACTGAGATTTCTTCTGTCTAGCCTTACATGAAAAAAACCCGTTTCCAACGAAGGCCTCAAAGAGGTCAAAATATCCACGTGCAGACTTTCCAAACAGTGTTTCCAAACTGCTGAATGAAAAGAAAAGTTAAACTCTGTGAGTTGAACGCACACATCACAGAGCAGTTTCTGAGAATGATTCTGTCGGGTTTTTATAGGAAAATATTTCCTTTTCTGCTTTTGGCCTCAAAGCGCTTGAAATCTCCACTTGCAAATTCCACAAAAAGAGACTTTCAAATCTGCTCTGTCTAAAGGAAGGTTCAACTCTGTCAGTTGAATACACACAACACAAAGAAGTTACTAAGAATTCTTCCCTCTAGCATTATATGAAGAAATCCCGTTTCCAACGAAGGCATCTAAGAGGTCCAAATATCCACTTGCAGACTTTACAAACAGAGGGTTTCCAGAATGCTGTATGAAAAGAAAGGTTAAACTCTGTGAGTTAAACACACACATCACTACGCAGTGTCTGGGAACGAGTTTGTCTTGTTTGTATACGAAGATATTTCCTTTTCTACCATTGGCATCGATGCGCTTGAAATTTCCACTTGCAAATTCCACAAAAAGAGTGTTTCAAATCTGCTCTGTCTAAAGGAAGGTTGAACTCTGTGAGTTGCATACACACAACACAAAGAAGTTACTGAGAAATCTTCTGTCTAGCATAATATGAAGAAATCCCGTTTCCAACGAAGGCCTCAAAGAGGTCCGAATATCCACTGGCAGGCTTCACAAACAGAGTGTTTCCTAACTGCTCTGTGAAAAGAAAGGTTAAACTCTGTGAGTTGAACGCACACATCACAAAGGAGTTTCTGAGAATCATTCTGTCTAGTTTTTATACGAAGATATTTCCTTTTCTACCATTGACCTCAAAGCGGCTGAAATCTCCACTTGCAAATTCCAGAAAAACAGTGTTTCAAATCTGCTCTGTGTAAAGGATCGTTCAACTCTGTGAGTTGAATACACACAACACAAGGAAGTTACTGAGAATTCATCTGTCTAGCATAATATGAAGAAATCCCGTTTCCAACGAAGGCCTCAAAGAGGTCTGAATATCCGCTTGCAGACTTTACAAACAGAGTGTTTCCTAACTGCTCTTTGAAAAGAAAGGTTAAACTCTGTGAGTTGAACGCACACATCACAAAACAGTTTCTGAGAATCATTCTGTCTAGTTTTTATACGAAGATATTTGCTTTTCTACCGTTGACCTCAAAGCGGCTGAATTCTCCACTTACAAATTCCACCAAAAGAGTGTCTCAAATCTGCTCTGTGTAAAGAATCATTCAACTCTGTGAGTTGAATGCACACAACACAAGGAAGTTACTGGGAATTCCTCTGTCTAACCTTACATGAAAAAAACCGTTTCCAACGAAGGCATCTAAGAGGCCAAGATATCCACTTGCAGACTTTACAAACAGAGTGTTTCCAAACTGCTGAATGAAAAGAAAAGTTAAACTCTGTGAGTTGAACGCACACATCACAGAGCAGTTTCTGAGAATGATTCTGTCGGGTTTTTATACGAAGATATTTCCTTTTCTGCCTTTGGCCTCAAAGCGCTTGAAGTCTCCACTTGGAAATTGCAGAAAAAGAGTGTTTCGAATCTGCTCTGTCTAAAGGAAGGTTCAACTCTGTCAGTTGAATACACACAACACAAGGAAGTTACTGAGATTTCTTCTGTCTAGCCTTACATGAAAAAACCCGTTTCCAACGAAGGCCTCAAAGAGGTCAAAATATCCACGTGCAGACTTTCCAAACAGAGTGTTTCCAAACTGCTGAATGAAAAGAAAGTTAAACTCTGTGAGTTGAACACACACATCACAGAGCAGTTTCTGAGAATGATTCTGTCTAGTTTTTATAGGAAAATATTTCCTTTTCTGCTTTTGGCCTCAAAGCGCTTGAAATCTCCACTTGCAAATTCCACAAAAAGAGACTTTCAAATCTGCTCTGTCTAAAGGAAGGTTCAACTCTGTCAGTTGAATACACACAACACAAAGAAGTTACTAAGAATTCTTCCCTCTAGCATTATATGAAGAAATCCCGTTTCCAACGAAGGCATCTAAGAGGTCCAAATATCCACTTGCAGACTTTACAAACAGAGGGTTTCCAGAATGCTGTATGAAAAGAAAGGTTAAACTCTGTGAGTTAAACACACACATCACTACGCAGTGTCTGGGAACGAGTTTGTCTTGTTTTTATACGAAGATATTTCCTTTTCTACCATTGGCATCGAAGCGCTTGAAATCTCCACTTGCAAATTCCACAAAAAGAGTGTTTCAAATCTGCTCTGTCTAAAGGAAGGTTGAACTCTGTGAGTTGCATACACACAACACAAAGAAGTTACTGAGAAATCTTCTGTCTAGCATAATATGAAGAAATCCCGTTTCCAACGAAGGCCTCAAAGAGGTCCGAATATCCACTGGCAGGCTTCACAAACAGAGTGTTTCCTAACTGCTCTGTGAAAAGAAAGGTTAAACTCTGTGAGTTGAACGCACACATCACAAAGGAGTTTCTGAGAATCATTCTGTCTAGTTTTTATACGAAGATATTTCCTTTTCTACCATTGACCTCAAAGCGGCTGAAATCTCCACTTGCAAATTCCAGAAAAACAGTGTTTCAAATCTGCTCTGTGTAAAGGATCGTTCAACTCTGTGAGTTGAATACACACAACACAAGGAAGTTACTGAGAATTCATCTGTCTAGCATAATATGAAGAAATCCCGTTTCCAACGAAGGCCTCAAAGAGGTCTGAATATCCACTTGCAGACTTTACAAACAGAGTGTTTCCTAACTGCTCTTTGAAAAGAAAGGTTAAACTCTGTGAGTTGAACGCACACATCACAAAACAGTTTCTGAGAATCATTCTGTCTAGTTTTTATACGAAGATATTTCCTTTTCTACCGTTGACCTCAAAGCGGCTGAATTCTCCACTTACAAATTCCACCAAAAGAGTGTCTCAAATCTGCTCTGTGTAAAGAATCATTCAACTCTGTGAGTTGAATGCACACAACACAAGGAAGTTACTGGGAATTCCTCTGTCTAACCTTACATGAAAAAACCCGTTTCCAACGAAGGCCTCTAAGAGGCCAAGATATCCACTTGCAGACTTTACAAACAGAGTGTTTCCAAACTGCTGAATGAAAAGAAAAGTTAAACTCTGTGAGTTGAACGCACACATCACAGAGCAGTTTCTGAGAATGATTCTGTCGGGTTTTTATACGAAGATATTTCCTTTTCTGCCTTTGGCCTCAAAGCGCTTGAAGTCTCCACTTGCAAATTGCAGAAAAAGAGTGTTTCGAATCTGCTCTGTCTAAAGGAAGGTTCAACTCTGTCAGTTGAATACACACAACACAAGGAAGTTACTGAGATTTCTTCTGTCTAGCCTTACATGAAAAAAACCCGTTTCCAACGAAGGCCTCAAAGAGGTCAAAATATCCACGTGCAGACTTTCCAAACAGAGTGTTTCCAAACTGCTGAATGAAAAGAAAAGTTAAACTCTGTGAGTTGAACGCACACATCCCAGAGCAGTTTCTGAGAAAGATTCTGTCTAATTTTTATAGGAAAATATTTCCTTTTCTGCTTTTGGCCTCAAAGCGCTTGAAATCTCCACTTGCAAATTCCACAAAAAGAGACTTTCAAATCTGCTCTGTCTAAAGGAAGGTTCAACTCTGTCAGTTGAATACACACAACAAAAAGAAGTTACTAAGAATTCTTCCCTCTAGCATTATATGAAGAAATCCCGTTTCCAACGAAGGCATCTAAGAGGTCCAAATATCCACTTGCAGACTTTACAAACACAGGGTTTCCAGAATGCTGTATGAAAAGAAAGGTTAAACTCTGTGAGTTAAACACACACATCACTACGCAGTGTCTGGGAACGAGTTTGTCTTGTTTTTATACGAAGATATTTCCTTTTCTACCATTGGCATCGAAGCGCTTGAAATCTCCACTTGCAAATTCCACAAAAAGAGTGTTTCAAATCTGCTCTGTCTAAAGGAAGGTTGAACTCTGTGAGTTGCATACACACAACACAAAGAAGTTACTGAGAAATCTTCTGTCTAGCATAATATGAAGAAATCCCGTTTCCAACGAAGGCCTCAAAGAGGTCCGAATATCCACTGGCAGGCTTCACAAACAGAGTGTTTCCTAACTGCTCTGTGAAAAGAAAGGTTAAACTCTGTGAGTTGAACGCACACATCACAAAGGAGTTTCTGAGAATCATTCTGTCTAGTTTTTATACGAAGATATTTCCTTTTCTACCATTGACCTCAAAGCAGCTGAAATCTCCACTTGCAAATTCCAGAAAAACAGTGTTTCAAATCTGCTCTGTGTAAAGGATCGTTCAACTCTGTGAGTTGAATACACACAACACAAGGAAGTTACTGAGAATTCATCTGTCTAGCATAATATGAAGAAATCCCGTTTCCAACGAAGGCCTCAAAGAGGTCTGAATATTCACTTGCAGACTTTACAAACAGAGTGTTTCCTAACTGCTCTTTGAAAAGAAAGGTTAAACTCTGTGAGTTGAACGCACACATCACAAAACAGTTAATGAGAATCATTCTGTCTAGTTTTTATACGAAGATATTTCCTTTTCTACCGTTGACCTCAAAGCAGCTGAATTCTCCACTTACAAATTCCACCAAAAGAGTGTCTCAAATCTGCTCTGTGTAAAGAATCATTCAACTCTGTGAGTTGAATGCACACAACACAAGGAAGTTACTGGGAATTCCTCTGTCTAACCTTACATGAAAAAACCCGTTTCCAACGAAGGCCTCTAAGAGGCCAAGATATCCACTTGCAGACTTTACAAACAGAGTGTTTCCAAACTGCTGAATGAAAAGAAAAGTTAAACTCTGTGAGTTGAACGCACACATCACAGAGCAGTTTCTGAGAATGATTCTGTCGGGTTTTTATACGAAGATATTCCCTTTTCTGCCTTTGGCCTCAAAGCGCTTGAAGTCTCCACTTGCAAATTGCAGAAAAAGAGTGTTTCGAATCTGCTCTGTCTAAAGGAAGGTTCAACTCTGTCAGTTGAATACACACAACACAAGGAAGTTACTGAGATTTCTTCTGTCTAGCCTTACATGAAAAAAACCCGTTTCCAACGAAGGCCTCTAAGAGGCCAATATATCCACTTGCAGACTTTACAAACAGAGTGTTTCCAAACTGCTGAATGAAAAGAAAAGTTAAACTCTGTGAGTTGAACGCACACATCACAGAGCAGTTTCTGAGAATGATTCTGTCGGGTTTTTATACGAAGATATTTCCTTTTCTGCCTTTGGCCTCAAAGCACTTGAAGTCTCCACTTGCAAATTGCAGAAAAAGAGTGTTTCGAATCTGCTCTGTCTAAAGGAAGGTTCAACTCTGTCAGTTGAATACACACAACACAAGGAAGTTACTGAGATTTCTTCTGTCTAGCCTTACATGAAAAAACCCGTTTCCAACGAAGGCCTCAAAGAGGTCAAAATATCCACGTGCAGACTTTCTAAACAGAGTGTTTCCAAACTGCTGAATGAAAAGAAAGTTAAACTCTGTGAGTTGAACACACACATCACAGAGCAGTTTCTGAGAATGATTCTGTCTAGTTTTTATAGGAAAATATTTCCTTTTCTGCTTTTGGCCTCAAAGCGCTTGAAATCTCCACTTGCAAATTCCACAAAAAGAGACTTTCAAATCTGCTCTGTCTAAAGGAAGGTTCAACTCTGTCAGTTGAATACACACAACACAAAGAAGTTACTAAGAATTCTTCCCTCTAGCATTATATGAAGAAATCCCGTTTCCAACGAAGGCATCTAAGAGGTCCAAATATCCACTTGCAGACTTTACAAACAGAGGGTTTCCAGAATGCTGTATGAAAAGAAAGGTTAAACTCTGTGAGTTAAACACACACATCACTACGCAGTGTCTGGGAACGAGTTTGTCTTGTTTTTATACGAAGATATTTCCTTTTCTACCATTGGCATCGAAGCGCTTGAAATCTCCACTTGCAAATTCCACAAAAAGAGTGTTTCAAATCTGCTCTGTCTAAAGGAAGGTTGAACTCTGTGAGTTGCATACACACAACACAAAGAAGTTACTGAGAAATCTTCTGTCTAGCATAATATGAAGAAATCCCGTTTCCAACGAAGGCCTCAAAGAGGTCCGAATATCCACTGGCAGGCTTCACAAACAGAGTGTTTCCTAACTGCTCTGTGAAAAGAAAGGTTAAACCCTGTGAGTTGAACGCACACATCACAAAGGAGTTTCTGAGAATCATTCTGTCTAGTTTTTATACGAAGATATTTCCTTTTCTACCATTGACCTCAAAGCGGCTGAAATCTCCACTTGCAAATTCCAGAAAAACAGTGTTTCAAATCTGCTCTGTGTAAAGGATCGTTCAACTCTGTGAGTTGAATACACACAACACAAGGAAGTTACTGAGAATTCATCTGTCTAGCATAATATGAAGAAATCCCGTTTCCAACGAAGGCCTCAAAGAGGTCTGAATATCCACTTGCAGACTTTACAAACAGAGTGTTTCCTAACTGCTCTTTGAAAAGAAAGGTTAAACTCTGTGAGTTGAACGCACACATCACAAAACAGTTTCTGAGAATCATTCTGTCTAGTTTTTATACGAAGATATTTCCTTTTCTACCGTTGACCTCAAAGCGGCTGAATTCTCCACTTACAAATTCCACCAAAAGAGTGTCTCAAATCTGCTCTGTGTAAAGAATCATTCAACTCTGTGAGTTGAATGCACACAACACAAGGAAGTTACTGGGAATTCCTCTGTCTAACCTTACATGAAAAAACCCGTTTCCAACGAAGGCCTCTAAGAGGCCAAGATATCCACTTGCAGACTTTACAAACAGAGTGTTTCCAAACTGCTGAATGAAAAGAAAAGTTAAACTCTGTGAGTTGAACGCACACATCACAGAGCAGTTTCTGAGAATGATTCTGTCGGGTTTTTATACGAAGATATTTCCTTTTCTGCCTTTGGCCTCAAAGCGCTTGAAGTCTCCACTTGCAAATTGCAGAAAAAGAGTGTTTCGAATCTGCTCTGTCTAAAGGAAGGTTCAACTCTGTCAGTTGAATACACATAACACAAGGAAGTTACTGAGATTTCTTCTGTCTAGCGTTACATGAAAAAAACCCGTTTCCAACGAAGGCCTCAAAGAGGTCAAAATATCCACGTGCAGACTTTCCAAACAGAGTGTTTCCAAACTGCTGAATGAAAAGAAAAGTTAAACTCTGTGAGTTGAACGCACACATCCCAGAGCAGTTTCTGAGAAAGATTCTGTCTAGTTTTTATAGGAAAATATTTCCTTTTCTGCTTTTGGCCTCAAAGCGCTTGAAATCTCCACTTGCAAATTCCACAAAAAGAGACTTTCAAATCTGCTCTGTCTAAAGGAAGGTTCAACTCTGTCAGTTGAATACACACAACACAAAGAAGTTACTAAGAATTCTTCCCTCTAGCATTATATGAAGAAATCCCGTTTCCAACGAAGGCATCTAAGAGGTCCAAATGTCCACTTGCAGACTTTACAAACACAGGGTTTCCAGAATGCTGTATGAAAAGAAAGGTGAAACTCTGTGAGTTAAACACACACATCACTACGCAGTGTCTGGGAACGAGTTTGTCTTGTTTTTCTACGAAGATATTTCCTTTTCTACCATTGGCATCGAAGCGCTTGAAATCTCCACTTGCAAATTCCACAAAAAGAGTGTTTCAAATCTGCTCTGTCTAAAGGAAGGTTGAACTCTGTGAGTTGCATACACACAACACAAAGAAGTTACTGAGAAATCTTCTGTCTAGCATAATATGAAGAAATCCCGTTTCCAACGAAGGCCTCAAAGAGGTCCGAATATCCACTGGCAGGCTTCACAAACAGAGTGTTTCCTAACTGCTCTGTGAAAAGAAAGGTTAAACTCTGTGAGTTGAACGCACACATCACAAAGGAGTTTCTGAGAATCATTCTGTCTAGTTTTTATACGAAGATATTTCCTTTTCTACCATTGACCTCAAAGCGGCTGAAATCTCCACTTGCAAATTCCAGAAAAACAGTGTTTCAAATCTGCTCTGTGTAAAGGATCGTTCAACTCTGTGAGTTGAATACACACAACACAAGGAAGTTACTGAGAATTCATCTGTCTAGCATAATATGAAGAAATCCCGTTTCCAACGAAGGCCTCAAAGAGGTCTGAATATCCACTTGCAGACTTTACAAACAGAGTGCTTCCTAACTGCTCTTTGAAAAGAAAGGTTAAACTCTGTGAGTTGAACGCACACATCACAAAACAGTTTCTGAGAATCATTCTGTCTAGTTTTTATACGAAGATATTTCCTTTTCTACCGTTGACCTCAAAGCGGCTGAATTCTCCACTTACAAATTCCACCAAAAGAGTGTCTCAAATCTGCTCTGTGTAAAGAATCATTCAACTCTGTGAGTTGAATGCACACAACACAAGGAAGTTACTGGGAATTCCTCTGTCTAACCTTACATGAAAAAACCCGTTTCCAATGAAGGCCTCTAAGAGGCCAAGATATCCACTTGCAGACTTTACAAACAGAGTGTTTCCAAACTGCTGAATGAATAGAAAAGTTAAACTCTGTGAGTTGAACGCACACATCACAGAGCAGTTTCTGAGAATGATTCTGTCGGGTTTTTATACGAAGATATTTCCTTTTCTGCCTTTGGCCTCAAAGCGCTTGAAGTCTCCACTTGCAAATTGCAGAAAAAGAGTGTTTCGAATCTGCTCTGTCTAAAGGAAGGTTCAACTCTGTCAGTTGAATACACACAACACAAGGAAGTTACTGAGATTTCTTCTGTCTAGCCTTACATGAAAAAAACCCGTTTCCAACGAAGGCCTCAAAGAGGTCAAAATATCCACTGTGCAGACTTTCCAAACAGAGTGTTTCCAAACTGCTGAATGAAAAGAAAAGTTAAACTCTGTGAGTTGAACGCACACATCCCAGAGCAGTTTCTGAGAAAGATTCTGTCGAGTTTTTATAGGAAAATATTTCCTTTTCTGCTTTTGGCCTCAAAGCGCTTGAAATCTCCACTTGCAAATTCCACAAAAAGAGACTTTCAAATCTGCTCTGTCTAAAGGAAGGTTCAACTCTGTCAGTTGAATACACACAACACAAAGAAGTTACTAAGAATTCTTCCCTCTAGCATTATATGAAGAAATCCCGTTTCCAACGAAGGCATCTAAGAGGTCCAAATATCCACTTGCAGACTTTACAAACAGAGGGTTTCCAGAATGCTGTATGAAAAGAAAGGTGAAACTCTGTGAGTTAAACACACACATCACTACGCAGTGTCTGGGAACGAGTTTGTCTTGTTTTTATACGAAGATATTTCCTTTTCTACCATTGGCATCGAAGCGCTTGAAATCTCCACTTGCAAATTCCACAAAAAGAGTGTTTCAAATCTGCTCTGTCTAAAGGAAGGTTGAACTCTGTGAGTTGCATACACACAACACAAAGAAGTTACTGAGAAATCTTCTGTCTAGCATAATATGAAGAAATCCCGTTTCCAACGAAGGCCTCAAAGAGGTCCGAATATCCACTGGCAGGCTTCACAAACAGAGTGTTTCCTAACTGCTCTGTGAAAAGAAAGGTTAAACTCTGTGAGTTGAACGCACACATCACAAAGGAGTTTCTGAGAATCATTCTGTCTAGTTTTTATACGAAGATATTTCCTTTTCTACCATTGACCTCAAAGCGGCTGAAATCTCCACTTGCAAATTCCAGAAAAACAGTGTTTCAAATCTGCTCTGTGTAAAGGATCGTTCAACTCTGTGAGTTGAATACACACAACACAAGGAAGTTACTGAGAATTCATCTGTCTAGCATAATATGAAGAAATCCCGTTTCCAACGAAGGCCTCAAAGAGGTCTGAATATCCACTTGCAGACTTTACAAACAGAGTGTTTCCTAACTGCTCTTTGAAAAGAAAGGTTAAACTCTGTGAGTTGAACGCACACATCACAAAACAGTTTCTGAGAATCATTCTGTCTAGTTTTTATACGAAGATATTTCCTTTTCTACCGTTGACCTCAAAGCGGCTGAATTCTCCACTTACAAATTCCACCAAAAGAGTGTCTCAAATCTGCTCTGTGTAAAGAATCATTCAACTCTGTGAGTTGAATGCACACAACACAAGGAAGTTACTGGGAATTCCTCTGTCTAACCTTACATGAAAAAACCCGTTTCCAACGAAGGCCTCTAAGAGGCCAAGATATCCACTTGCAGACTTTACAAACAGAGTGTTTCCAAACTGCTGAATGAAAAGAAAAGTTAAACTCTGTGAGTTGAACGCACACATCACAGAGCAGTTTCTGAGAATGATTCTGTCGGGTTTTTATACGAAGATATTTCCTTTTCTGCCTTTGGCCTCAAAGCGCTTGAAGTCTCCACTTGCAAATTGCAGAAAAAGAGTGTTTCGAATCTGCTCTGTCTAAAGGAAGGTTCAACTCTGTCAGTTGAATACACACAACACAAGGAAGTTACTGAGATTTCTTCTGTCTAGCCTTACATGAAAAAAACCCGTTTCCAACGAAGGCCTCAAAGAGGTCAAAATATCCACGTGCAGACTTTCCAAACAGAGTGTTTCCAAACTGCTGAATGAAAAGAAAAGTTAAACTCTGTGAGTTGAACGCACACATCCCAGAGCAGTTTCTGAGAAAGATTCTGTCGAGTTTTTATAGGAAAATATTTCCTTTTCTGCTTTTGGCCTCAAAGCGCTTGAAATCTCCACTTGCAAATTCCACAAAAAGAGACTTTCAAATCTGCTCTGTCTAAAGGAAGGTTCAACTCTGTCAGTTGAATACACACAACACAAAGAAGTTACTAAGAATTCTTCCCTCTAGCATTATATGAAGAAATCCCGTTTCCAACGAAGGCATCTAAGAGGTCCAAATATCCACTTGCAGACTTTACAAACACAGGGTTTCCAGAATGCTGTATGAAAAGAAAGGTTAAACTCTGTGAGTTAAACACACACATCACTACGCAGTGTCTGGGAACGAGTTTGTCTTGTTTTTATACGAAGATATTTCCTTTTCTACCATTGGCATCGAAGCGCTTGAAATCTCCACTTGCAAATTCCACAAAAAGAGTGTTTCAAATCTGCTCTGTCTAAAGGAAGGTTGAACTCTGTGAGTTGCATACACACAACACAAAGAAGTTACTGAGAAATCTTCTGTCTAGCATAATATGAAGAAATCCCGTTTCCAACGAAGGCCTCAAAGAGGTCTGAATATCCACTGGCAGGCTTCACAAACAGAGTGTTTCCTAACTGCTCTGTGAAAAGAAAGGTTAAACTCTGTGAGTTGAACGCACACATCACAAAGGAGTTTCTGAGAATCATTCTGTCTAGTTTTTATACGAAGATATTTCTTTTTCTACCATTGACCTCAAAGCGGCTGAAATCTCCACTTGCAAATTCCAGAAAAACAGTGTTTCAAATCTGCTCTGTGTAAAGGATCGTTCAACTCTGTGAGTTGAATACACACAACACAAGGAAGTTACTGAGAATTCATCTGTCTAGCATAATATGAAGAAATCCCGTTTCCAACGAAGGCCTCAAAGTAGGTCTGAATATCCACTTGCAGACTTTACAAACAGAGTGTTTCCTAACTGCTCTTTGAAAAGAAAGGTTAAACTCTGTGAGTTGAACGCACACATCACAAAACAGTTTCTGAGAATCATTCTGTCTAGTTTTTATACGAAGATATATCCTTTTCTACCGTTGACCTCAAAGCGGCTGAATTCTCCACTAACAAATTCCACCAAAAGAGTGTCTCAAATCTGCTCTGTGTAAAGAATCATTCAACTCTGTGAGTTGAATGCACACAACACAAGGAAGTTACTGGGAATTCCTCTGTCTAACCTTACATGAAAAAACCCGTTTCCAACGAAGGCCTCTAAGAGGCCAAGATATCCACTTGCAGACTTTACAAACAGAGTGTTTCCAAACTGCTGAATGAAAAGAAAAGTTAAACTCTGTGAGTTGAACGCACACATCACAGAGCAGTTTCTGAGAATGATTCTGTCGGGTTTTTATACGAAGATATTTCCTTTTCTGCCTTTGGCCTCAAAGCGCTTGAAGTCTCCACTTGCAAATTGCAGAAAAAGAGTGTTTCGAATCTGCTCTGTCTAAAGGAAGGTTCAACTCTGTCAGTTGAATACACATAACACAAGGAAGTTACTGAGATTTCTTCTGTCTAGCGTTACATGAAAAAAACCCGTTTCCAACGAAGGCCTCAAAGAGGTCAAAATATCCACGTGCAGACTTTCCAAACAGAGTGTTTCCAAACTGCTGAATGAAAAGAAAAGTTAAACTCTGTGAGTTGAACGCACACATCCCAGAGCAGTTTCTGAGAAAGATTCTGTCGAGTTTTTATAGGAAAATATTTCCTTTTCTGCTTTTGGCCTCAAAGCGCTTGAAATCTCCACTTGCAAATTCCACAAAAAGAGACTTTCAAATCTGCTCTGTCTAAAGGAAGGTTCAACTCTGTCAGTTGAATACACACAACACAAAGAAGTTACTAAGAATTCTTCCCTCTAGCATTATATGAAGAAATCCCGTTTCCAAAGAAGGCATCTAAGAGGTCCAAATATCCACTTGCAGACTTTACAAACAGAGGGTTTCCAGAATGCTGTATGAAAAGAAAGGTTAAACTCTGTGAGTTAAACACACACATCACTACGCAGTGTCTGGGAACGAGTTTGTCTTGTTTTTATACGAAGATATTTCCTTTTCTACCATTGGCATCGAAGCGCTTGAAATCTCCACTTGCAAATTCCACAAAAAGAGTGTTTCAAATCTGCTCTGTCTAAAGGAAGGTTGAACTCTGTGAGTTGCATACACACAACACAAAGAAGTTACTGAGAAATCTTCTGTCTAGCATAATATGAAGAAATCCCGTTTCCAACGAAGGCCTCAAAGAGGTCCGAATATCCACTGGCAGGCTTCACAAACAGAGTGTTTCCTAACTGCTCTGTGAAAAGAAAGGTTAAACTCTGTGAGTTGAACGCACACATCACAAAGGAGTTTCTGAGAATCATTCTGTCTAGTTTTTATACGAAGATATTTCCTTTTCTACCATTGACCTCAAAGCGGCTGACATCTCCACTTGCAAATTCCAGAAAAACAGTGTTTCAAATCTGCTCTGTGTAAAGGATCGTTCAACTCTGTGAGTTGAATACACACAACACAAGGAAGTTACTGAGAATTCATCTGTCTAGCATAATATGAAGAAATCCCGTTTCCAACGAAGGCCTCAAAGAGGTCTGAATATCCGCTTGCAGACTTTACAAACAGAGTGTTTCCTAACTGCTCTCTGAAAAGAAAGGTTAAACTCTGTGAGTTGAACGCACACATCACAAAACAGTTTCTGAGAATCATTCTGTCTAGTTTTTATACGAAGATATTTCCTTTTCTACCGTTGACCTCAAAGCGGCTGAATTCTCCACTTACAAATTCCACCCAAAGAGTGTCTCAAATCTGCTCTGTGTAAAGAATCATTCAACTCTGTGAGTTGAATGCACACAACACAAGGAAGTTACTGGGAATTCCTCTGTCTATCCTTACATGAAAAAACCCGTTTCCAACGAAGGCCTCTAAGAGGCCAAGATATCCACTTGCAGACTTTACAAACAGAGTGTTTCCAAACTGCTGAATGAAAAGAAAAGTTAAACTCTGTGAGTTGAACGCACACATCACAGAGCAGTTTCTGAGAATGATTCTGTCGGGTTTTTATACGAAGATATTTCCTTTTCTGCCTTTGGCCTCAAAGCGCTTGAAGTCTCCACTTGCAAATTGCAGAAAAAGAGTGTTTCGAATCTGCTCTGTCTAAAGGAAGGTTCAACTCTGTCAGTTGAATACACACAACACAAGGAAGTTACTGAGATTTCTTCTGTCTAGCCTTACATGAAAAAAACCCGTTTCCAACGAAGGCCTCAAAGAGGTCAAAATATCCACGTGCAGACTTTCCAAACAGAGTGTTTCCAAACTGCTGAATGAAAAGAAAAGTTAAACTCTGTGAGTTGAACGCACACATCCCAGAGCAGTTTCTGAGAAAGATTCTGTCGAGTTTTTATAGGAAAATATTTCCTTTTCTGCTTTTGGCCTCAAAGCGCTTGAAATCTCCACTTGCAAATTCCACAAAAAGAGACTTTCAAATCTGCTCTGTCTAAAGGAAGGTTCAACTCTGTCAGTTGAATACACACAACACAAAGAAGTTACTAAGAATTCTTCCCTCTAGCATTATATGAAGAAATCCCGTTTGCAACGAAGGCATCTAAGAGGTCCAAATATCCACTTGCAGACTTTACAAACAGAGGGTTTCCAGAATGCTGTATGAAAAGAAAGGTGAAACTCTGTGAGTTAAACACACACATCACTACGCAGTGTCTGGGAACGAGTTTGTCTTGTTTTTATACGAAGATATTTCCTTTTCTACCATTGGCATCGAAGCGCTTGAAATCTCCACTTGCAAATTCCACAAAAAGAGTGTTTCAAATCTGCTCTGTCTAAAGGAAGGTTGAACTCTGTGAGTTGCATACACACAACACAAAGAAGTTACTGAGAAATCTTCTGTCTAGCATAATATGAAGAAATCCCGTTTCCAACGAAGGCCTCAAAGAGGTCCGAATATCCACTGGCAGGCTTCACAAACAGAGTGTTTCCTAACTGCTCTGTGAAAAGAAAGGTTAAACCCTGTGAGTTGAACGCACACATCACAAAGGAGTTTCTGAGAATCATTCTGTCTAGTTTTTATACGAAGATATTTCCTTTTCTACCATTGACCTCAAAGCGGCTGAAATCTCCACTTGCAAATTCCAGAAAAACAGTGTTTCAAATCTGCTCTGTGTAAAGGATCGTTCAACTCTGTGAGTTGAATACACACAACACAAGGAAGTTACTGAGAATTCATCTGTCTAGCATAATATGAAGAAATCCCGTTTCCAACGAAGGCCTCAAAGAGGTCTGAATATCCACTTGCAGACTTTACAAACAGAGTGTTTCCTAACTGCTCTTTGAAAAGAAAGGTTAAACTCTGTGAGTTGAAAGCACACATCACAAAACAGTTTCTGAGAATCATTCTGTCTAGTTTTTATACGAAGATATTTCCTTTTCTACCGTTGACCTCAAAGCGGCTGAATTCTCCACTTACAAATTCCACCAAAAGAGTGTCTCAAATCTGCTCTGTGTAAAGAATCATTCAACTCTGTGAGTTGAATGCACACAACACAAGGAAGTTACTGGGAATTCCTCTGTCTAACCTTACATGAAAAAACCCGTTTCCAACGAAGGCCTCTAAGAGGCCAAGATATCCACTTGCAGACTTTACAAACAGAGTGTTTCCAAACTGCTGAATGAAAAGAAAAGTTAAACTCTGTGAGTTGAACGCACACATCACAGAGCAGTTTCTGAGAATGATTCTGTCGGGTTTTTATACGAAGATATTTCCTTTTCTGCCTTTGGCCTCAAAGCGCTTGAAGTCTCCACTTGCAAATTGCAGAAAAAGAGTGTTTCGAATCTGCTCTGTCTAAAGGAAGGTTCAACTCTGTCAGTTGAATACACACAACACAAGGAAGTTACTGAGATTTCTTCTGTCTAGCCTTACATGAAAAAAACCCGTTTCCAACGAAGGCCTCAAAGAGGTCAAAATATCCACGTGCAGACTTTCCAAACAGAGTGTTTCCAAACTGCTGAATGAAAAGAAAGTTAAACTCTGTGAGTTGAACACACACATCACAGAGCAGTTTCTGAGAATGATTCTGTCTAGTTTTTATAGGAAAATATTTCCTTTTCTGCTTTTGGCCTCAAAGCGCTTGAAATCTCCACTTGCAAATTCCACAAAAAGAGACTTTCAAATCTGCTCTGTCTAAAGGAAGGTTCAACTCTGTCAGTTGAATACACACAACACAAAGAAGTTACTAAGAATTCTTCCCTCTAGCATTATATGAAGAAATCCCGTTTCCAACGAAGGCATCTAAGAGGTCCAAATATCGACTTGCAGACTTTACAAACAGAGGGTTTCCAGAATGCTGTATGAAAAGAAAGGTGAAACTCTGTGAGTTAAACACACACATCACTACGCAGTGTCTGGGAACGAGTTTGTCTTGTTTTTATACGAAGATATTTCCTTTTCTACCATTGGCATCGAAGCGCTTGAAATCTCCACTTGCAAATTCCACAAAAAGAGTGTTTCAAATCTGCTCTGTCTAAAGGAAGGTTGAACTCTGTGAGTTGCATACACACAACACAAAGAAGTTACTGAGAAATCTTCTGTCTAGCATAATATGAAGAAATCCCGTTTCCAACGAAGGCCTCAAAGAGGTCCGAATATCCACTGGCAGGCTTCACAAACAGAGTGTTTCCTAACTGCTCTGTGAAAAGAAAGGTTAAACTCTGTGAGTTGAACGCACACATCACAAAGGAGTTTCTGAGAATCATTCTGTCTAGTTTTTATACAGAAGATATTTCCTTTTCTACCATTGACCTCAAAGCGGCTGAAATCTCCACTTGCAAATTCCAGAAAAACAGTGTTTCAAATCTGCTCTGTGTAAAGGATCGTTCAACTCTGTGAGTTGAATACACACAACACAAGGAAGTTACTGAGAATTCATCTGTCTAGCATAATATGAAGAAATCCCGTTTCCAACGAAGGCCTCAAAGAGGTCTGAATATCCTCTTGCAGACTTTACAAACAGAGTGTTTCCTAACTGCTCTTTGAAAAGAAAGGTTAAACTCTGTGAGTTGAAAGCACACATCACAAAACAGTTTCTGAGAATCATTCTTTCTAGTTTTTATACGAAGATATTTCCTTTTCTACCGTTGACCTCAAAGCGGCTGAATTCTCCACTTACAAATTCCACCAAAAGAGTGTCTCAAATCTGCTCTGTGTAAAGAATCATTCAACTCTGTGAGTTGAATGCATACAACACAAGGAAGTTACTGGGAATTCCTCTGTCTATCCTTACATGAAAAAACCCGCTTCCAATGAAGGCCTCTAAGAGGCCAAGATATCCACTTGCAGACTTTACAAACAGAGTGTTTCCAAACTGCTGAATGAAAAGAAAAGTTAAACTCTGTGAGTTGAACGCACACATCACAGAGCAGTTTCTGAGAATGATTCTGTCGGGTTTTTATACGAAGATATTTCCTTTTCTGCCTTTGGCCTCAAAGCGCTTGAAGTCTCCACTTGCAAATTGCAGAAAAAGAGTGTTTCGAATCTGCTCTGTCTAAAGGAAGGTTCAACTCTGTCAGTTGAATACACACAACACAAGGAAGTTACTGAGATTTCTTCTGTCTAGCCTTACATGAAAAAAACCCGTTTCCAACGAAGGCCTCAAAGAGGTCAAAATATCCACGTGCAGACTTTCCAAACAGAGTGTTTCCAAACTGCTGAATGAAAAGAAAAGTTAAACTCTGTGAGTTGAACGCACACATCCCAGAGCAGTTTCTGAGAAAGATTCTCTCTAGTTTTTATAAGAAAATATTTCCCTTTCTGCTTTTGGCCTCAAAGCGCTTGAAATCTCCACTTGCAAATTCCACAAAAAGAGACTTTCAAATCTGCTCTGTCTAAAGGAAGGTTCAACTCTGTCAGTTCAATACACACAACACAAAGAAGTTACTAAGAATTCTTCCCTCTAGCATTATATGAAGAAATCCCGTTTCCAACGAAGGCCTCAAAGAGGTCTGAATATCCACTTGCAGATTTTACAGAGTGTTTCCTAACTGCTCTTTGAAAAGAAAGGTTAAACTCTGTGAGTTGAACGCACACATCACAAAACAGTTTCTGAGAATCATTCTGTCTAGTTTTTATACGAAGATATTTCCTTTTCTACCGTTGACCTCAAAGCGGCTGAATTCTCCACTTACAAATTCCACCCAAAGAGTGTCTCAAATCTGCTCTGTGTAAAGAATCATTCAACTCTGTGAGTTGAATGCACACAACACAAGGAAGTTACTGGGAATTCCTCTGTCTAACCTTACATGAAAAAACCCGTTTCCAACGAAGGCCTCTAAGAGGCCAAGATATCCACTTGCAGACTTTACAAACAGAGTGTTTCCAAACTGCTGAATGAAAAGAAAAGTTAAACTCTGTGAGTTGAACGCACACATCACAGAGCAGTTTCTGAGAATGATTCTGTCGGGTTTTTATACGAAGATATTTCCTTTTCTGCCTTTGGCCTCAAAGCGCTTGAAGTCTCCACTTGCAAATTGCAGAAAAAGAGTGTTTCGAATCTGCTCTGTCTAAAGGAAGGTTCAACTCTGTCAGTTGAATACACACAACACAAGGAAGTTACTGAGATTTCTTCTGTCTAGCCTTACATGAAAAAAACCCGTTTCCAACGAAGGCCTCAAAGAGGTCAAAATATCCACGTGCAGACTTTCCAAACAGAGTGTTTCCAAACTCCTGAATGAAAAGAAAAGTTAAACTCTGTGAGTTGAACGCACACATCCCAGAGCAGTTTCTGAGAAAGATTCTGTCTAGTTTTTATAGGAAAATATTTCCTTTTCTGCTTTTGGCCTCAAAGCGCTTGAAATCTCCACTTGCAAATTCCACAAAAAGAGACTTTCAAATCTGCTCTGTCTAAAGGAAAGTTCAACTCTGTCAGTTGAATACACACAACACAAAGAAGTTACTAAGAATTCTTCCCTCTAGCATTATATGAAGAAATCCCGTTTCCAACGAAGGCATCTAAGAGGTCCAAATATCCACTTGCAGACTTTACAAACAGAGGGTTTCCAGAATGCTGTATGAAAAGAAAGGTGAAACTCTGTGAGTTAAACACACACATCACTACGCAGTGTCTGGGAACGAGTTTGTCTTGTTTTTATACGAAGATATTTCCTTTTCAACCATTGGCATCGAAGCGCTTGAAATCTCCACTTGCAAATTCCACAAAAAGAGTGTTTCAAATCTGCTCTGTCTAAAGGAAGGTTGAACTCTGTGAGTTGCATACACACAACACAAAGAAGTTACTGAGAAATCTTCTGTCTAGCATAATATGAAGAAATCCCGTTTCCAACGAAGGCCTCAAAGAGGTCCGAATATCCACTGGCAGGCTTCACAAACAGAGTGTTTCCTAACTGCTCTGTGAAAAGAAAGGTTAAACTCTGTGAGTTGAACGCACACATCACAAAGGAGTTTCTGAGAATCATTCTGTCTAGTTTTTATACGAAGATATTTCCTTTTCTACCGTTGACCTCAAAGCGGCTGAATTCTCCACTTACAAATTCCACCAAAAGAGTGTCTCAAATCTGCTCTGTGTAAAGAATCATTCAACTCTGTGAGTTGAATGCACACAACACAAGGAAGTTACTGGGAATTCCTCTGTCTATCCTTACATGAAAAAACCCGTTTCCAACGAAGGCCTCTAAGAGGCCAAGATATCCACTTGCAGACTTTACAAACAGAGTGTTTCCAAACTGCTGAATGAAAAGGAAAGTTAAACTCTGTGAGTTGAACGCACACATCACAGAGCAGTTTCTGAGAATGATTCTGTCGGGTTTTTATACGAAGATATTTCCTTTTCTGCCTTTGGCCTCAAAGCGCTTGAAGTCTCCACTTGCAAATTGCAGAAAAAGAGTGTTTCGAATCTGCTCTGTCTAAAGGAAGGTTCAACTCTGTCAGTTGAATACACACAACACAAGGAAGTTACTGAGATTTCTTCTGTCTAGCCTTACATGAAAAAAACCCGTTTCCAACGAAGGCCTCAAAGAGGTCAAAATATCCACGTGCAGACTTTCCAAACAGAGTGTTTCCAAACTGCTGAATGAAAAGAAAGTTAAACTCTGTGAGTTGAACACACACATCACAGAGCAGTTTCTGAGAATGATTCTGTCTAGTTTATATAGGAAAATATTTCCTTTTCTGCTTTTGGCCTCAAAGCGCTTGAAATCTCCACTTGCAAATTCCACAAAAAGAGACTTTCAAATCTGCTCTGTCTAAAGGAAGGTTCAACTCTGTCAGTTGAATACACACAACACAAAGAAGTTACTAAGAATTCTTCCCTCTAGCATTATATGAGGAAATCCCGTTTCCAACGAAGGCATCTAAGAGGTCCAAATATCCACTTGCAGACTTTACAAACAGAGGGTTTCCAGAATGCTGTATGAAAAGAAAGGTTAAACTCTGTGAGTTAAACACACACATCACTACGCAGTGTCTGGGAACGAGTTTGTCTTGTTTTTATACGAAGAATATTTCCTTTTCTACCATTGGCATCGAAGCGCTTGAAATCTCCACTTGCAAATTCCACAAAAAGAGTGTTTCAAATCTGCTCTGTCTAAAGGAAGGTTGAACTCTGTGAGTTGCATACACACAACACAAAGAAGTTACTGAGAAATCTTCTGTCTAGCATAATATGAAGAAATCCCGTTTCCAACGAAGGCCTCAAAGAGGTCCGAATATCCACTGGCAGGCTTCACAAACAGAGTGTTTCCTAACTGCTCTGTGAAAAGAAAGGTTAAACTCTGTGAGTTGAACGCACACATCACAAAGGAGTTTCTGAGAATCATTCTGTCTAGTTTTTATACGAAGATATTTCCTTTTCTACCATTGACCTCAAAGCAGCTGAAATCTCCACTTGCAAATTCCAGAAAAACAGTGTTTCAAATCTGCTCTGTGTAAAGGATCGTTCAACTCTGTGAGTTGAATACACACAACACAAGGAAGTTACTGAGAATTCATCTGTCTAGCATAATATGAAGAAATCCCGTTTCCAACGAAGGCCTCAAAGAGGTCTGAATATCCACTTGCAGACTTTACACACGGAGTGTTTCCTAACTGCTCTTTGAAAAGAAAGGTTAAACTCTGTGAGTTGAACGCACACATCACAAAACAGTTTCTGAGAATCATTCTGTCTAGTTTTTATACGAAGATATTTCCTTTTCTACCGTTGACCTCAAAGCGGCTGAATTCTCCACTTACAAATTCCACCAAAAGAGTGTCTCAAATCTGCTCTGTGTAAAGAATCATTCAACTCTGTGAGTTGAATGCACACAACACAAGGAAGTTACTGGGAATTCCTCTGTCTAACCTTACATGAAAAAACCCGTTTCCAACGAAGGCCTCTAAGAGGCCAAGATATCCACTGGCAGACTTTACAAACAGAGTGTTTCCAAACTGCTGAATGAAAAGAAAAGTTAAACTCTGTGAGTTGAACGCACACATCACAGAGCAGTTTCTGAGAATGATTCTGTCGGGTTTTTCTACGAAGATATTTCCTTTTCTGCCTTTGGCCTCAAAGCGCTTGAAGTCTCCACTTGCAAATTGCAGAAAAAGAGTGTTTCGAATCTGCTCTGTCTAAAGGAAGGTTCAACTCTGTCAGTTGAATACACACAACACAAGGAAGTTACTGAGATTTCTTCTGTCTAGCCTTACATGAAAAAAACCCGTTTCCAACGAAGGCCTCAAAGAGGTCAAAATATCCACGTGCAGACTTTCCAAACAGAGTGTTTCCAAACTGCTGAATGAAAAGAAAAGTTAAACTCTGTGAGTTGAACGCACACATCCCAGAGCAGTTTCTGAGAAAGATTCTGTCGAGTTTTTATAGGAAAATATTTCCTTTTCTGCTTTTGGCCTCAAAGCGCTTGAAATCTCCACTTGCAAATTCCACAAAAAGAGACTTTCAAATCTGCTCTGTCTAAAGGAAGGTTCAACTCTGTCAGTTGAATACACACAACACAAAGAAGTTACTAAGAATTCTTCCCTCTAGCATTATATGAAGAAATCCCGTTTCCAACGAAGGCATCTAAGAGGTCCAAATATCCACTTGCAGACTTTACAAACACACGGTTTCCAGAATGCTGTATGAAAAGAAAGGTGAAACTCTGTGAGTTAAACACACACATCACTACGCAGTGTCTGGGAACGAGTTTGTCTTGTTTTTATACGAAGATATTTCCTTTTCTACCATTGGCATCGAAGCGCTTGAAATCTCCACTTGCAAATTCCACAAAAAGAGTGTTTCAAATCTGCTCTGTCTAAAGGAAGGTTGAACTCTGTGAGTTGCATACACACAACACAAAGAAGTTACTGAGAAATCTTCTGTCTAGCATAATATGAAGAAATCCCGTTTCCAACGAAGGCCTCAAAGAGGTCCGAATATCCACTGGCAGGCTTCACAAACAGAGTGTTTCCTAACTGCTCTGTGAAAAGAAAGGTTAAACTCTGTGAGTTGAACGCACACATCACAAAGGAGTTTCTGAGAATCATTCTGTCTAGTTTTTATACGAAGATATTTCCTTTTCTACCATTGACCTCAAAGCGGCTGAAATCTCCACTTGCAAATTCCAGAAAAACAGTGTTTCAAATCTGCTCTGTGTAAAGGATCGTTCAACTCTGTGAGTTGAATACACACAACACAAGGAAGTTACTGAGAATTCATCTGTCTAGCATAATATGAAGAAATCCCGTTTCCAACGAAGGCCTCAAAGAGGTCTGAATATCCACTTGCAGACTTTACAAACAGAGTGTTTCCTAACTGCTCTTTGAAAAGAAAGGTTAAACTCTGTGAGTTGAACGCACACATCACAAAACAGTTTCTGAGAATCATTCTGTCTAGTTTTTATACGAAGATATTTCCTTTTCTACCGTTGACCTCAAAGCGGCTGAATTCTCCACTTACAAATTCCACCAAAAGAGTGTCTCAAATCTGCTCTGTGTAAAGAATCATTCAACTCTGTGAGTTGAATGCACACAACACAAGGAAGTTACTGGGAATTCCTCTGTCTAACCTTACATGAAAAAACCCGTTTCCAACGAAGGCCTCTAAGAGGCCAAGATATCCACTTGCAGACTTTACAAACAGAGTGTTTCCAAACTGCTGAATGAAAAGAAAAGTTAAACTCTGTGAGTTGAACGCACACATCACAGAGCAGTTTCTGAGAAAGATTCTGTCTAGTTTTTATAGGAAAATATTTCCTTTTCTGCTTTTGGCCTCAAAGCGCTTGAAATCTCCACTTGCAAATTCCACAAAAAGAGTGTTTCAAATCTGCTCTGTCTAAAGGAAGGTTGAACTCTGTGAGTTGCATACACACAACACAAAGAAGTTACTGAGAAATCTTCTGTCTAGCATAATATGAAGAAATCCCGTTTCCAACGAAGGCCTCAAAGAGGTCCGAATATCCACTGGCAGGCTTCTCAAACAGAGTGTTTCCTAACTGCTCTGTGAAAAGAAAGGTTAAACTCTGTGAGTTGAACGCACACATCACAAAGGAGTTTCTGAGAATCATTCTGTCTAGTTTTTATACGAAGATATTTCCTTTTCTACCATTGACCTCAAAGCGGCTGAAATCTCCACTTGCAAATTCCAGAAAAACAGTGTTTCAAATCTGCTCTGTGTAAAGGATCGTTCAACTCTGTGAGTTGAATACACACAACACAAGGAAGTTACTGAGAATTCATCTGTCTAGCATAATATGAAGAAATCCCGTTTCCAACGAAGGCCTCAAAGAGGTCTGAATATCCACTTGCAGACTTTACAAACAGAGTGTTTCCTCACTGCTCTTTGAAAAGAAAGGTTAAACTCTGTGAGTTGAACGCACACATCACAAAACAGTTTCTGAGAATCATTCTGTCTAGTTTTTATACGAAGATATTTCCTTTTCTACCGTTGACCTCAAAGCGGCTGAATTCTCCACTTACAAATTCCACCAAAAGAGTGTCTCAAATCTGCTCTGTGTAAAGAATCATTCAACTCTGTGAGTTGAATGCACACAACACAAGGAAGTTACTGGGAATTCCTCTGTCTATCCTTACATGAAAAAACCCGTTTCCAACGAAGGCCTCTAAGAGGCCAAGATATCCACTTGCAGACTTTACAAACAGAGTGTTTCCAAACTGCTGAATGAAAAGAAAAGTTAAACTCTGTGAGTTGAACGCACACATCACAGAGCAGTTTCTGAGAATGATTCTGTCGGGTTTTTATACGAAGATATTTCCTTTTCTGCCTTTGGCCTCAAAGCGCTTGAAGTCTCCACTTGCAAATTGCAGAAAAAGAGTGTTTCGAATCTGCTCTGTCTAAAGGAAGGTTCAACTCTGTCAGTTGAATACACACAACACAAGGAAGTTACTGAGATTTCTTCTGTCTAGCCTTACATGAAAAAAACCCGTTTCCAACGAAGGCCTCAAAGAGGTCAAAATATCCACGTGCAGACTTTCCAAACAGTGTTTCCAAACTGCTGAATGAAAAGAAAAGTTAAACTCTGTGAGTTGAACGCACACATCACAGAGCAGTTTCTGAGAATGATTCTGTCGAGTTTTTATAGGAAAATATTTCCTTTTCTGCTTTTGGCCTCAAAGCGCTTGAAATCTCCACTTGCAAATTCCACAAAAAGAGACTTTCAAATCTGCTCTGTCTAAAGGAAGGTTCAACTCTGTCAGTTGAATACACACAACACAAAGAAGTTACTAAGAATTCTTCCCTCTAGCATTATATGAAGAAATCCCGTTTCCAACGAAGGCATCTAAGAGGTCCAAATATCCACTTGCAGACTTTACAAACAGAGGGTTTCCAGAATGCTGTATGAAAAGAAAGGTTAAACTCTGTGAGTTAAACACACACATCACTACGCAGTGTCTGGGAACGAGTTTGTCTTGTTTTTATACGAAGATATTTCCTTTTCTACCATTGGCATCGAAGCGCTTGAAATCTCCACTTGCAAATTCCACAAAAAGAGTGTTTCAAATCTGCTCTGTCTAAAGGAAGGTTGAACTCTGTGAGTTGCATACACACAACACAAAGAAGTTACTGAGAAATCTTCTGTCTAGCATAATATGAAGAAATCCCGTTTCCAACGAAGGCCTCAAAGAGGTCCGAATATCCACTGGCAGGCTTCACAAACAGAGTGTTTCCTAACTGCTCTGTGAAAAGAAAGGTTAAACTCTGTGAGTTGAACGCACACATCACAAAGGAGTTTCTGAGAATCATTCTGTCTAGTTTTTATACAGAAGATATTTCCTTTTCTACCATTGACCTCAAAGCGGCTGAAATCTCCACTTGCAAATTCCAGAAAAACAGTGTTTCAAATCTGCTCTGTGTAAAGGATCGTTCAACTCTGTGAGTTGAATACACACAACACAAGGAAGTTACTGAGAATTCATCTGTCTAGCATAATATGAAGAAATCCCGTTTCCAACGAAGGCCTCAAAGAGGTCTGAATATCCACTTGCAGACTTTACAAACAGAGTGTTTCCTAACTGCTCTTTGAAAAGAAAGGTTAAACTCTGTGAGTTGAACGCACACATCACAAAACAGTTTCTGAGAATCATTCTGTCTAGTTTTTATACGGAGATATTTCCTTTTCTACCGTTGACCTCAAAGCGGCTGAATTCTCCACTTACAAATCCCACCAAAAGAGTGTCTCAAATCTGCTCTGTGTAAAGAATCATTCAACTCTGTGAGTTGAATGCACACAACACAAGGAAGTTACTGGGAATTCCTCTGTCTAACCTTACATGAAAAAACCCGTTTCCAACGAAGGCCTCTAAGAGGCCAAGATATCCACTTGCAGACTTTACAAACAGAGTGTTTCCAAACTGCTGAATGAAAAGAAAAGTTAAACTCTGTGAGTTGAACGCACACATCACAGAGCAGTTTCTGAGAATGATTCTGTCGGGTTCTTATACGAAGATATTTCCTTTTCTGCCTTTGGCCTCAAAGCGCTTGAAGTCTCCACTTGCAAATTGCAGAAAAAGAGTGTTTCGAATCTGCTCTGTCTAAAGGAAGGTTCAACTCTGTCAGTTGAATACACAACACAAGGAAGTTACTGAGATTTCTTCTGTCTAGCCTTACATGAAAAAAACCCGTTTCCAACGAAGGCCTCAAAGAGGTCAAAATATCCAAGGCAGACTTTCCAAACAGAGTGTTTCCAAACGCTGAATGAAAAGAAAAGTTAAACTCTGTGAGTTGAACGCACACATCCCAGAGCAGTTTCTGAGAAAGATTCTGTCGAGGTTTTATAGGAAAATATTTCCTTTTCTGCTTTTGGCCTCAAAGCGCTTGAAATCTCCACTTGCAAATTCCACAAAAAGAGACTTTCAAATCTGCTCTGTCTAAAGGAAGGTTCAACTCTGTCAGTTGAATACACACAACACAAAGAAGTTACTAAGAATTCTTCCCTCTAGCATTATATGAAGAAATCCCGTTTCCAACGAAGGCATCTAAGAGGTCCAAATATCGACTTGCAGACTTTACAAACAGAGGGTTTCCAGAATGCTGTATGAAAAGAAAGGTTAAACTCTGTGAGTTAAACACACACATCACTACGCAGTGTCTGGGAACGAGTTTGTCTTGTTTTTATACGAAGATATTTCCTTTTCTACCATTGGCATCGAAGCGCTTGAAATCTCCACTTGCAAATTCCACAAAAAGAGTGTTTCAAATCTGCTCTGTCTAAAGGAAGGTTGAACTCTGTGAGTTGCATACACACAACACAAAGAAGTTACTGAGAAATCTTCTGACTAGCATAATATGAAGAAATCCCGTTTCCAACGAAGGCCTCAAAGAGGTCCGAATATCCACTGGCAGGCTTCACAAACAGAGTGTTTCCTAACTGCTCTGTGAAAAGAAAGGTTAAACTCTGTGAGTTGAACGCACACATCACAAAGGAGTTTCTGAGAATCATTCTGTCTAGTTTTTATACGAAGATATTTCCTTTTCTACCATTGACCTCAAAGCGGCTGAAATCTCCACTTGCAAATTCCAGAAAAACAGTGTTTCAAATCTGCTCTGTGTAAAGGATCGTTTAACTCTGTGAGTTGAATACACACAACACAAGGAAGTTACTGAGAATTCATCTGTCTAGCATAATATGAAGAAATCCCGTTTCCAACGAAGGCCTCAAAGAGGTCTGAATATCCACTTGCAGACTTTACAAACAGAGTGTTTCCTAACTGCTCTTTGAAAAGAAAGGTTAAACTCTGTGAGTTGAAAGCACACATCACAAAACAGTTTCTGAGAATCATTCTTTCTAGTTTTTATACGAAGATATTTCCTTTTCTACCGTTGACCTCAAAGCGGCTGAATTCTCCACTTACAAATTCCACCAAAAGAGTGTCTCAAATCTGCTCTGTGTAAAGAATCATTCAACTCTGTGAGTTGAATGCATACAACACAAGGAAGTTACTGGGAATTCCTCTGTCTATCCTTACATGAAAAAACCCGCTTCCAACGAAGGCCTCTAAGAGGCCAAGATATCCACTTGCAGACTTTACAAACAGAGTGTTTCCAAACTGCTGAATGAAAAGAAAAGTTAAACTCTGTGAGTTGAACGCACACATCACAGAGCAGTTTCTGAGAATGATTCTGTCGGGTTTTTATACGAAGATATTTCCTTTTCTGCCTTTGGCCTCAAAGCGCTTGAAGTCTCCACTTGCAAATTGCAGAAAAAGAGTGTTTCGAATCTGCTCTGTCTAAAGGAAGGTTCAACTCTGTCAGTTGAATACACACAACACAAGGAAGTTACTGAGATTTCTTCTGTCTAGCCTTACATGAAAAAAACCCGTTTCCAACGAAGGCCTCAAAGAGGTCAAAATATCCACGTGCAGACTTTCCAAACAGAGTGTTTCCAAACTGCTGAATGAAAAGAAAAGTTAAACTCTGTGAGTTGAACGCACACATCCCAGAGCAGTTTCTGAGAAAGATTCTGTCGAGTTTTTATAGGAAAATATTTCCTTTTCTGCTTTTGGCCTCAAAGCGCTTGAAATCTCCACTTGCAAATTCCACAAAAAGAGACTTTCAAATCTGCTCTGTCTAAAGGAAGGTTCAACTCTGTCAGTTGAATACACACAACACAAAGAAGTTACTAAGAATTCTTCCCTCTAGCATTATATGAAGAAATCCCGTTTCCAACGAAGGCATCTAAGAGGTCCAAATATCCACTTGCAGACTTTACAAACAGAGGGTTTCCAGAATGCTGTATGAAAAGAAAGGTGAAACTCTGTGAGTTAAACACACACATCACTACGCAGTGTCTGGGAACGAGTTTGTCTTGTTTTTATACGAAGATATTTCCTTTTCTACCATTGGCATCGAAGCGCTTGAAATCTCCACTTGCAAATTCCACAAAAAGAGTGTTTCAAATCTGCTCTGTCTAAAGGAAGGTTGAACTCTGTGAGTTGCATACACACAACACAAAGAAGTTACTGAGAAATCTTCTGTCTAGCATAATATGAAGAAATCCCGTTTCCAACGAAGGCCTCAAAGAGGTCCGAATATCCACTGGCAGGCTTCACAAACAGAGTGTTTCCTAACTGCTCTGTGAAAAGAAAGGTTAAACTCTGTGAGTTGAACGCACACATCACAAAGGAGTTTCTGAGAATCATTCTGTCTAGTTTTTATACGAAGATATTTCCTTTTCTACCATTGACCTCAAAGCGGCTGAAATCTCCACTTGCAAATTCCAGAAAAACAGTGTTTCAAATCTGCTCTGTGTAAAGGATCGTTCAACTCTGTGAGTTGAATACACACAACACAAGGGAAGTTACTGAGAATTCATCTGTCTAGCATAATATGAAGAAATCCCGTTTCCAACGAAGGCCTCAAAGAGGTCTGAATATCCACTTGCAGACTTTACAAACAGAGTGTTTCCTAACTGCTCTCTGAAAAGAAAGGTTAAACTCTGTGAGTTGAACGCACACATCACAAAACAGTTTCTGAGAATCATTCTGTCTAGTTTTTATACGAAGATATTTCCTTTTCTACCGTTGACCTCAAAGCGGCTGAATTCTCCACTTACAAATTCCACCAAAAGAGTGTCTCAAATCTGCTCTGTGTAAAGAATCATTCAACTCTGTGAGTTGAATGCACACAACACAAGGGAAGTTACTGGGAATTCCTCTGTCTATCCTTACATGAAAAAACCCGTTTCCAACGAAGGCCTCTAAGAGGCCAAGATATCCACTTGCAGACTTTACAAACAGAGTGTTTCCAAACTGCTGAATGAAAAGAAAAGTTAAACTCTGTGAGTTGAACGCACACATCACAGAGCAGTTTCTGAGAATGATTCTGTCGGGTTTTTATACGAAGATATTTCCTTTTCTGCCTTTGGCCTCAAAGCGCTTGAAGTCTCCACTTGCAAATTGCAGAAAAAGAGTGTTTCGAATCTGCTCTGTCTAAAGGAAGGTTCAACTCTGTCAGTTGAATACACACAACACAAGGAAGTTACTGAGATTTCTTCTGTCTAGCCTTACATGAAAAAAACCCGTTTCCAACGAAGGCCTCAAAGAGGTCAAAATATCCACGTGCAGACTTTCCAAACAGAGTGTTTCCAAACTGCTGAATGAAAAGAAAAGTTAAACTCTGTGAGTTGAACGCACACATCCCAGAGCAGTTTCTGAGAAAGATTCTGTCGAGTTTTTATAGGAAAATATTTCCTTTTCTGCTTTTGGCCTCAAAGCGCTTGAAATCTCCACTTGCAAATTCCACAAAAAGAGACTTTCAAATCTGCTCTGTCTAAAGGAAGGTTCAACTCTGTCAGTTGAATACACACAACACAAAGAAGTTACTAAGAATTCTTCCCTCTAGCATTATATGAAGAAATCCCGTTTCCAACGAAGGCATCTAAGAGGTCCAAATATCCACTTGCAGACTTTACAAACAGAGGGTTTCCAGAATGCTGTATGAAAAGAAAGGTTAAACTCTGTGAGTTAAACACACACATCACTACGCAGTGTCTGGGAACGAGTTTGTCTTGTTTTTATACGAAGATATTTCCTTTTCTACCATTGGCATCGAAGCGCTTGAAATCTCCACTTGCAAATTCCACAAAAAGAGTGTTTCAAATCTGCTCTGTCTAAAGGAAGGTTGAACTCTGTGAGTTGCATATACACAACACAAAGAAGTTACTGAGAAATCTTCTGTCTAGCATAATATGAAGAAATCCCGTTTCCAACGAAGGCCTCAAAGGAGGTCCGAATATCCACTGGCAGGCTTCACAAACAGAGTGTTTCCTAACTGCTCTGTGAAAAGAAAGGTTAAACTCTGTGAGTTGAACGCACACATCACAAAGGAGTTTCTGAGAATCATTCTGTCTAGTTTTTATACGAAGATATTTCCTTTTCTACCATTGACCTCAAAGCAGCTGAAATCTCCACTTGCAAATTCCAGAAAAACAGTGTTTCAAATCTGCTCTGTGTAAAGGATCGTTCAACTCTGTGAGTTGAATACACACAACACAAGGAAGTTACTGAGAATTCATCTGTCTAGCATAATATGAAGAAATCCCGTTTCCAACGAAGGCCTCAAAGACGTCTGAATATCCACTTGCAGACTTTACAAACAGAGTGTTTCCTAACTGCTCTTTGAAAAGAAAGGTTAAACTCTGTGAGTTGAACGCACACATCACAAAACAGTTTCTGAGAATCATTCTGTCTAGATTTTATACGAAGATATTTCCTTTTCTACCGTTGACCTCAAAGCGGCTGAATTCTCCACTTACAAATTCCACCAAAAGAGTGTCTCAAATCTGCTCTGTGTAAAGAATCATTCAACTCTGTGAGTTGAATGCACACAACACAAGGAAGTTACTGGGAATTCCTCTGTCTAACCTTACATGAAAAAACCCGTTTCCAACGAAGGCCTCTAAGAGGCCAAGATATCCACTTGCAGACTTTACAAACAGAGTGTTTCCAAACTGCTGAATGAAAAGAAAAGTTAAACTCTGTGAGTTGAACGCACACATCACAGAGCAGTTTCTGAGAATGATTCTGTCGGGTTTTTATACGAAGATATTTCCTTTTCTGCCTTTGGCCTCAAAGCGCTTGAAGTCTCCACTTGCAAATTGCAGAAAAAGAGTGTTTCGAATCTGCTCTGTCTAAAGGAAGGTTCAACTCTGTCAGTTGAATACACACAACACAAGGAAGTTACTGAGATTTCTTCTGTCTAGCCTTACATGAAAAAAACCCGTTTCCAACGAAGGCCTCAAAGAGGTCAAAATATCCACGTGCAGACTTTCCAAACAGAGTGTTTCCAAACTGCTGAATGAAAAGAAAAGTTAAACTCTGTGAGTTGAACGCACACATCCCAGAGCAGTTTCTGAGAAAGATTCTGTCGAGGTTTTATAGGAAAATATTTCCTTTTCTGCTTTTGGCCTCAAAGCGCTTGAAATCTCCACTTGCAAATTCCACAAAAAGAGACTTTCAAATCTGCTCTGTCTAAAGGAAGGTTCAACTCTGTCAGTTGAATACACACAACACAAAGAAGTTACTAAGAATTCTTCCCTCTAGCATTATATGAAGAAATCCCGTTTCCAACGAAGGCATCTAAGAGGTCCAAATATCGACTTGCAGACTTTACAAACAGAGGGTTTCCAGAATGCTGTATGAAAAGAAAGGTGAAACTCTGTGAGTTAAACACACACATCACTACGCAGTGTCTGGGAACGAGTTTGTCTTGTTTTTATACGAAGATATTTCCTTTTCTACCATTGGCATCGAAGCGCTTGAAATCTCCACTTGCAAATTCCACAAAAAGAGTGTTTCAAATCTGCTCTGTCTAAAGGAAGGTTGAACTCTGTGAGTTGCATACACACAACACAAAGAAGTTACTGAGAAATCTTCTGTCTAGCATAATATGAAGAAATCCCGTTTCCAACGAAGGCCTGAAAGAGGTCCGAATATCCACTGGCAGGCTTCACAAACAGAGTGTTTCCTAACTGCTCTGTGAAAAGAAAGGTTAAACTCTGTGAGTTGAACGCACACATCACAAAGGAGTTTCTGAGAATCATTCTGTCTAGTTTTTATACGAAGATATTTCCTTTTCTACCATTGACCTCAAAGCGGCTGAAATCTCCACTTGCAAATTCCAGAAAAACAGTGTTTCAAATCTGCTCTGTGTAAAGGATCGTTCAACTCTGTGAGTTGAATACACACAACACAAGGAAGTTACTGAGAATTCATCTGTCTAGCATAATATGAAGAAATCCCGTTTCCAACGAAGGCCTCAAAGAGGTCTGAATATCCACTTGCAGACTTTACAAACAGAGTGTTTCCTAACTGCTCTTTGAAAAGAAAGGTTAAACTCTGTGAGTTGAACGCACACATCACAAAACAGTTTCTGAGAATCATTCTGTCTAGTTCTTATACGAAGATATTTCCTTTTCTACCGTTGACCTCAAAGCGGCTGAATTCTCCACTTACAAATTCCACCAAAAGAGTGTCTCAAATCTGCTCTGTGTAAAGAATCATTCAACTCTGTGAGTTGAATGCACACAACACAAGGAAGTTACTGGGAATTCCTCTGTCTATCCTTACATGAAAAAACCCGTTTCCAACGAAGGCCTCTAAGAGGCCAAGATATCCACTTGCAGACTTTACAAACAGAGTGTTTCCAAACTGCTGAATGAAAAGAAAAGTTAAACTCTGTGAGTTGAACGCACACATCACAGAGCAGTTTCTGAGAATGATTCTGTCGGGTTTTTATACGAAGATATTTCCTTTTCTGCCTTTGGCCTCAAAGCGCTTGAAGTCTCCACTTGCAAATTGCAGAAAAAGAGTGTTTCGAATCTGCTCTGTCTAAAGGAAGGTTCAACTCTGTCAGTTGAATACACACAACACAAGGAAGTTACTGAGATTTCTTCTGTCTAGCCTTACATGAAAAAAACCCGTTTCCAACGAAGGCCTCAAAGAGGTCAAAATATCCACGTGCAGAGTTTCCAAACAGAGTGTTTCCAAACTGCTGAATGAAAAGAAAGTTAAACTCTGTGAGTTGAACACACACATCACAGAGCAGTTTCTGAGAATGATTCTCTCTAGTTTTTATAGGAAAATACTTCCTTTTCTGCTTTTGGCCTCAAAGCGCTTGAAATCTCCACTTGCAAATTCCACAAAAAGAGACTTTCAAATCTGCTCTGTCTAAAGGAAGGTTCAACTCTGTCAGTTGAATACACACAACACAAAGAAGTTACTAAGAATTCTTCCCTCTAGCATTATATGAAGAAATCCCGTTTCCAACGAAGGCCTCAAAGAGGTCTGAATATCCACTTGCAGACTTTACAGAGTGTTTCCTAACTGCTCTTTGAAAAGAAAGGTTAAACTCTGTGAGTTGAACGCACACATCACAAAACAGTTTCTGAGAATCATTCTGTCTAGTTTTTATACGAAGGTATTTCCTTTTCTACCGTTGACCTCAAAGCGGCTGAATTCTCCACTTACAAATTCCACCCAAAGAGTGTCTCAAATCTGCTCTGTGTAAAGAATCATTCAACTCTGTGAGTTGAATGCACACAACACAAGGAAGTTACTGGGAATTCCTCTGTCTAACCTTACATGAAAAAACCCGTTTCCAACGAAGGCCTCTAAGAGGCCAAGATATCCACTTGCAGACTTTACAAACAGAGTGTTTCCAAACTGCTGAATGAAAAGAAAAGTTAAACTCTGTGAGTTGAACGCACACATCACAGAGCAGTTTCTGAGAATGATTCTGTCGGGTTTTTATACGAAGATATTTCCTTTTCTGCCTTTGGCCTCAAAGCGCTTGAAGTCTCCACTTGCAAATTGCAGAAAAAGAGTGTTTCGAATCTGCTCTGTCTAAAGGAAGGTTCAACTCTGTCAGTTGAATACACACAACACAAGGAAGTTACTGAGATTTCTTCTGTCTAGCCTTACATGAAAAAAACCCGTTTCCAACGAAGGCCTCAAAGAGGTCAAAATATCCACGTGCAGACTTTCCAAACAGAGTGTTTCCAAACTGCTGAATGAAAAGAAAAGTTAAACTCTGTGAGTTGAACGCACACATCCCAGAGCAGTTTCTGAGAAAGATTCTGTCGAGTTTTTATAGGAAAATATTTCCTTTTCTGCTTTTGGCCTCAAAGCGCTTGAAATCTCCACTTGCAAATTCCACAAAAAGAGACTTTCAAATCTGCTCTGTCTAAAGGAAGGTTCAACTCTGTCAGTTGAATACACACAACACAAAGAAGTTACTAAGAATTCTTCCCTCTAGCATTATATGAAGAAATCCCGTTTCCAACGAAGGCATCTAAGAGGTCCAAATATCCACTTGCAGACTTTACAAACAGAGGGTTTCCAGAATGCTGTATGAAAAGAAAGGTGAAGCTCTGTGAGTTAAACACACACATCACTACGCAGTGTCTGGGAACGAGTTTGTCTTGTTTTTATACGAAGATATTTCCTTTTCTACCATTGGCATCGAAGCGCTTGAAATCTCCACTTGCAAATTCCACAAAAAGAGTGTTTCAAATCTGCTCTGTCTAAAGGAAGGTTGAACTCTGTGAGTTGCATATACACAACACAAAGAAGTTACTGAGAAATCTTCTGTCTAGCATAATATGAAGAAATCCCGTTTCCAACGAAGGCCTCAAAGAGGTCTGAATATCCACTGGCAGGCTTCACAAACAGAGTGTTTCCTAACTGCTCTGTGAAAAGAAAGGTTAAACTCTGTGAGTTGAACGCACACATCACAAAGGAGTTTCTGAGAATCATTATCTGTCTAGTTTTTATACGAAGATATTTCCTTTTCTACCATTGACCTCAAAGCGGCTGACATCTCCACTTGCAAATTCCAGAAAAACAGTGTTTCAAATCTGCTCTGTGTAAAGGATCGTTCAACTCTGTGAGTTGAATACACACAACACAAGGAAGTTACTGAGAATTCATCTGTCTAGCATAATATGAAGAAATCCCGTTTCCAACGAAGGCCTCAAAGAGGTCTGAATATCCACTTGCAGACTTTACAGAGTGTTTCCTAACTGCTCTTTGAAAAGAAAGGTTAAACTCTGTGAGTTGAACGCACACATCACAAAACAGTTTCTGAGAATCATTCTGTCTAGTTTTTATACGAAGATATTTCCTTTTCTACCGTTGACCTCAAAGCGGCTGAATTCTCCACTTACAAATTCCACCAAAAGAGTGTCTCAAATCTGCTCTGTGTAAAGAATCATTCAACTCTGTGAGTTGAATGCACACAACACAAGGAAGTTACTGGGAATTTCTCTGTCTATCCTTACATGAAAAAACCCGTTTCCAACGAAGGCCTCTAAGAGGCCAAGATATCCACTTGCAGACTTTACAAACAGAGTGTTTCCAAACTGCTGAATGAAAAGAAAAGTTAAACTCTGTGAGTTGAACGCACACATCACAGAGCAGTTTCTGAGAATGATTCTGTCGGGTTTTTATACGAAGATATTTCCTTTTCTGCCTTTGGCCTCAAAGCGCTTGAAGTCTCCACTTGCAAATTGCAGAAAAAGAGTGTTTCGAATCTGCTCTGTCTAAAGGAAGGTTCAACTCTGTCAGTTGAATACACACAACACAAGGAAGTTACTGAGATTTCTTCTGTCTAGCCTTACATGAAAAAAACCCGTTTCCAACGAAGGCCTCAAAGAGGTCAAAATATCCACGTGCAGACTTTCCAAACAGAGTGTTTCCAAACTGCTGAATGAAAAGAAAAGTTAAACTCTGTGAGTTGAACGCACACATCCCAGAGCAGTTTCTGAGAAAGATTCTGTCGAGTTTTTATAGGAAAATATTTCCTTTTCTGCTTTTGGCCTCAAAGCGCTTGAAATCTCCACTTGCAAATTCCACAAAAAGAGACTTTCAAATCTGCTCTGTCTAAAGGAAGGTTCAACTCTGTCAGTTGAATACACACAACACAAAGAAGTTACTAAGAATTCTTCCCTCTAGCATTATATGAAGAAATCCCGTTTCCAACGAAGGCATCTAAGAGGTCCAAATATCCACTTGCAGACTTTACAAACACAGGGTTTCCAGAATGCTGTATGAAAAGAAAGGTTAAACTCTGTGAGTTAAACACACACATCACTACGCAGTGTCTGGGAACGAGTTTGTCTTGTTTTTATACGAAGATATTTCCTTTTCTACCATTGGCATCGAAGCGCTTGAAATCTCCACTTGCAAATTCCACAAAAAGAGTGTTTCAAATCTGCTCTGTCTAAAGGAAGGTTGAACTCTGTGAGTTGCATACACACAACACAAAGAAGTTACTGAGAAATCTTCTGTCTAGCATAATACGAAGAAATCCCGTTTCCAACGAAGGCCTCAAAGAGGTCCGAATATCCACTGGCAGGCTTCACAAACAGAGTGTTTCCTAACTGCTCTGTGAAAAGAAAGGTTAAACTCTGTGAGTTGAACGCACACATCACAAAGGAGTTTCTGAGAATCATACTGTCTAGTTTTGAAACGAAGTTATTTCCTTTTCTGCCATTGACCTTAAAGCGCTTGAAATCTCCACTTGCAAATTGCACAAAAAGAGTGTTTCAAATCTGCTCTGTCTAAAGGAACGTTCAACTCTGTGAGTTGAATGCACACAACACAAAGAAGTTACCGGGAATTCTTCTGTCTAGCCTTACATGAAAAAAAACCGTTTCCAACGAAGGCCTCAAAGTGGTCAATATATCCACTTGCAGACTATACAAACAGAGTGCTTCCAAACTGCTGAATGAAAAGAAAAGTTAAACTCTGTGAGTTGAACGCACACATCACAGAGCAGTTTCTGAGAATGATTCTGTCGGGTTTTTATACAAAGATATTTCCTTTTCTGCCTTTGGCCTCAAAGCGCTTGAAGTCTCCACTTGCAAATTGCAGAAAAAGAGTGTTTCGAATCTGCTCTGTCTAAAGGAAGGTTCAACTCTGTCAGTTGAATACACACAACACAAGGAAGTTACTGAGATTTCTTCTGTCTAGCCTTACATGAAAAAAACCCGTTTCCAACGAAGGCCTCAAAGAGGTCAAAATATCCACGTGCAGACTTTCCAAACAGAGTGTTTCCAAACTGCTGAATGAAAAGAAAAGTTAAACTCTGTGAGTTGAACGCACACATCCCAGAGCAGTTTCTGAGAAAGATTCTGTCGAGTTTTTATAGGAAAATATTTCCTTTTCTGCTTTTGGCCTCAAAGCGCTTGAAATCTCCACTTGCAAATTCCACAAAAAGAGACTTTCAAATCTGCTCTGTCTAAAGGAAGGTTCAACTCTGTCAGTTGAATACACACAACACAAAGAAGTTACTAAGAATTCTTCCCTCTAGCATTATATGAAGAAATCCCGTTTCCAACGAAGGCATCTAAGAGGTCCAAATATCCACTTGCAGACTTTACAAACACAGGGTTTCCAGAATGCTGTATGAAAAGAAAGGTTAAACTCTGTGAGTTAAACACACACATCACTACGCAGTGTCTGGGAACGAGTTTGTCTTGTTTTTATACGAAGATATTTCCTTTTCTACCATTGGCATCGAAGCGCTTGAAATCTCCACTTGCAAATTCCACAAAAAGAGTGTTTCAAATCTGCTCTGTCTAAACGAAGGTTGAACTCTGTGAGTTGCATACACACAACACAAAGAAGTTACTGAGAAATCTTCTGTCTAGCATAATATGAAGAAATCCCGTTTCCAACGAAGGCCTCAAAGAGGTCCGAATATCCACTGGCAGGCTTCACAAACAGAGTGTTTCCTAACTGCTCTGTGAAAAGAAAGGTTAAACTCTGTGAGTTGAACGCACACATCACAAAGGAGTTTCTGAGAATCATTCTGTCTAGTTTTTATACGAAGATATTTCCTTTTCTACCATTGACCTCAAAGCGGCTGAAATCTCCACTTGCAAATTCCAGAAAAACAGTGTTTCAAATCTGCTCTGTGTAAAGGATCGTTCAACTCTGTGAGTTGAATACACACAACACAAGGGAAGTTACTGAGAATTCATCTGTCTAGCATAATATGAAGAAATCCCGTTTCCAACGAAGGCCTCAAAGAGGTCTGAATATCCACTTGCAGACTTTACAAACAGAGTGTTTCCTAACTGCTCTTTGAAAAGAAAGGTTAAACTCTGTGAGTTGAACGCACACATCAAAAAACAGTTTCTGAGAATCATTCTGTCTAGTTTTTATTCGAAGATATTTCCTTTTCTACCGTTGACCTCAAAGCGGCTGAATTCTCCACTTACAAATTCCACCAAAAGAGTGTCTCAAATCTGCTCTGTGTAAAGAATCATTCAACTCTGTGAGTTGAATGCACACAACACAAGGGAAGTTACTGGGAATTCCTCTGTCTATCCTTACATGAAAAAACCCGCTTCCAACGAAGGCCTCTAAGAGGCCAAGATATCCACTTGCAGACTTTACAAACAGAGTGTTTCCAAACTGCTGAATGAAAAGAAAAGTTAAACTCTGTGAGTTGAACGCACACATCACAGAGCAGTTTCTGAGAATGATTCTGTCGGGTTTTTATACGAAGATATTTCCTTTTCTGCCTTTGGCCTCAAAGCGCTTGAAGTCTCCACTTGCAAATTGCAGAAAAAGAGTGTTTCGAATCTGCTCTGTCTAAAGGAAGGTTCAACTCTGTCAGTTGAATACACACAACACAAGGAAGTTACTGAGATTTCTTCTGTCTAGCCTTACATGAAAAAAACCCGTTTCCAACGAAGGCCTCAAAGAGGTCAAAATATCCACGTGCAGACTTTCCAAACAGAGTGTTTCCAAACTGCTGAATGAAAAGAAAAGTTAAACTCTGTGAGTTGAACGCACACATCCCAGAGCAGTTTCTGAGAAAGATTCTGTCGAGTTTTTATAGGAAAATATTTCCTTTTCTGCTTTTGGCCTCAAAGCGCTTGAAATCTCCACTTGCAAATTCCACAAAAAGAGACTTTCAAATCTGCTCTGTCTAAAGGAAGGTTCAACTCTGTCAGTTGAATACACACAACACAAAGAAGTTACTAAGAATTCTTCCCTCTAGCATTATATGAAGAAATCCCGTTTCCAACGAAGGCATCTAAGAGGTCCAAATATCCACTTGCAGACTTTACAAACACAGGGTTTCCAGAATGCTGTATGAAAAGAAAGGTGAAACTCTGTGAGTTAAACACACACATCACTACGCAGTGTCTGGAGAACGAGTTTGTCTTGTTTTTATACGAAGAATATTTCCTTTTCTACCATTGGCATCGAAGCGCTTGAAATCTCCACTTGCAAATTCCACAAAAAGAGTGTTTCAAATCTGCTCTGTCTAAAGGAAGGTTGAACTCTGTGAGTTGCATACACACAACACAAAGAAGTTACTGAGAAATCTTCTGTCTAGCATAATATGAAGAAATCCCGTTTCCAACGAAGGCCTCAAAGAGGTCCGATTATCCACTGGCAGGCTTCACAAACAGAGTGTTTCCTAACTGCTCTGTGAAAAGAAAGGTTAAACTCTGTGAGTTGAACGCACACATCACAAAGGAGTTTCTGAGAATCATTCTGTCTAGTTTTTATACGAAGATATTTCCTTTTCTACCATTGACCTCAAAGCGGCTGAAATCTCCACTTGCAAATTCCAGAAAAACAGTGTTTCAAATCTGCTCTGTGTAAAGGATCGTTCAACTCTGTGAGTTGAATACACACAACACAAGGGAAGTTACTGAGAATTCATCTGTCTAGCATAATATGAAGAAATCCCGTTTCCAACGAAGGCCTCAAAGAGGTCTGAATATCCACTTGCAGACTTTACAAACAGAGTGTTTCCTAACTGCTCTTTGAAAAGAAAGGTTAAACTCTGTGAGTTGAACGCACACATCAAAAAACAGTTTCTGAGAATCATTCTGCCTAGTTTTTATACGAAGATATTTCCTTTTCTACCGTTGACCTCAAAGCGGCTGAATTCTCCACTTACAAATTCCACCAAAAGAGTGTCTCAAATCTGCTCTGTGTAAAGAATCATTCAACTCTGTGAGTTGAATGCACACAACACAAGGAAGTTACTGGGAATTCCTCTGTCTAACCTTACATGAAAAAACCCGTTTCCAACGAAGGCCTCTAAGAGGCCAAGATATCCACTTGCAGACTTTACAAACAGAGTGTTTCCAAACTGCTGAATGAAAAGAAAAGTTAAACTCTGTGAGTTGAACGCACACATCACAGAGCAGTTTCTGAGAATGATTCTGTCGGGTTTTTATACGAAGATATTTCCTTTTCTGCCTTTGGCCTCAAAGCGCTTGAAGTCTCCACTTGCAAATTGCAGAAAAAGAGTGTTTCGAATCTGCTCTGTCTAAAGGAAGGTTCAACTCTGTCAGTTGAATACACACAACACAAGGAAGTTACTGAGATTTCTTCTGTCTAGCCTTACATGAAAAAAAACCGTTTCCAACGAAGGCCTCAAAGAGGTCAACATATCCACGTGTAGACTTTCCAAACAGAGTGTTTCCAAACTGCTGAATGAAAAGAAAAGTTAAACTCTGTGAGTTGAATGCACACATCCCAGAGCAGTTTCTGAGAAAGATTCTGTCGAGTTTTTATAGGAAAATATTTCCTTTTCTGCTTTTGGCCTCAAAGCGCTTGAAATCTCCACTTGCAAATTCCACAAAAAGAGACTTTCAAATCTGCTCTGTCTAAAGGAAGGTTCAACTCTGTCAGTTGAATACACACAACACAAAGAAGTTACTAAGAATTCTTCCCTCTAGCATTATATGAAGAAATCCCGTTTCCAACGAAGGCATCTAAGAGGTCCAAATATCCACTTGCAGACTTTACAAACAGAGGGTTTCCAGAATGCTGTATGAAAAGAAAGGTTAAACTCTGTGAGTTAAACACACACATCACTACGCAGTGTCTGGGAACGAGTTTGTCTTGTTTTTATACGAAGATATTTCCTTTTCTACCATTGGCATCGAAGCGCTTGAAATCTCCACTTGCAAATTCCACAAAAAGAGTGTTTCAAATCTGCTCTGTCTAAAGGAAGGTTGAACTCTGTGAGTTGCATATACACAACACAAAGAAGTTACTGAGAAATCTTCTGTCTAGCATAATATGAAGAAATCCCGTTTCCAACCAAGGCCTCAAAGAGGTCCGATTATCCACTGGCAGGCTTCACAAACAGAGTGTTTCCTAACTGCTCTGTGAAAAGAAAGGTTAAACTCTGTGAGTTGAACGCACACATCACAAAGGAGTTTCTGAGAATCATTCTGTCTAGTTTTTATACGAAGATATTTCCTTTTCTACCATTGACCTCAAAGCGGCTGAAATCTCCACTTGCAAATTCCAGAAAAACAGTGTTTCAAATCTGCTCTGTGTAAAGGATCGTTCAACTCTGTGAGTTGAATACACACAACACAAGGAAGTTACTGAGAATTCATCTGTCTAGCATAATATGAAGAAATCCCGTTTCCAACGAAGGCCTCAAAGAGGTCTGAATATCCACTTGCAGACTTTACAAACAGAGTGTTTCCTAACTGCTCTTTGAAAAGAAAGGTTAAACTCTGTGAGTTGAACGCACACATCACAAAACAGTTTCTGAGAATCATTCTGTCTAGTTTTTATACGAAGATATTTCCTTTTCTACCGTTGACATCAAAGCGGCTGAATTCTCCACTTACAAATTCCACCAAAAGAGTGTCTCAAATCTGCTCTGTGTAAAGAATCATTCAACTCTGTGAGTTGAATGCACACAACACAAGGAAGTTAGTGGGAATTCCTCTGTCTAACCTTACATGAAAAAACCCGCTTCCAACGAAGGCCTCTAAGAGGCCAAGATATCCACTTGCAGACTTTACAAACAGAGTGTTTCCAAACTGCTGAATGAAAAGAAAAGTTAAACTCTGTGAGTTGAACGCACACATCACAGAGCAGTTTCTGAGAATGATTCTGTCGGGTTTTTATACGAAGATATTTCCTTTTCTGCCTTTGGCCTCAAAGCGCTTGAAGTCTCCACTTGCAAATTGCAGAAAAAGAGTGTTTCGAATCTGCTCTGTCTAAAGGAAGGTTCAACTCTGTCAGTTGAATACACACAACACAAGGAAGTTACTGAGATTTCTTCTGTCTAGCCTTACATGAAAAAAACCCGTTTCCAACGAAGGCCTCAAAGAGGTCAAAATATCCACGTGCAGACTTTCCAAACAGAGTGTTTCCAAACTGCTGAATGAAAAGAAAAGTTAAACTCTGTGAGTTGAACGCACACATCCCAGAGCAGTTTCTGAGAAAGATTCTGTCGAGTTTTTATAGGAAAATATTTCCTTTTCTGCTTTTGGCCTCAAAGCGCTTGAAATCTCCACTTGCAAATTCCACAAAAAGAGACTTTCAAATCTGCTCTGTCTAAAGGAAGGTTCAACTCTGTCAGTTGAATACACACAACACAAAGGAAGTTACTAAGAATTCTTCCCTCTAGCATTATATGAAGAAATCCCGTTTCCAACGAAGGCATCTAAGAGGTCCAAATATCTACTTGCAGACTTTACAAACAGAGGGTTTCCAGAATGCTGTATGAAAAGAAAGGTTAAACTCTGTGAGTTAAACACACACATCACTACGCAGTGTCTGGGAACGAGTTTGTGTTGTTTTTATACGAAGATATTTCCTTTTCTACCATTGGCATCGAAGCGCTTGAAATCTCCACTTGCAAATTCCACAAAAAGAGTGTTTCAAATCTGCTCTGTCTAAAGGAAGGTTGAACTCTGTGAGTTGCATACACACAACACAAAGAAGTTACTGAGAAATCTTCTGACTAGCATAATATGAAGAAATCCCGTTTCCAACGAAGGCCTCAAAGAGGTCCGAATATCCACTGGCAGGCTTCACAAACAGAGTGTTTCCTAACTGCTCTGTGAAAAGAAAGGTTAAACTCTGTGAGTTGAACGCACACATCACAAAGGAGTTTCTGAGAATCATTCTGTCTAGTTTTTATACGAAGATATTTCCTTTTCTACCATTGACCTCAAAGCGGCTGAAATCTCCACTTGCAAATTCCAGAAAAACAGTGTTTCAAATCTGCTCTGTGTAAAGGATCGTTCAACTCTGTGAGTTGAATACACACAACACAAGGAAGTTACTGAGAATTCATCTGTCTAGCATAATATGAAGAAATCCCGTTTCCAACGAAGGCCTCAAAGAGGTCTGAATATCCACTTGCAGACTTTACAAACAGAGTGTTTCCTAACTGCTCTTTGAAAAGAAAGGTTAAACTCTGTGAGTTGAACGCACACATCACAAAACAGTTTCTGAGAATCATTCTGTCTAGTTTTTATACGAAGATATTTCCTTTTCTACCGTTGACCTCAAAGCGGCTGAATTCTCCACTTACAAATTCCACCAAAAGAGTGTCTCAAATCTGCTCTGTGTAAAGAATCATTCAACTCTGTGAGTTGAATGCACACAACACAAGGAAGTTACTGGGAATTCCTCTGTCTAACCTTACATGAAAAAACCCGTTTCCAACGAAGGCCTCTAAGAGGCCAAGATATCCACTTGCAGACTTTACAAACAGAGTGTTTCCAAACTGCTGAATGAAAAGAAAAGTTAAACTCTGTGAGTTGAACGCACACATCACAGAGCAGTTTCTGAGAATGATTCTGTCGGGTTTTTATACGAAGATATTTCCTTTTCTGCCTTTGGCCTCAAAGCGCTTGAAGTCTCCACTTGCAAATTGCAGAAAAAGAGTGTTTCGAATCTGCTCTGTCTAAAGGAAGGTTCAACTCTGTCAGTTGAATACACACAACACAAGGAAGTTACTGAGATTTCTTCTGTCTAGCCTTACATGAAAAAAACCCGTTTCCAACGAAGGCCTCAAAGAGGTCAAAATATCCACGTGCAGACTTTCCAAACAGAGTGTTTCCAAACTGCTGAATGAAAAGAAAAGTTAAACTGCTGTGAGTTGAACGCACACATCCCAGAGCAGTTTCTGAGAAAGATTCTGTCTAGTTTTTATAGGAAAATATTTCCTTTTCTGCTTTTGGCCTCAAAGCGCTTGAAATCTCCACTTGCAAATTCCACAAAAAGAGACTTTCAAATCTGCTCTGTCTAAAGGAAGGTTCAAATCTGTCAGTTGAATACACACAACACAAAGAAGTTACTAAGAATTCTTCCCTCTAGCATTATATGAAGAAATCCCGTTTCCAACGAAGGCATCTAAGAGGTCCAAATATCCACTTGCAGACTTTACAAACAGAGGGTTTCCAGAATGCTGTATGAAAAGAAAGGTTAAACTCTGTGAGTTAAACACACACTTCACTACGCAGTGTCTGGGAACGAGTTTGTCTTGTTTTTATACGAAGATATTTCCTTTTCTACCATTGGCATCGAAGCGCTTGAAATCTCCACTTGCAAATTCCACAAAAAGAGTGTTTCAAATCTGCTCTGTCTAAAGGAAGGTTGAACTCTGTGAGTTGCATACACACAACCCAAAGAAGTTACTGAGAAATCTTCTGTCTAGCATAATATGAAGAAATCCCGTTTCCAACGAAGGCCTCAAAGAGGTCCGAATATCCACTGGCAGGCTTCACAAACAGAGTGTTTCCTAACTGCTCTGTGAAAAGAAAGGTTAAACTCTGTGAGTTGAACGCACACATCACAAAGGAGTTTCTGAGAATCATTCTGTCTAGTTTTTATACGAAGATATTTCCTTTTCTACCATTGACCTCAAAGCGGCTGAAATCTCCACTTGCAAATTCCAGAAAAACAGTGTTTCAAATCTGCTCTGTGTAAAGGATCGTTCAACTCTGTGAGTTGAATACACACAACACAAGGAAGTTACTGAGAATTCATCTGTCTAGCATAATATGAAGAAATCCCGTTTCCAACGAAGGCCTCAAAGAGGTCTGAATATCCACTTGCAGACTTTACAAACAGAGTGTTTCCTAACTGCTCTTTGAAAAGAAAGGTTAAACTCTGTGAGTTGAACGCACACATCACAAAACAGTTTCTGAGAATCATTCTGTCTAGTTTTTATACGAAGATATTTCCTTTTCTACCGTTGACCTCAAAGCGGCTGAATTCTCCACTTACAAATTCCACCAAAAGAGTGTCTCAAATCTGCTCTGTGTAAAGAATCATTCAACTCTGTGAGTTGAATGCACACAACACAAGGAAGTTACTGGGAATTCCTCTGTCTAACCTTACATGAAAAAACCCTTTTCCAACGAAGGCCTCTAAGAGGCCAAGATATCCACTTGCAGACTTTACAAACAGAGTGTTTCCAAACTGCTGAATGAAAAGAAAAGTTAAACTCTGTGAGTTGAACGCACACATCACAGAGCAGTTTCTGAGAATGATTCTGTCGGGTTTTTATACGAAGATATTTCCTTTTCTGCCTTTGGCCTCAAAGCGCTTGAAGTCTCCACTTGCAAATTGCAGAAAAAGAGTGTTTCGAATCTGCTCTGTCTAAAGGAAGGTTCAACTCTGTCAGTTGAATACACACAACACAAGGAAGTTACTGAGATTTCTTCTGTCTAGCCTTACATGAAAAAAACCCGTTTCCAACGAAGGCCTCAAAGAGGTCAAAATATCCACGTGCAGACTTTCCAAACAGAGTGTTTCCAAACTGCTGAATGAAAAGAAAAGTTAAACTCTGTGAGTTGAACACACACATCACAAAGCAGTTTCTGAGAATGATTCTGTCTAGTTTTTATAGGAAAATATTTCCTTTTCTGCTTTTGGCCTCAAAGCGCTTGAAATCTCCACTTGCAAATTCCACAAAAAGAGACTTTCAAATCTGCTCTGTCTAAAGGAAGGTTCAACTCTGTCAGTTGAATACACACAACACAAAGAAGTTACTAAGAATTCTTCCCTCTAGCATTATATGAAGAAATCCCGTTTCCAACGAAGGCATCTAAGAGGTCCAAATATCCACTTGCAGACTTTACAAACAGAGGGTTTCCAGAATGCTGTATGAAAAGAAAGGTTAAACTCTGTGAGTTGAACGCACACATCACAAAGGAGTTTCTGAGAATCATTCTGTCTAGTTTTTATACGAAGATATTTCCTTTTCTACCATTGACCTCAAAGCGGCTGACATCTCCACTTGCAAATTCCAGAAAAACAGTGTTTCAAATCTGCTCTGTGTAAAGGATCGTTCAACTCTGTGAGTTGAATACACACAACACAAGGAAGTTACTGAGAATTCATCTGTCTAGCATAATATGAAGAAATCCCGTTTCCAACGAAGGCCTCAAAGAGGTCTGAATATCCACTTGCAGACTTTACAAACAGAGTGTTTCCTAACTGCTCTTTGAAAAGAAAGGTTAAACTCTGTGAGTTGAACGCACACATCACAAAACAGTTTCTGAGAATCATTCTGTCTAGTTTTTATACGAAGATATTTCCTTTTCTACCGTTGACCTCAAAGCGGCTGAATTCTCCACTTACAAATTCCACCAAAAGAGTGTCTCAAATCTGCTCTGTGTAAAGAATCATTCAACTCTGTGAGTTGAATGCACACAACACAAGGAAGTTACTGGGAATTCCTCTGTCTATCCTTACATGAAAAAACCCGTTTCCAACGAAGGCCTCTAAGAGGCCAAGATATCCACTTGCAGACTTTACAAACAGAGTGTTTCCAAACTGCTGAATGAAAAGAAAAGTTAAACTCTGTGAGTTGAACGCACACATCACAGAGCAGTTTCTGAGAATGATTCTGTCGGGTTTTTATACGAAGATATTTCCTTTTCTGCCTTTGGCCTCAAAGCGCTTGAAGTCTCCACTTGCAAATTGCAGAAAAAGAGTGTTTCGAATCTGCTCTGTCTAAAGGAAGGTTCAACTCTGTCAGTTGAATACACACAACACAAAGAAGTTACTAAGAATTCTTCCCTCTAGCATTATATGAAGAAATCCCGTTTCCAACGAAGGCATCTAAGAGGTCCAAATATCCACTTGCAGACTTTACAAACAGAGGGTTTCCAGAATGCTGTATGAAAAGAAAGGTTAAACTCTGTGAGTTAAACACACACATCACTACGCAGTGTCTGGGAACGAGTTTGTCTTGTTTTTATACGAAGATATTTCCTTTTCTACCATTGGCATCGAAGCGCTTGAAATCTCCACTTGCAAATTCCACAAAAAGAGTGTTTCAAATCTGCTCTGTCTAAAGGAAGGTTGAACTCTGTGAGTTGCATACACACAACACAAAGAAGTTACTGAGAAATCTTCTGTCTAGCATAATATGAAGAAATCCCGTTTCCAACGAAGGCCTCAAAGAGGTCCGAATATCCACTGGCAGGCTTCACAAACAGAGTGTTTCCTAACTGCTCTGTGAAAAGAAAGGTTAAACCCTGTGAGTTGAACGCACACATCACAAAGGAGTTTCTGAGAATCATTCTGTCTAGTTTTTATACGAAGATATTTCCTTTTCTACCATTGACCTCAAAGCGGCTGAAATCTCCACTTGCAAATTCCAGAAAAACAGTGTTTCAAATCTGCTCTGTGTAAAGGATCGTTCAACTCTGTGAGTTGAATACACACAACACAAGGAAGTTACTGAGAATTCATCTGTCTAGCATAATATGAAGAAATCCCGTTTCCAACGAAGGCCTCAAAGAGGTCTGAATATCCACTTGCAGACTTTACAAACAGAGTGTTTCCTAACTGCTCTTTGAAAAGAAAGGTTAAACTCTGTGAGTTGAACGCACACATCACAAAACAGTTTCTGAGAATCATTCTGTCTAGATTTTATACGAAGATATTTCCTTTTCTACCGTTGACCTCAAAGCGGCTGAATTCTCCACTTACAAATTCCACCCAAAGAGTGTCTCAAATCTGCTCTGTGTAAAGAATCATTCAACTCTGTGAGTTGAATGCACACAACACAAGGAAGTTACTGGGAATTCCTCTGTCTATCCTTACATGAAAAAACCCGTTTCCAACGAAGGCCTCTAAGAGGCCAAGATATCCACTTGCAGACTTTACAAACAGAGTGTTTCCAAACTGCTGAATGAAAAGAAAAGTTAAACTCTGTGAGTTGAACGCACACATCACAGAGCAGTTTCTGAGAATGATTCTGTCGGGTTTTTATACGAAGATATTTCCTTTTCTGCCTTTGGCCTCAAAGCGCTTGAAGTCTCCACTTGCAAATTGCAGAAAAAGAGTGTTTCGAATCTGCTCTGTCTAAAGGAAGGTTCAACACTGTCAGTTGAATACACACAACACAAGGAAGTTACTGAGATTTCTTCTGTCTAGCCTTACATGAAAAAAACCCGTTTCCAACGAAGGCCTCAAAGAGGTCAAAATATCCACGTGCAGACTTTCCAAACAGAGTGTTTCCAAACTGCTGAATGAAAAGAAAAGTTAAACTCTGTGAGTTGAACGCACACATCCCAGAGCAGTTTCTGAGAAAGATTCTGTCTAATTTTTATAGGAAAATATTTCCTTTTCTGCTTTTGGCCTCAAAGCGCTTGAAATCTCCACTTGCAAATTCCACAAAAAGAGACTTTCAAATCTGCTCTGTCTAAAGGAAGGTTCAACTCTGTCAGTTGAATACACACAACACAAAGAAGTTACTAAGAATTCTTCCCTCTAGCATTATATGAAGAAATCCCGTTTCCAACGAAGGCATCTAAGAGGTCCAAATATCCACTTGCAGACTTTACAAACACAGGGTTTCCAGAATGCTGTATGAAAAGAAAGGTTAAACTCTGTGAGTTAAACACACACATCACTACGCAGTGTCTGGGAACGAGTTTGTCTTGTTTTTATACGAAGATATTTCCTTTTCTACCATTGGCATCGAAGCGCTTGAAATCTCCACTTGCAAATTCCACAAAAAGAGTGTTTCAAATCTGCTCTGTCTAAAGGAAGGTTGAACTCTGTGAGTTGCATACACACAACACAAAGAAGTTACTGAGAAATCTTCTGTCTAGCATAATATGAAGAAATCCCGTTTCCAACGAAGGCCTCAAAGAGGTCCGAATATCCACTGGCAGGCTTCACAAACAGAGTGTTTCCTAACTGCTCTGTGAAAAGAAAGGTTAAACTCTGTGAGTTGAACGCACACATCACAAAGGAGTTTCTGAGAATCATTCTGTCTAGTTTTTATACGAAGATATTTCCTTTTCTACCATTGACCTCAAAGCGGCTGAAATCTCCACTTGCAAATTCCAGAAAAACAGTGTTTCAAATCTGCTCTGTGTAAAGGATCGTTCAACTCTGTGAGTTGAATACACACAACACAAGGAAGTTACTGAGAATTCATCTGTCTAGCATAATATGAAGAAATCCCGTTTCCAACGAAGGCCTCAAAGAGGTCTGAATATCCACTTGCAGACTTTACAAACAGAGTGTTTCCTAACTGCTCTTTGAAAAGAAAGGTTAAACTCTGTGAGTTGAACGCACACATCACAAAACAGTTTCTGAGAATCATTCTGTCTAGTTTTTATACGAAGATATTTCCTTTTCTACCGTTGACCTCAAAGCGGCTGAATTCTCCACTTACAAATTCCACCAAAAGAGTGTCTCAAATCTGCTCTGTGTAAAGAATCATTCAACTCTGTGAGTTGAATGCACACAACAGAAGGAAGTTACTGGGAATTCCTCTGTCTATCCTTACATGAAAAAACCCGTTTCCAACGAAGGCCTCTAAGAGGCCAAGATATCCACTTGCAGACTTTACAAACAGAGTGTTTCCAAACTGCTGAATGAAAAGAAAAGTTAAACTCTGTGAGTTGAACGCACACATCACAGACCAGTTTCTGAGAATGATTCTGTCGGGTTTTTATACGAAGATATTTCCTTTTCTGCCTTTGGCCTCAAAGCGCTTGAAGTCTCCACTTGCAAATTGCAGAAAAAGAGTGTTTCGAATCTGCTCTGTCTAAAGGAAGGTTCAACTCTGTCAGTTGAATACACACAACACAAGGAAGTTACTGAGATTTCTTCTGTCTAGCCTTACATGAAAAAAACCCGTTTCCAACGAAGGCCTCTAAGAGGCCAATATATCCACGTGCAGACTTTCCAAACAGTGTTTCCAAACTGCTGAATGAAAAGAAAAGTTAAACTCTGTGAGTTGAACGCACACATCACAGAGCAGTTTCTGAGAATGATTCTGTCGAGTTTTTATAGGAAAATATTTCCTTTTCTGCTTTTGGCCTCAAAGCGCTTGAAATCTCCACTTGCAAATTCCACAAAAAGAGACTTTCAAATCTGCTCTGTCTAAAGGAAGGTTCAACTCTGTCAGTTGAATACACACAACACAAAGAAGTTACTAAGAATTCTTCCTTCAGGAGCTCTTTAAGGCAGGCCTGGGTGGTGCCAAAATCTCTCAGCATTTGCTTGTCTATAAAGTATTTTATTTCTCCTTCACTTAGAAGCTTAGTTTGGCTGGATATGAAATTCTGGGTTGAAAATTCTTTCCTTTAAGAATGTTGAATATTGGCCCCCACTCTCTTCTGGCTTGTAGGGTTTCTGCCGAGAGATCCGCTGTTAGTCTGATGGGCTTCCCTTTGAGGGTAACCCGACCTTTCTCTCTGGCTGCCCTTAACATTTTTTCCTTCATTTCAACTTTGGTGAATCTGACAATTATGTGTCTTGGAGTTGCTCACAGAGTTAAACCTTTCTTTTCATACAGCATTCTGGAAACCCTCTGTTTGTAAAGTCTGCAAGTGGATATTTGGACCTCTTAGATGCCTTCGTTGGAAACGGGATTTCGTCATATAATGGTAGAGGGA